>NC_000009.12:41899725-42230335 GCF_000001405.40 Homo sapiens
TATCTTACACTATTTATTTCACATTATTTCATCTTTTTTTCTTTTATTTTGCTGCTTTAATCAGTTTCCTTCTTATTTCCTGCTTTCCCTTTTATGAGTTTGAGAGCTCAACTTCCCTAGCCCTCACAATCAAAATCATGCCTTCACACTGTTATATGAAAACCAGATCCTCTTTTTCCAACTTTCCCCCATTCCCAACAGTGAGATGAGCGATTGCATGGTTCTTTCTCCCCACCCTCCCTCCCACACCACCGCGGGGTTCCCCACAACAGTTCTTCCCTAAATGAGAGGCTTGGGAAATTTTTCTTTTTCTTCTCTCACTTTTCCCTTTTTACTCTTCTTTGGTTTTACTCTAGTACATTTAGATCCTGACCAGAATGACAATTTCTCTTACATTTCTATTTTTCTATGATGTTTCCAGTTCAAGGATCTTTACATAATTTATTTTTTCCAAGAAAGAACTTTGACATGATGGACAAAGATTCTCCCTATGACCAGATGTTGGTCAGGCTACTCTAAGCTCTCTGCTCAACCAGCCTGACCTTTGGTCTTTCATCGTCCAGCTTAGCAAGAATCCTGCCAATTTGCTTTTAACCCAAATCTCCCACCCTCAATATCTGATCACTCTCAATATCTAATCACCTTTCTCATCCCTCTCACCACCCCACAGGTGATGTCTGACAACACTGGCCTGGCATCACCAGGAAACCTGGTGAGTCAGTTTAGCAAGAATTACTCTCCCATTTTGTAGTTTTCCACTCAGACACCCCACCCCAGCCACTCTGCTCCTTGGCTACGAATCCACACTTCTCCTTGTTGTATTTGAAGTTGAGCTCAGTCTCTTTCCCCAACTGCAAAGCCCCATTCCAGTAATTCCTATACCTATTGCCATAGTCCTGAATAAAGTCTGCCACACGATCTTAACAAGAGTATTTTTATCTTTTGACATGATACAAGATGGTTTTACATTAAGTAACTGTAGTTTAGAGAAGAATCACATAATTTTAGGGCAGACCTTTTTTTTTTTTTTTTTTTTTTTTTTTTTTTTTTTTGAGATGGAGTCTCACTCTGTCCCCAGGCTGGAGTGCAGTGGTGCAATCTCGGCTCACTGCAACCTCCGCCTCCTGGGTACAAGCGATTCTCCTGCCTCAGCCTCCCAAGTAGTTGGGACTACAGGCATGCACCACCACACCCAGCTAATTTTTTTTGTGTATTTTTAGTAGAGACGGGATTTCACCATGTTGGCCAGGACGGTCTCGATCTCTTGACCTTGTGATCTGCCCACCTTGGCCTCCCAAAGTGTCAGGATTACAGGCATGAGCCACTGCGCCCGGCCAGACTTCTCTTTAAAACCCTGAATAAAAACCTTGAGCAATTGTTTAATTTGGAGCTGATGAAACAGAGTAGAACTTTCTTACATCTTTAATAAATGACTTAATTAGAAAATGGTCATATATACTTTGTTTAAGCTGGAAAATCTGAAAGAAAGGAGTTCCTTTGCCCACTCTGAAGTGTACCTGGCAATCACACCACAATCCAGGAAGAAACTCGTGATTCTGTACTCCCAGATTTTAGCCAGCACTACTATTTATTGTTTATCAGTTAACCAATATTCAGTAGAACTCAACTCTTAACTGTGGTGACATGTAGATACAGTTTCCTGTCTATTACCTTGACATGGCAACATGGTCAAAACCCTTCACTTTTGCTACTCTTAGCTGAATAGCTCTAATCAAAAATGTATGGTGACCTGTCTGCCTCCCTTTCTGGGCTTTCTCAACTTCGGGGTCCTGCACCCAGCCCCCTTCCAATTCTCTATTCTGTTCCATCAAAGCCTGCTCCCGAGTAAATTCATGTTTGCACAAATTCCTGGTCATGGCTTTTGATAACACTTTCAGGGGCATGTGTATTTTGGCAGAAGAGTCAAAAGAATGGATCTCTAATACAGAATTTGAAATATTGGCACTTGACGTTGTGGGAAAAAAAATATTTGAGATAGGGTTGTCTTCCCAGCCCATTGAAGTCATGCCAAATAGACAGATGTCTATCCTTACAAAAGGGTGCCACTTGGTTGAACTAAAGGAAAAAACGACTAGATAAGTAAGTGGACAGTCTTCTACACTGTGCAATATGGTAGACACTAGCCACATGTGACCATTGAGATTCAAATCAGGCCAGGCACGGTGGCTCATGCCTGTAATCCCAGCACTTTGGGAGGCCGAGGCGGGCGGATCATGAGGTCAGGAGATCAAGACCATCCTGGCTAACATGGTGAAACCCCGTCTCTACTAAAAATAAAAATAAAAAAAAATAAAAAATAAAAAAAATTAGCCGGGCATGGTGGTGGGTGCCTGCAGTCTCAGCTACTTGGGAGGCTGAGGCAGGAGAATGGCGTGAACCCGGGAGGCAGAGCTTGCAGTGAGCTGAGTTCACGCCACTGTACTCCAGCCTGGATGACAGAGTGAGACTCGATCTCAAAAAAAAAAAAAAAAAAAGAAACTCAAATCAATTAAAATGAAATAAAATGTAAAATTTAGTCCCTCAGTTATACTAGCCCCATTTCTAGTGCTTAAAAACTCATTTATCTCAAGTGTGTCTGGGGACTACCACATAGGACAGCACAGACTTTACACGTTTTCATCATCACAGAAAGTTCTATTGGACAGCATTAGTTTTGTTGACTTATACTTTCAAAGACCTCAAGACATCTGTGATGCCCACTGAATCCTGGTTAATGGACCAAGTTAGAACAATCTTAGAATTTTCTATCGAAGAGAATCTTGAAGATAACTTAGTGCAGCCTCCTCATTTTACCAATAAAGGACTAATTGATATAATCATTGCTCTTTCTTGGGAAAAAAACCCCACAAAATCTCCTATCTTCTTGACTTTTTATAGGGTTTTTGGGTGTTTTTATTCTATAATGTTGAAAGAGGCAATCCACCACTGGCTCTGAGTGTCTCCTCATGCTTTGCTGGGTTTGCCAAGAAGTGCAAGATGCTGACAGCACTTTACTCAGGCCACTTCTCAAGGCTATAATTGAAGCAAGCAACATTGAAGGATAAGGTCATGACCCCCTCCAGGACAAAGAATAGACTTGCTTAGTGCTTGTTACAAAATCGGTGGATTCCCCAAACTCAGTGTTCCTCTGCTACAGTGCAAACATGGCCACAGGTGCAGCCTTCATCTGCACCCGTCACTGCCCCATAAGGCTTCAGGGCCAAGGGAAAACAATGCAAATGAACTGCTGCTCACGAGGCTTGCCGTGCCGTGAGTAATAGGGTCCTTTGTCTCTGTACCAGGACAGCATCCACAAAACAGTTAAAAGCTGTTAACTTCCTAGCTCGTAAATCAGGTAAAATCAAATCCCAGACCCAACATAAAACATTTCTTCTAAATGAGACAAACACCATAGCATAGAAGTAATATAAAATACATAGGTTGATGAATTTTAAATGTTAAAACTGTATGTCTTATGTGACATCTCCTTACAAAACTCAAAAGGCAATTTCCAGAAATATTTAATTACCAAAACTATTTGGCATTCTTACATACCTAGAGCTCTATTTGAAATATAGTCCTTCAGTGGGTTTTCTTTTCTTCAGCCTAGAATGTATACCTCCTAAGGTATATAAGCTCAGCTGTATTCATATGCAACTGTTTACAGGCTAACTTTTTTTACTTTTTGGGAGCAGACAAAAAGGCATCTTCCATTTTTGCACTCTGTATTTTTGATATATATATGTAATTTTTAAGATAGTGTTTAAGGGGCCGGGCGCGGTGGCTCACACCTGTAATCCCAGCACTTTGGGAGACTGAGGCGGGTGGATCACGAGGTCAGGAATTCGAGACCAGCCTGACCAACATGATGAAGCCCCGTCTCTACTAAAAATACAAAAATTAGCCAGGCGTGGTGGTACATGCCTGTAGTCCCAGCTACTCAGGAAGCTGAGGCAGGAGAATCGTGTGAACCTGGGAGGCGGAGGTTGCAGTGAGCCGAGATTGCGCCACTGCACTCCAGCCTGGGCGACAGAGTGATACTCATCTCAAAAGTGTTTAAATACATGTGCACATGTACACACACAAAGCAAAACAGAATACCAATAATACCAAAGTATCTAAAAACAAATCTTAATTTATGATGGATCATCTTTACTGAATTATAAAGTATTTTAGGTGTTTGCATTCTTTAAAGCTACCTCTTGGATAAAATTCAAAGCTATATAGAAAATTCAAAATCTAAAAAGCTTATATTTAAATAGGTTTACTCTGAATTGATCTTGTGATAATCAATCTGAATGGTCTTCATTCACTAAGACTACTCAGAAATGGCAAAATCATATTGAGGTGCTCAGAAACAGCATCTTAATTATGATGGATTTTGGGCCATTTTTTTCTAAGGCATTGTTAGGGTGCATAATAATAAATTAGGCTGGATATGAGCATTATTTTATTAGAATTGCTCATATATTACCCTATGTACCTATTAACATGTGAGTGTAGTGAGGGTGGGTAGGTATAGTGTTTCTCTCATTCAGAGGCTTTCTCCGTGCTTAATAAACTGTTCATAGCAGATGCTCACCAAGTTTTTTTTTTTTTTTTTTTTTTTTTTTTTTTGAGACAGAGTCTCGCTCTGTCATCCAGGCTGGAGTGCAGGATCTCTGCTCACTGCAA
The DNA here is from genome assembly GCF_000001405.40 of Homo sapiens. Lineage (NCBI taxonomy): Eukaryota > Metazoa > Chordata > Mammalia > Primates > Hominidae > Homo > Homo sapiens. The sequence goes on from NC_000009.12 coordinate 41,904,400, forward strand.
GCTCCGCCTCCTAGGTTCACGCCATTCTCCTGCCTCAGCCTCCCGAGTAGCTGGGACTACAGGCGCCCGCCACCGTGCCCGGCTAATTTTTTTTGTATTTTTAGTAGAGACAGGGTTTCACCGTGTTAGCCAGGATGGTCTGGATCTCCTGACCTCGTGATCCGCCCGCCTCGGCCTCCCAAAGTGCTGGGATTACAGGCGTAAGCCACCACGCCCAGCCGCTCACCAAATATTTTTAAATGAAGGGATGAATCAAAGATTTACAGGGACTCAAGAGAAATATATTGGTAACTTAGAACACCGTGTTTTGGGTAACTTTATTTGTAAAATTAGTGGCTTCTCTATTAGCCAACTTGTTGGTCTATTTTACTATAAGTTAAGGAAAGCACTTCCTATATAATTCCAAATTTAAAGATAAAGTTGTAGTTTTGGTATAATTACTAAATGATGTGAGAGTGGCAAAAAATGTATAGCAGAACCAATCCTAAAATACAGTTTTTCAAAGTATAAAGTGTTTTATTAATGTTTGATGATTATCTCTACCTCCAAGGACAGGCAAAATGAATATTTATAATTTTCTGAGATCAATTGCTTCTGAGTATATACTTCGTTGCTGAATTTCAATGTAGATTTTTATACCGTAAGTTACATGCCTTTGAATACACCATCCTTGAATGAAAACATTAACACCTTCAATTCCATGTTCTCCTTTATTTGGAAGGAAACAAAGATGTATATAATAAATATTATTCAACTTTTTGATCCTAATATTAAAGTATAGTTCATTTTCTTAATTGAGTTACATAAGATGGGTTTTTTTTAAAAAAGATTACTTTCCTCAGTTCCTTTATTAAATGTAAAGCTAACTGTGCTTTTACAACAGGTTATGATAGACAATATGATAGACAATTACTGTAACTTTCTACCTTGCGTAACAGATATTTATGAATATGCCTCCCCATTCCTGTTAGATACTAAAGTCAAAAAGGATGGAAACAACAGGCAAAGCAGGGCTTGAGAGAGAAATAAAACTGTATTCATCTGCTGTAATAAGATTACCAGTTTTTTCTCTTGTGTTCAACTCAAATGTAGTTTTATCATTGAATGATGGTCTCCGGAGTTGATGTTGATTAATACATACATAATCTGTGAACTTCGTGTCAGCTTTGATAACATTTCACTTTTCAAGAAGGGTTAGAAAAATACCGTGATTCATTATGCATGATTGCCAAGTGAGAGGTTAAGTGTGGAGGTATTTTTCCAGGAACGCCCTTGCACATCTCACAGGCAGCACTTACTCATGATTATATGTACACTCAGGCAAGAGTACAGTTTGCACCTTGATTGTCACTCACTGTGAAATTATTATTCAAGTAAGACAAGGAGCTTCTTTCAGCATGATGAATGCTTCCAGAGTTTGTGACATGACACTTAGATTTTTTGGGAAAAAGCTCTTTCTCCTACTTACCTAAAACCTTTCCCAATATGAGAGATTTGACGGCGTTGAATTCTGTCCCTGAGGACAAGATGACTTGTTTCTTTGCGCTCTGGTTAACCTATTAGATGTCCCATGAGAAGCAAACATCAACACAAAGTACAATTTTAATGATAAGGAAGCAAAGGAAGATGAGGAAAGGAAAGATGAAAATAAATCACTTTTAAGTACCACTACAAAAGCTCAAGAAGCCACCTTCAAATAATTAATCATTTAGAAGGGGAAGCTATTTTATAAGCAATTCCTATGATGCCATCAGCTACCACCCTATCCACGATGTACCCACTTGCTGGCTTTACTCTTCTTCATAATGGAAGGATCTATAATTGGCAGAATCCATGAAAAAGATGGAACTGGCTGTTTTAAACTTAAATACGTACTCATTCTGTGGAGAAAATATGAAACATAAAACCAAGCACTGCTGTTCTCTATACAGTATATTTTCCTTCCAATGCCAATGACAATGTGTAATTTACTTCCTCTGTGGTGACTCAGGTCTATTTTCTTACTTATTCCCATTTTAATAACTATGTTGTGTGCTTTTAAACCGTGTTTTTAAGTTGCTAAAGTATTTGTTCTTTTATAATCGGAATAAGACAAGTTCCCACTGCAATATCAATGAATAGATTCCACCAGTAGTCACTATGATAAACTAGAGAACATTCCCCTATTGAGTAAAGTAAAACAAATAAAGATATTTTGATATTTTAAATAGTAAAATATTAATAATACCTTTGACGGAATTGCATTGCTAAACAAACAAAACAAAGCAATACAGAATAAACAACCACCTCCTCTCTCCCAGATCCTGGCCATATTTGGCCTCTTCTTGACTTATGGAAGAGCAGCACTGAATGGGTTGCTCTTCTATTAATATTTATTATCAAATTTTTTCATTAGATTATTTGTTCTCAAAATAATAATATTAGTTAGTTTGACTTTTGCATTTGTGGGATTACCTCTACCATGACCACGGCTTCTTCTCTGTTAATCTTCACTTGGTGAAGTTGCCCATCAGCCATGTTTTTAAAATCAAAGGTAAATGCATCAGGATTTTGATGTCTATCTAGCTTGTACCTAATCTGCAAACTTCCTAAAAAGAAAAATAAATGGCATTTAAAATTAAAGTGGTATTTTATAAAACTCTTGATACAGATTCTAGAGCACTTTTATTATTATTTACTTATAGCACTTTTGAATCTATTTAGCATCAATTTAGATGCACCCAATAGTTATCTTTCCTGGAACAGTGATTACTTAGGTGCTATTCCTGTGCCAGACTCTGAGTCCAATGATGCTATTTTAAAAGTCAAGACTAAATGTGTTGTTAATAAGCAGTCTCCCCAAAGCTTTTCATTTAAAAATGAAAAGGTTTAAATTATGCATATGAGCTCAGAACTCAGATCTAAATTCATTATGACTTTGATATTTATGAAATGATGAAACTCTATGCAATATTGTATCAACATTCAGTTCCTGTAATTATAACTTCTAATAAGGCTCATTTTAATGTATTACTGATATGTGCATAAAGATTTTTTATAGCCAGATTATTTTAAGTCTTCTGCCATAATCCAAAAATGAGGACAAGAAAGGGTTTTGTCAGGAGACAAGGTTTCCATAGTATCTACATCTTCTAATATACATACTCCTCTCCTACACAGATGTACCCTCATTATCTGTAATTCTCTTTTAGCTTATACTAAGATCCTGTTAATCGGAGATTTTTTTTTTTTTTTTTTTTTGAGGTGGAGTCTCGCTCTGTCACCCAGGCTGGAGTGCAGTGGCGCGATCTCGGCTCACTGCAAGCTCCGCCTCCTGGGTTCACGCCATTCTCCTGCCTCAGCCTCCCGAGTAGCTGGGACTACAGGTGCCCACCACCATGCCCGGCTCATTTTTTGTATTTTTAGTAGAGATGGGGTTTCACCGTGTTAGCCAGGATGGTCTCGATCTCCTGACCTCGTGATCCACCCGCCTTGGCCTCCCAAAGTGCTGGGATTATAGGCGTGAGCCACCGTGTCCAGCCTAATCAGAGATTTTGTAGATTTTTTTCTAGACATGAAATTTTTGTGCTGTGTACCTAACAAACTTAAAGCTTGGTCTTCTTGTTCAACTGTGAAAACCTTGCAACGCCCCAATTACCACTGTTTGAGAGGCTGTCATTACACTTTTCTTCTATAAAAGTGATATAACTAGTTTTTCAGCCACTGACGAGATAAAGAACAGCTGTACTTATCTGTTGCTTATAGGAATTGGCTTTTATATAGTTGCACTATAACATCCACATAAATGCTCCTCTATTTTGCTTAGAATGAGGAGGGAATGTATGTCATGTATCTAGATATCTTATTTCAAAATGAACTGCAAAACCAATTTGAGTCATCATGTACTATTAAAGTCATCCTATCAATAATAAGAAATATAACTGCATATCAACTCCGTTAAATTATCAAACATGTAATGGGAGAAAAGCATCTTAATTTAATCTTGAAATGCTAGCTTTTATAATAACCATTAAGGGAGGCACTGAAAAACCAAACCCATTGGAGGGCATACAGTTTTCTCTCATCGTTTGTAGTTTGACTGCTGAAAAGACCCATGTCATTACAGTCCTATTTTTCTAACTCAGGGTTCTCTTTTTCTTTACACAAAAGATATTCACCATTGTTGGCGAGGATAACTGAAAGGTATTCCTCATAGAAAGAGCTCACATACAGCAATAAGCTCGGAGTTCGTGTGGTTCGGAAGCTCAGTGTGATCATTTCTCTGGTCAATGTTACATCTCTGTGTAATGAAGAAACGAGAGAGCTGGAGTTTTCACTTAAAGTGTAATGTTCTTGAAAATGGTATGTCATTGAGGAGCCAGTTGCGAAATATGCGGAAATCTCTGAAATGATAAATACATTTTTGTTATGTTAACAAAATGTAAGTCCAACGGTCTTGTTTTAAGTACATTTAGAGAATGAGACCAAACCTTAAATATCCTGGGAGATAAAGTAATAGTGAAATCCTTTCCTGTTTTATTTTTTATTTTTCACTTTTTAAAGTTTTTTAAAAACTACAACTTGAAGAAAAAGTAGCAAACTCCAATATACTCATAACCCAGAATTGACTAACACTTAATAGAGATTTTAATTCTCCAAATCATCCTCATCTTATATTTACATATAACTAATTCTTCAGTATAAATGTATAATTTATAGGTGACTTATCTCATCTTTGGTTTTCAATTTTTTCCCAAATCATTAATTTTTAAACATCTTTATTCAGATATAATCCATATGCCATGTAATAGACCCAATTACAGTGTAAAATTCTATGTCTTTTAGTATATTTGCAGGCATGTGCAAACATTGCCATGATCAATTTTAGAGTATTTTCACTCCCCTCCCCCGAGCACCTTCTTATTCCCTCCTACAAAAACCTCCATAACCTCTAGCAGTCATTCTCTGTTTCTCCCCAACACCCCAGCCTAGGCAACTACTAATTTACTTTCTGTCTCTGCAGAGGTTCCTATTCGAGAGATTTCATATCAGTGGAATCATATAACGTGTGGTCTTTTCAATCTGGCCTCTTTCACTTAACATGGTATTTTCAAGGTTCATCCATCTTGTAGCGTGTGTCAGTATTTTATGCATTTTATTGAATAATATTTCATTGGATGTAAATAGTAATGGATGTGCCACATTTTGCGGATCTATTTAACAGTTGATAGACATTTGGGTTGTTTCCACTTTTTGACTATTATAAATAATGCTTCCATGAAAATTCACGTGTAAGTTTTTCTATGGATACATTTTTATTTTTCTTAGGAATATATACCTAGGAGTAAAATTGTTCAATCTTATGATAACACCAACTTTAAAATTTGGAGGAGCTGCCATATTTTTTCCAAAATAGCTATACCATTTTACATTTCAAACAGCAATCATGAGGGTTTTAATATCTCCACATCCTCACCAACATTTATTATTATCATTCTTTTAAATTACAGCTATACTTGTCTGTGTGAAGAGGTATTTCATTGTGACTTTGATTGCCTACTGGCTAATGTTGCCAACTATTTTTTCATGATTTTATTGGACATTCACACATATTTGCTGAAGAAATATTTACTTATAAGCTTTACCTATTATTTAATTAGGTTAAATTTCTTTTTCTTATTCAGTTGTTGGTTTTTTGTTTTTATTTTTGTTTTTTTGAGACAGAGTCTCACTCTGTTGCCCAGGCTGGAGTGCAGTGGCGTGATCTCTGCTCACTGCAAGCTCTGCCTCCTGGGTTCACGCCATTCTCCTGCCTCAGCCTCTCGAGTAGCTGGGACTACAGGCGCCCGCCACCACGCCCGGCTAATTTTTTGTATTTTTAGTAGAGATGGGGTTTCACTGTGTTAGCCAGGATGGTCTCGAACTCCTGACCTCGTGATCTGCCCACCTCGGCCTCCCAAAATGCTGGGATTACAGGTGTGAGCCACCACACACGGCATCTTATTCAGTTGTAAAAGCTCTTTAAATAATTTGAATACTAGACCCTTATAAGAGACATGATTTGCAATAATTTCTTCCATTCTGTGGGTTATCTTCTCTTTTGTTCTCCCATGTTTTAACAGTTTTATAGTTTTAGTTCTTACATTGAGGTCTATTTGGTACATTTTTATGTATGTGTGAGATAGAGGTCTAATTTCATTCATTTGCATGTGCATGTATACTCAGTAGTCTCAGAGACTACTTCTTCCCATTGGGTTGTCCTGGCACTCTTGTAAAATCCATTGACCATAAATGGCGAGGTATCTATCTGGACTTTCAATTTTATCCCAATGAGCTATCTGTTTAGTCTTAGGCCAGTTATATACTGCTTTACATTAAGTTTAGAAATTGGGCAGTGTGAATCTATCAAATTTCTTCTTCTTAAAGATTGTTTTGGCTATTCTGCATCATTTAAATTTTCATATGAAATCAGCTTGTCAATTTCAGGAAAGAAGCCAGCTGGGATATTGATTGAAACTGTACTGAATCTGTATATTACTTTAGAGAACACTGGTATTTTATTTATATTAATTATTCAATCCATGACATGAAATATCTCTCCATTTATTTACCTTTAAATTCTTTCAATGCTTTATAGTTTTCAGTGTGTTTTCCATTTCTTTTGTTAAATGTATTGCTATGTATGTTATTCTTTTTGATGCTACTGTAAATAAAATTGTTTTATTGGTTTTATTTTCAGATGGTTCACAGCTAATTTGTAGAAATACAATTGATTTTGTATATTGTTTTTGCATTCTGCAATTTTGTTGAACTTGGTTTTAGTTTTAATTGTTCTAAGTAGATTCTTTGGGATTTTTTTATATAAAAAATCATGTCATCCTCAAATAGAGATAGTTTTATTTCCTTTCTAATTTGGATGTTTTTCTTCTTTTTTTTTTTTTTTCATTTTCTTGCCTAATCAGTCTGGCCTGAACCTCTAGTACAATGCTGAATAGAACTAGTGAGAGTATACATTCTTGTCTCATTCTTGATCTTAGGAAAAAAAATTCAGTCTTTAAAATTAAATATAATTTTAGCTATGAGTTTTTCAAAAATACCATTTGTTAGACTGAGGAAGTTATCGTCTATAATTAGTTTACTGAATTTAAACAAAAATTCATGAAAGGATGTTGGATTTTATCAAATGACTTTTCTGCATCAGTAGAGCCTATCATGTGTTTCTGTCCTTTATTCTAAGATATAGTATATTATATTAATTGATTTTCAGCTGTTAAAACAACTTTCCATTTCTGGGATCATTTCCACTTTGTCTTGATGTATAGTCATTTTTATATGTGACTGGATTTGCTTTGGTAATACTCTGTTCAGGGTTTTCACATCTATCTACTTAAATGATATTGGTCTGTAGATTTAAAATATATATACTGGTATATCTATGTCTGGCTTTGGTATTAGGGAAATACTGACCTTACAGAATAAGTTGAAAAATGCTCCTTTCTCTTTTATTTTTTGGAAGAGTTTTGAAGAATTAATACTTCTTATTTAAATAGTTGATATATTTTTAAATAGTTGATATATTCTGATAGTTGATAGCATCAATTGTTTGAAACCATCTGGACCTGGGCTTTACTTTCTGTGGTATTTTAATATTATTAAGGCATTCCTTTTATTGTTATAGGCCAATTTATATTTTCTCCTCCTTCTTGAAACAGAAGTAGTAGTTTGTGTTAATTTTGTAGTTAGTGTCATCCTAGGAATTCGTCCATTTTATCTAAGTTACGTAATTTTTTTCAACATACAGTTGTTTATATTCTCTTGCAATCCATGTTATTTCTGTAAGGTTGGTAGTAATATCACTCTTTCATATGTCATTCTAGTAATTTGAATCATCTCTTTTATTCTTGGTCAGTTGTACTAAAGGTTTGCCAATTTTGTTAACAATTTTAAAGGACTGACTTTTGGTTTGGTTAATTTTTTCTGTCACTTTTATATTATCCATTTGAGAAATTTCTCCTGTTTTATTTATTATTTCCTGTTTCTCCTTACATTAGATTTAGTTTGCTCTTCTTTTTTCAGTGTCTTAAGGTGGCAGGTCAGGTTTTTTATTTGGGAACCATTTTTCTTTTTAAATATTGATGTTTACAGCTTTAAAATTCCCTCTAAACCCTGCTTTAGCTGTGTTACTATATGTTTTAGTAATGTTGTATTTTTGCTTTCATTTATCTCAAAACCTTTTCTAATTTCCCTTTTGATTTCGGAGTGTATAGTTTAATTTCCACATATTTGTGATATTCCACAATTTCTTTATGTTATTAATTTCATCTCATTGTGTTTTAAAAAGTCCCTTCATATGATTTCAATCCTTTTAAATGTGTTGAGGCTTGATTTACAGGTAGCATGTTGTCTAACCTAGAATATGTTCCATGAACACTTGAGAAGAATATACATTCTGCTATTGTTAAGTGGTGTGTTCTACAGATGTGTGTTAGAATGATTGCGTTTTTATTTTTTTCAACTCTATTTTCTTGGTAATCTTCTGAGTAATTATTCTATCCTTTATTGAAAGTGAAGTATTGAATCCTCCAGGTTTTATTCCTGGTTTTTCTATTTCTCTTTTCAGTTCTGTCAGGTATTCTTTATGCAATTTGGGGCTATATTATTAACTGCATATAAGTTTGTAATTGTTATATCTTTTTGAGGGAATTAACTTTTTATCATTATATAAGTTTCCCTATTTCTAGTAGCACCTTTTGTTTTAGAGTTTATTTTTTCTGGTATTAGTATAGTCCCTTTGGCTCTCTAGGGTTACTCTTTGCATGGTACATGTTTTCCCTTCTTTTATTTTCAACTAAATTACCCCTTTCAATCTAAATTGTATGTCCTTAGACAGCATATAGTTAAGATTTCTTTTGTTATCCATTCTGACAATATTTGTCTTTTGATTGGATTGCTCAATCGATGAACATTTAATATTATTATTGATACAGTTAGATTTACATCTGCCATTTTCTTTTTCTTTTTCTATGTGTTTCATTTGTTTTCTTTTCACTTTCCTTCTGACTTATTATTTTGTGTTGGTGGATATTTTGGAGTGTAACATTTTAATTTCTTTCTTGATTTCACTATACTTTGGGGTAAAATATATATAATATATAATTTGCCACTTAACCATTTAAAATATGAAATTCAGTAGCATTAATTAAATTCACAATGTTGTGCAATTATCACCTCTTTTGATATCCAAAATTTTTCATCTTCCCAAAATTAAACTCTATTCATTAAGCAATAACTCTCCATTGCCCCCTCATCTCAGCTGCTGGTATCCTTGAATCTACTTTGTCTCTACAAATTTGTCTATTGATATCTAGTAAACATGAAGTTATATAATATCTGCCCTCTTGGGTCTGGCTTATTTCACTTAGCATAATGTCTTCTATGTTAATTAATGTTGTATCATGTATCAGAACCTCATTCCTTTTAATGGCTGAACAATATACCATTATATGTATACACTACATTTTTTAATCAATTCATGTGTTGACGGACACTTGTATTATTTCCACTATTGTGATTAGTGCTACTATGAACATTTGTATACAAGTATCTGCTTGAGTTCTTGTTTTCAATTGTTTTGGTTATATATGTAGAAGTGGAATTGCTGGGTTCGAAGGTAATTCTATGTTTAACTATTTTGAGTTAACTCTAAATCAATTTCTACAGTGGCTGTGGCATTTACTTTCCCACCAGTAACAAAAGAGAGTTCCAATTTCTCTAGGTTCTTGCCAAAACTTGTTATTTTCTGTTTTTATTTATTTATTTATTTATTTTTATAGTCAATCTAGTAGGTTTGAAGAGGCAGCTCATTATACTTTTCGTTTGCATTTCTTTAATAACTAATGATGTCGAGTATCATCTTTCCATGTGATTATTGACTCTTTGTATATCTTTTTGGAGAAATGTCTCATCAAGTCCTTTGTCCAATTAGACTTTTTGTTGTTAAGTTGTGGAAATTATTAACATATTCTAGATAGTGAACCTCCATCAGATACATAATTTGCAAATATTTTATCACATTCTGTGGATTGTCTTTTTACTCTCTTGATAGTGTTCTTTGATACACAGAAGTTGTTAATTTTTATAAAGTCCAAATAATCTATTTTTGTTGTTGTTGTTGCCCGTGCTTTTGGGGTGATTTTTAAAAAACCACTGCCAAATCCAAGATCATGAAGATCTGCCTATATATCTTCTAAAAATTTTATAGTTTTAGCTTTTAGATTTAAAACTTTGATTCATTTTGAGTTAATTTTGGTAAGGGTCTAACTTCAATCTTTGCATGTGAACATCCACTTTTCCTACCTTTATGTTGAATAGACTGTTACTTCCCTACTGAATGATCTTGACAAAGACTATGTTAAACATCAATTGACTGTATGTATGTAGGTTTATTTCTGGCCTCTCAGCTCTATTCCATTGATTTATAGGTTTATCCTCATTCAGTACCACATTGTTTTGAATAATGTAGTTTATAGTAAGTTTTGAAGTCAAGAAGGGTGAATCCTCCAACTTTGTTCTTTTGTAAAATTGTTTTGCTTATTCTGGGCTTTTTCAAATTTTATTTAAATATTGATAGGGGCTTTTTCATTTGTATAAAAAGTGCTTTGGGGATTCTGATAAGAATTAGATTGAATCTGCTGGGGTTGTATTGTCATTTTAATAATCTCAAGTTTTCCAATTCATGAATATGGAATGTCTTTCCATCTATTTAGTTCTTTCTTTAATCTCTTTCAACAACGTTTTATAGTTTTCAATGTCTAAGTCTTTCACTTTCTCAGTTAAGTTTATTTCTAAGTTTTTTATTCTTTTTGATGATATTGCAAATGGAATTGTTTCCTTAATCTCACTTTCAGATTTTTCATTGCTAGTGTAGAGAAATACAACCAAATTTTTGGTGTTAATTTTGTATCCTGCAACTTTGCTGAATTTATTTATTTTCTCTTAACAGCTTTTATTTTCTGAAGAGTTTTCTACATATAAGATAAGGTAATCTGAGAGAGAGATAGCCTTTCTATTGAAATTTGGATGCCTTTTATTTCTTCTTCTTGCTTAATGACTTTAGCTGGAACTTCCAGTACTATGATAAATAGAGGTGGTAAAACTGGGCATACTTGTTGTGTTTCTTATTTTACGGAAGAAGCTTTCACCATTGAGTATGATGTTAGTTGCAGGTTTTTCATATATGGCGTTTATCATATTGAGAAAGTTCCCTTCTATTCCTAGTTTATTGAGTGTTTTTGTTTTTCAATCATGAAAGGTTACTGGAGTTTGTTAAATGTTTTTTTTTTTCAGCAACAATTAAGATAATCATGTTTTTTTTTCCCCTCTCATTCTATTAATCTTGTGTAATATGTTGACTGATTTTCATTTGTTGAACCACTCCTGAAATCCTGGGATAAATCCTACTAGGTTTTGGTATATAGGCCTTTTAATATACTTCATGACAATGTTTTATTTTCTTTAGTGATTGCTCTAAGCTTGCATTATATATATCTTATCAATAATCTGCTTCAGGTTTACACTAACTTAATACAAGTGAGATTTAGAAAAGTTATTTCTACATAGCTCTATTTCTTCTCTTTTGGAACTATTTTTATGCATACCAAACCCATTATTATTTTATATAATTTGTTCTCTTTTTAAAAAATCTGAGAAAAGAAACAAGATCAAATAAATATTTATAGACTTTGTCTATAAACTCTCTTATTTACCATTTCTAGTTCTCTTTCTTTGTTCCTCTGACTCATGTTACCATTTGGTGTTATTCCTTATTTCAGTACAGCCTTGCTGCCATCTGTCTCCTCTGTGCTGTTTTTTTGTAATATATTTCTATAGGCCCAACAATGAAAATATATACATTATATATTTGTATATTCTCTATTATAGTTTTATACATTGCTTTTTAAAATAGTTAAGCACTGAAAAGGGTAAGAAATATGACATTATACTTTCTTTTATAATTACCTGCACACTTACATTTATTAGTGCTATTTGTTTTTTGTGTGTAGATTCAGATTATTGTCTGGGTTATATCCCTTCAACCTGAAGGAACGTTCTTTGTTATTTCCTCTAATGCAGGCTAATAGCAGTGAATTCTCTGCTTTTTGTAAGTAGGGATATATTTACTATCTTTTATAATTTTTAGTTTTTATGAATACCTAATAGTTGTATGTATTTATGGGGTAGAGGTAATATTTTGATACAACCAAACAATGTGTAATGATCAAATCAGGGTAACTGAGATATCCATCACCTTAAACATTTATCATTTCTTTTTGTTAGGAACATTCCAGTTCCACTCTTCTAGTTATTTTGAAATATACAATAAATTATTGTTAACTATAGTCATCCTGTGCTACTGAACATGAAAGATGGTTGTGCTGGGTGTAAGTTTCTTCATGACAATGGTTTTCTTTCATCTCTTTGAATATGTTATCTCACTGTCCTTTGGCCTCCATTCTTTCAGATTAGAAGTTAGCTGTTGATCCTGGCGTTTCCTTGTATATATGATTTTTCTCTTACTGCTTTTAAAATTTCCTTCTTGACTTTGGCTTTCAAAGTTTTTAATAAGATGTGTCTGGATATAAACTTCTTTGTGTCATCTGTATTTCACTGAGCTTCTGTATCTTAGATTAATGATTTTTATTAATTTGGGGATGTTTTCAACCATTATTTTTCAAATATTTTTTTCTGATCCTTTCTCTCTCTCCTGGTATTTTCAATTACGTATATGTTGGTGTGCTTAGTTATGTCTGATATTTCTCTGATGATCTGTTTATTTTTTTCATTATTATTTCTCTGTATTCTTCAGGATACATAATCTCTACTGATCTTGCTTCAAGTTTGCTGATTCTTTTTTCTTTTCTCTGTTAAACTTCCCTGGCTTAACTCATTACTCTCTTAGAGTTATCAACATTCTCTTAATTGCTTACTGCCAATATCTTCATACCACTAGCTTAAACTGATCCATGCTCTGTTCCAAATAGAAATCAGTTCACTTGGGGAGGGCTACCAAGCTGTGTATTTTCATGGCCTCCCTCTACCTCTTGGTTAAATGTGCCTCACTGCTCTGAAGCTGTGGAGAGTGAGAGTGGCCTGCTCCTTTGTAGTAAAACCTCTGCTTACAAGTAGGGCACAGGGTGGGAAAGGTAACTTCTTGCCTTGCCTCTCCTGGTGGAGAAACTGTTCCTTACAAGTAAGCTGGAGTGAGGGCAATTGGGACACAGGATTTTTCCAGCTGCCACACCTGAAGACCTTATGTCCTGGAATGAGGAGTTGGTGTAGGAAGGAAACCCCAGACTTCTCAGCTGTTTCTGCGTGAACAGAGCTTCTGTCCTACAAAACTGGGGATGACAAGAAATGCTGGCACCCAATCTTGGGGTAATGCAGTATCTCTGTAGTAGGACCTGGGTAGAGAGGAAACCTTTGGCTTCTTGGCTATATCCATATAGAGTGGAGCTTCCGTCATACTGAGCTAGGGATGGGGAGGTGCAGGGAGAGGGTCTTGGCTTAAATGCCTCAAACTCTCACTGTTATTACTGATTAATAAATGTTTCTTCATTTGATGTATTTCCTTAGGACATTTTCTAAAGACTTTCAATAGTTGTTTTTTAAAATAATAATTTTTACTAGTTATGCCTGTTTCGTATGAGAGAGGGTTTACAGAGCTCCTTATGTGGCCAGCCTGGAAATGCCAGAGTACCAGGTTTTTTATTTGAATGTTACCTCCTCTTTAAAAATCGATTTACTTTGTAGGAAGCATGAAACAGAGCTCCTGAAGTAACTAGAGAAAAGGTGATTTGAAGACCAACCCTCCTTCAAGGTCAGAATTTAGAAATGTTCTTTTATGCCAAAGATGTTTCTCAAATTTACTGTCTGGATAGAAAGGCTAATCCAAAGTGGTATCTACAGTATTCTGAGAGAGAAAAGTTGAAGGGCTTTCAGCTTCTCTTAAAACACTTTATGAAAGGTTGATATTTTAATTTTATATCAAGTTAATTCCAAAAATGTGTTTAGTACACACATACACATACACACACCCCCCAAATATATCTGTAAATAAAAAGAAAATGTTGGGTGATGATCACTGTCTTGGAATACTACTCCACTCTTTCCATTTCCATAAAATATAAAGAATTTACTGAAAATCCAGATCATTCTTATTAGATTAGGTAATCTAACTATAACATATGCCCCAGCCACTGGAGGACCATTTTCCATTTACTTACCATATAACGTCTATCCTTAAGAAAATTTTGGGTTATAAAATAACATTCAAATTGCACTTAGCAAATGTGGATTGGGAATGATTTAGAAATCAGCACTTGTGCTCATGAAGGAGTGGTTACTCCTGATGTTGGCTTGAGATATAAAAAGAGCTCTGTATTTGCACCAGAGCTATGAGATTTGTGAGCACAGAGATCTTCAGGACTAATAAAAGACATATGCAAGAACTTCTGAAAATTTAAATGACTTCTAGATAATGAATCCTCAAAATTCTTTTGAAAGTCACACAATTTATAGTGATTAAAGCCTGTTTTGCTGCTAAAAATAGTAAGTGTAACAGCCCAGAGACACTTAAACACACAATTACATTTTAGCTCTGATGATTCAATATTGTAAGAGGTTTCATAAAAGTATTATAAATATATTAAATAAGTCAGTACAGAGTACTTAATACTAAAATCAGTCCCTTTTTCCTTTTCTTTTTTTTTTTCCCCAAGACGGAGTCTCACTCTGTCGCCCAGGAGTGAGTGCAGTGGTGCGATCTCGACTCACTGCAACCTCTGCCTCCCGGGTTCAAGCAATTCTCCTGCCTCAGCCTCCCGAGTAGCTGGGATGCCCTGCTAATTTTTGTATTTTTAGTAAAGATGAGGTTTCACCATGTTGGCCAGGCTGGTCTTGAATTCCTGACCTCGTGATCCGCCTGCCTTGGCCTCCCAAAGTGCTGGGATTACAGGCATAAGCCACCACGCCCAGCCCTTTTCTTTTGAAAACATGATTGTACCTGAGCAGAAGCTGTGTGATACCCCACTGCACTCCTCTAAGAAGAGTCAAACATCATAGAGCAAAGTGTTTGAGTGATCCTGTTAATGACTGTCAATATTTAAATATTCTTTTCCCCTTCTAGTTAGTATGCTTGTTTTATAAGAAAAGACATTTCTATAAAGGCCTTTTGAATCACTTAAAGTCACTGTCACAAGGGACAATGGGTAAGACGATTGCTCAAGCCTAGGAGTTCAAGTCCGGCCTGGGCAACAGAGAGGCTTGAATAGCAATACGTTGTCTCTAAAAATTAAAAACAAAAATAAGAATGATGCTTTACTGATGTTAAAATTAGAACAGTACAAGGACAGAGTTTTGAAAACCAAATTATTTCGAGAGGATTAGCATTGAACAGATGCTGGGGTAACCCAGAGATCTTCTAAATAAGAAACCCAGAGAGGACTGATAGCCTTAAGTTTTCAAAAACAGTCATATCCCTTCTAAATTCAATAGAGGAATTTGGTACAGAAATTATTCCATTTCAAATAATTCAATCTTATCCTCTCTTTATAATATCAAATGCCAGAAGCATTCTTCATACTATTTAAGTTTCATGTACTTTCCCTATAACCTGCTCCTTGGTCACACTTACCATTGGAGCAGAACGGTCCATCATAGGCTGAGAAGGCACAGTCACAGGTGACCCCCCTGCGTTTCTCTCTGCATCTCCCTCCATTGCGACACAAGTGTCCATAGGTGCTGCAGTGTCCTGCACACCCTGGCTCCACTCCTGGCGTCACTGTGGCTCTTTCTTCCAGATCCAGGGCCACCCCGTTCAACTGCAGAGACCGAATGCATCCTAGAAAGCCTCTCTGTCTGGTGGCCGTTCCACCTACAACGGAAACACTGCAAATAGAAATGTGTTCCTTGGTATTTTATTCAGGATTTTATGTCCATGTCAAACTCAGGCCTTATGGAGAGTGGCAATAATCACAATGTGTCAAAAAATTTTGTGAACATATACAATTTTGAAAATATAACTGTTATGAGATATGCAGCTTTAAATGACATTGAATAAAACATTTATTTACATAACTTTCAAACATGGTGAGTCTGGCAAATAGTCCTTCTAAAAACATTTCCTTAACTTCAGGTAAGAAAGAATTTCACTTTAGTTCCTTTACAAAGAACAAAATACATAATATAAACCACATCAAACACTATTTTACTTTGTTTAGGAATAAGAATGTGCATTCATCAAACATTATTTTAATTTCTTTATGAATAAGAATGTGCATTATAATGGTTAGGTATGAACTTCCAAATTTTTCACAATAATAAAAATATATATGGATAAATTTCTTACTTGGATGGACTCTAAAAATAAAGTGTGAAAGGAAATGGATAAGCAAAGGAGGGGAAGTTGGAAGGGGTGACACCATACCCCAGGATCTCCTCCTCTCAGAGGGTACAGTGCTAAACAGTAATTGAATACTGCATGCATGCACATTTTGTCATGTCAAACTTGAATGCTGAAGAAACCATTTAGAGAGGTTTACAACACCTGTGTAGTGACAAACACCATTATGAAGGCGACAATTCTCAATGTTAGGAGCATGGAAATTACCTAGAGTTTCTGGAAAATGCAGTTTTTAGCCTCCTCCCAGAGATTCCAATTCGGTGGGCCTAAGGTGGGGGCCCCAAATCTGAACTATCAATCAGCTTTGTGGGTGATTCTGAAGCCAGTGCTTCATCCACCGCAATGAATGCTGATTCTAGGTGAATTTTATGCTAATTGTGTTTCTAGGCATTCCCTTAAATAATCTCCAAGATTACAAGTGAGAAAATCAAGTTCTTGGTTTGACCCCTCCGTGTAGTCCTCCTTTCCAGTAGTTTGATGGTTTCATGTCCTTTGAAAAAGCCTCACTGCACCTTAATAGAAGAGCTAACCACGCCTGAAGCTAGGTTTTAGGAAGTCATGGTATAACACCCCATCCACATCCACATACATACGTGGGTTCACGTGTAGCATTTAGTACCTGGAAGTTGTATCTACCCTCCCCTGTAAATTAGGTTGGGTGATAATTTGTGATTTAGTCCAGTTTTAATTAGATTGCATCCTTATTCGCTTTAAAACACTTAAGAATGAACAAGTGAGAGCTTTAATCTGTGTAGCTCCTACGTTAGAATAGTTTCAAAAGCAATATAGCAAAATATATTTTTCCCAAGGGGAAAAATAAACAACAGTGATAAAACAGTAAGTAAGCAAACTAAAGGAAAGACTTCCAGAGCTATCACCTTTAAATAAATGGAGTGCAAGAACAGATGAGCCAGACCGGGTTATAAACAAGGAGCCTGTGATGAGAGAGCCCCAGAAGTGAGAACAGCAGCGAGGAAAACCGGGAGTGGGCTCCTGGAAGCCTGGCCGCGGGGGAGGTGCGCAGTGCTGCTTCCAATCAGCGGGTATCCTGCGATCTGGTTTTGAGTGGACCCTGGAGGACTTCTGTCCCAATTACAAGCTCTCTAACTCCACCGAGAAGTGAAACTGAAGGAATGGATAAAAATGTCTAATGATCTCACTAATAGTGTTGATAAAATATAGCTGTCACATATGCCAATCCTCTGCAATGTGAATGGTTCAAGTTTGGGGGTCGGCTATCCTGGGATCTCTCTCATTAGCTGGTTACTCCACTTCTCTGAGGCTTGGCTATCTCATCTGTAAACAGATGACAATACCTAAACATTGATACCTAAACACTGAGATACTGCAGGGCCCGGTGGCTCGCGCCTGTAATCCCAGCACTTTGAGAGGCTGAGGTGGGTGGATCATCAGGTCAAGAGATCACGACCATCCTGGCCAACATGGTAAAACTGTGTCTCTATTAAAAATACAAAAATTAGCCAGGCGTGGTGGCACCTGCGCCTGTAATCCCAGCTACTCAGGAGGCTGAGGCAGGAGAATCGCTTGAACCCGGCAGGTGGAGGTTTCAGTGGGCTGAGATTGCACCACTGCACTCCAGCCTGGGCGACACAGTGAGACTCTGTCTGAAAACAAAAATAAAAACAAAAACAAACAAACAAAAGAAATGTCACATAAGAAGCACACAGCAAGCTCCTGGAACCTACCAGGTTATCAGCAAATAGTACCAATAAGCAGTAGTTGTTGGCAACTGTTGCTCTCAGTACATCACAGTTCTTATTTTCTTTTGGTCCCTCTCTGGACTCACACTAAATTCAGTTATAAACCACCAGCACTCACCAATGAAGAGCTGGCTGTTGAGCTGTAAACGAACGTGCCCATCAGCAGGGGCAGGCTGCATCTTCTGAGGAAGCTGATCAACTTGAAGAGACGCTCCTTTAACATTTCTCTCTGCCCTCACGTGGTGCCACTGATTGTCATTAAAGGGAGTGGGTGACTGCACCGTGACCTCACAAGGTCCATTCCCCACATCGAAGGAAAATGTCACTTCTGTGGGAGCTAGAAATATTAGATATGAATATTGCTCAAGCAAATTCACAGAAAATTGAGTCTTGTGCAGACACAGGAAAACATGAAGGCACGCTCAGGATGGAAGGAGATAATGACGGCGATGCAGAAAAACAAGACTGTGAGTTGGGGTGGGGGCAGAATAAATCTGTATCCTGGAGGAAAACAGAATGGATTTTAACATATTTATCCTCAGAGTTCACAATTCAACCTTGTTAAGTCCTAAATAGTAGAGATATGTACCCATAGCTGGACTACCCATAGCTATGTACCCATAGCTAGAATACCAAATAGTATTTGTTTTTGAGGTTTCAGTAATTTTATTTACAAACGGCTCAAAGTCTCATCTAATTCTATAAACACTGAATGTAAATTTTGACAGTCATAAATTAAGCTTTGGGTACATAAAAAACAATATGTCTGGTCAAATATTTTTGGAATTCAGTAAACAATGTGATGAGTTTGGTTTAAAGCTCTGGCTCTGCTGTTCAGTACTCTAGGGAAGGCATGACATTTTAATGGATTATTACGTGCTTCATGCTTCATTGTTTTATTTTCTCTTAAAAATGATTACTGGCTGGGTGTGGCAGTTCACACCTGTAATCCCAGCACTTTGGGAACCCGAGGCAGGCGGATCACTTGAGGCCAGGAGTTGAAGACCAGCCTGGTCAACATGGCAAAACCCCACCTCTACCAAAAATACAAAAATTAGCTGGGCATGGTGGTGCGTGCCTATAGTCCCAGCTACTCAGGAGACTGAGGCAGGAGAATTGCTTGAACCCAGGAGGCTGAGGTTGCAGTGAGCCAAGATAATGCCACTGCACTCCAGCATGAGTGACACAGCAAAATCCTCTCTCCCTCTCTCAAAAACAAAAAATTACCTAAAATCATAGAAGTTTAGTGTTTTATAATGAAATAGAATCACAAAGTAAGAATGAAATACTACCATTTTGTTGAGTTAAAGCTTTTATTGCTAAATAATGGGTACCCTGTGACTTGTCCAGAGTGGCCAGCCTACCCCGCAGCTCAATCCTGATGAAGTCTGTGATCCCCAGGTTCTCCATAAACACCCCAGAGGAAACTGTGGTCTTAAAAAAGAAGCACACGTCAGCAGTGAGTTCTCCGTGGAAAGCAGGGAAATGAAGGTATGAAGTCTCAGTGTTGAAGGAAGCTGAATTCCAAAATGACTCTGTTTACAATAGAGAAAACGACAAAAGGAAAAAAAGTCATGAAACAAAAATAACAGCTACATTTGATACTTACAGGATTATGACTGCTAAATACATTAATAGAATGTATATGAGCTTTCACTGGGGGTTCTGAGCATCCATGTCATATACTGATGACATCAAGAGCTAAATGGTGATTACGCTGAGGATTGGAATTCTGTGTTCAGAGAAGGCCAAACAAAAGCGAAGCAAAAGCAATGAGACCAGTCAGGGGATCGCGCAGCAACACAGTAGGGACAGGGTCAAGTTCAGAATCACCTCAAAGGTACGACCAACAGAACTTACTGAAGAACTCGGTAAGATGTGAGAAGAAGGGTGGAGTCTGAGGTGACTTTGGGGTTTTTGGTCTAACTGGGAAGGGAAATAATTCTAAAGAAGCAGGTTCGAGCAGCAGCTCAGTTTGGGACATGTTTCATTTGAGATATCTATTAGGCATCCAAGTGGAGATTTGAAGGAGGTAGTTGGAAAAATGACTCCAGAAGCCAGAACACAGACTCTTGCTTTCCTTCCTGCACACACACACACACACACACACACACACACACACACACACACACAGTCTTAATTCCTTTCATGGCAAGAACAATCAAGAACAAGAAGAAGCTTATTTGTTCCCTTCTGTCCAAAACCCATCACAGGACTGCACATCACATGTATTACTCAGGCCTCTTTAGTGTCCTTTATTCTGGTACAGTGTGTGAGTCTTTTCTTATCTTTTGTGTACTTTTGACTTTTTGGTATTTTTCAGTTGACTTTCAGAATGTTCCTCAACTTGGATTTGTCTGACATACTCATGATTGGATTCATGTTGTGCATTTTTGTCAAAAATACCACAGAAGGGCTGCTGTGTTCTCCTCAGTGTGTCGCAGCAGCAGGCAGCAATGCTGATAAGCCCATCACTGGTCCTGTTAGTTTCAACTGCCTTGTAAAGTGGCATTTGTCCAGTTTCTCCAACATGAAGTTATTATTTTTCTCTTTTTTCATGTATTTTTGACACTTTAAGGTTACAGAAACACAACTTTACCCAGTTTAAAATTTTTTCATCCAATGGTTTTACAATATATTGATGGCTCCTGATTGAATTTTTATTCTGATGGCTGCCAATAGTGATTTTCTAAGCTCTGTCATTCCTTCCACATTAATTGGTTGACATGCCTACGTTAGAAATAGCTTTTCTCGGCTAGGCGCAGTGGCTCACGCCTGTAATCCCAGCAGTTTGGGAGGCCAAGGCGGACGGATCATGAGGTCAGGAGATCCAGACCATC
The DNA here is from genome assembly GCF_000001405.40 of Homo sapiens. Taxonomy (NCBI): domain Eukaryota; kingdom Metazoa; phylum Chordata; class Mammalia; order Primates; family Hominidae; genus Homo; species Homo sapiens. Next base: position 41,925,399 of record NC_000009.12, read on the forward strand.
CTGGCTAACACGGTGAAACCCCGTCTCTACTAAAAATACAAAAAATTAGCCAGGCATGGTGGTGGGTGCCTGTAGTCCCAGCTAGTCGGGAGGCTGAGGCAGGAGAATGACGTGAACCCGGGAGGCGGAGCTTGCAGTGAGCCGAGATCCTGCCACTGCACTCCAGCCTGCGCAACAGAGCGAGACTCCATCTCAAAAACAAACAAACAAACAAACCAAGAAATAGCTTTTCTCTTGATCTTTTACTAATTTATTTGTGTATTTATCCATTTGTTTATTCACGTCACTCTTGAATTTGTATTCTATTCAATGGTTTATACTCTATAACTTATTTTGATGCTTAAGTTGTCTCAAATGTGGCAGCTCCTTTAAGCTGACACCCATGCCTTTTTCAGCTTTTTTTTTCCCCTTTGTCATAACAAAATGATCCAGGCTCATCTTAAATTTTCTCTGCCACATTTCTGGAATCAGCCATTTCTTCAAGGAGTCGTGGTTTCTTTTTTAGCAGAGAATGACAGAAAATGGTGTTTAGAAGCCCAGATCTGCAGGCTATTTACTAGGGTGTCATTGCTTCTAGCCCTCTCAGTAGTCAGCTAGGAAATATGTGTATTTGTATCTCTCTCTCTCTCTCTCACACACACATACACACACGCAGTCTCTCTCTTCTATGTGTATTCTACAGTTATCTATTATGTATATTAAAATCCATGAGTTCATGTGGATACCTCCGTTTTTAACCCAGCACCACAGGGTTCATTACAGTCTTCCTCCTTCCCACATGTATAACTCTTTCCTCAGTGAGGTCACTCCTATGCTCCTCACTTTTTTTACATATTTGCTCATTCCCCAGTGTGGAACCTAGCTTCTAACCCAGTGGTCATTCCTTGACCCTATCCCTGCAGATCCCCTAGTCCCAGCTGCCCCAAAAGAAGGGAAAAGAATCAATAAGTGTTATGTTAAAGAAAACAGAGATGAAGATAAGGAAAGGAAAAGAGAAACGAAGAGGAAGCTACAAGTTTTACAGAAGAGAATATTTTATTTTTCTTTCTTTCTTCATTAATCAATTTATTTATTTATTTTAGAGATGAGGTCTCACTTTGTCACCCAGGCTGGAGTGCAGTGGCATGATCATAGTTCACTGCCACCTCACATTCCTGGGCTCAAGAGATCATCTCACCTAAGCCTTCCTAGTTGCTGGGACTACAGGCCACCATGCCCAGCTAATTTTTAGTTTTTTTGTAAGAGACAAGGTCTTACCATCTTGTCCGGGCTTGTGTTGAACTCCTTGGCTCAAGCCATCCTCCCATCTCAGTCTCCCAAAAAGAGAAGGGAATATTTCAAATATCACACTTTCTCTTCTCCATACTTTCAGAAGTCTTGCTGAAAGTAGGATATAAACTGAAGGTGAATGACATATCCTGAAGAGTCTCACAAATACAGCCACATTTGGAGAGAAATGAAGGGCTGAGGTAAATTTCCAGAGAGAAAATAATCTAGAAAATGTTTTTGAGAAGTACAGAGTACCTAGAAACCAGTGTTTGATGTCAGAGTATCAATAGGCAGGGGAAAAAGCTACAAATTTCCAGGGGTTATTACTGAACTGTGGGAGGCATCTGAAGCCTGCAGATATACCCTCCATGCTTCAGTGTGATGCCTGGCACAGGACATTTAATAATTCTTGAAGATAAAACAGCACAGAGAATGGCCAGTAAATCAGATACAATTCAACAGATCCCTCCCTTGAGCTCTTAGATTATGGGAAAAAATATTGATAGGATGACCAACTCTAGTCCTGCTATTGCAGTTCAGAAGGGACAAGAAGTATGTGTCTGATTGTGAAGAGATGAATGTCGAGAAGAATTCAACTCCATTCCATATAAATGAATTAAATGTCTGGACAGACCTGCCAGACAGACCTGTAGTGTAGACTTACACTACAAGTATAAACAATGTTTCAAAAAGCACAGAAACAGTGCAAACATACTGAGAAAGAAAAAAAGAAGACAGGAAAGAAAGAAAGAAAAAGAAAGAAAAGAAAGAGAGAGAAAGAAAGAAGAGAGGGAGGGAGGGAGTGGGGAAGGAAGGAAGGAAGGAGTATAAAAGCCAGACTGAATGGGAGGGAGGAAGGGAAGGAGAGAAAGAGGGAGGGAGGGAGGGAGGAAGGAAGGAAGGAGCCATCTGAATGGGATGGAGGAAGGAAATTAAGAGAGAACACAAGGAAAGAAAAATTTCATAAGAGTTTCACACTATGGGAATAATATAAAAACCAATTCAGTAAAATAAGAGCTAAAATATGAGATAAACAGAAAAGATGATTTTTAAGGAAAAAAAATCAAAGACCCAAACAAAATCACAGAGGTAACAGAGAAATCGGAAATATCTGGAAATGGAGAACACAGCTGATAACAAATTACTGACATTGGGAAAAGCTTAGAATAATCATATTGAATGCATAGGAGAAGGACAAAGAGATTAAAGCCATTGGAAGAAACAGAAAAAATGTATGGGGGGCAAAGGAAACAAGTCAACAGTCCTAGATGAAGAGAATCCACCAAATGAAACAAAGTATTCAAAGCATAATAAAAACCATTTTTTCTTAAAAGAGAACAGAATATTTCGGTCAAAATAAGCATATTTCATTTTAGAAAAAAATAACAGAATAATTAACGCTAAGGCATATTCTGGATAAGTTTTTGAAATTGAAGGATAACATATCTGTCAAGAGCTGTGAAGAATCTGAGATTTCACCCTACTTGCAAGCTAACAATTTAGCTTGCCACAGATTAATGGATGCTGATAGAAAACACAAAATTTCTGGGTCAGAGTTAAAGAACTTTATTGCTCACAGCACAGCATGCAGCATGAGTGTCAGAATATTTGCATTGGTTCCCCTTATCTCCAAATTTCACAGGGCAACACAATCCATTGGCCCAGGTGGATGCTACACACACAGTGGGTAGGTTTGCATCTCAGATGAGGAGCCCCCAGACAAGGGTCCGGGACTCCTTCATCAAGCAGGAGACAAGCCGGTCCCCGCCCTCTCTGGGGAGTGAGTACACATCGATAGTGATGTTGTGTTCTCTTTGAACTACTTAGCTGCCTACACGATTGGCTACAGAAACTGCTTGGTATTAGGGGATGGAGACACCACACCATCTGGCACACTCGGCAAGAATGTACAGAGAGGCTCAGGCTCCTTGTTGAACCACCCCTCTCAGAAGTAGCCCCCACACATTGAGGTAGAACAGGAAATAAAAATACATTTAGTCTCAGACTTCTCCACGGCAATGTATGATGCTAGTGGGTAAGAAACACTATTACAATTTTTCTCAGGGAAAGAAGATTTTTACTAGCTTAGTTGTGGTTCCCGTGCTACCCAGTAGGTAGATCCTCTAAGAACCCTGGGCTTATAGTGCCACTGAGGTGGGGGAGTGAGGACTTGACCATGAAAGCCACCCATGAACGAAAATGCTGCAGGAAAGAGATTAATACACATTCGGTGCCATGTAATGTAAAACAGTATGTACAGAGGTCAGAAAATAGAGAGTGTCCAATAATTTCCTACCACTATAGTTGTCTGAAGAGTATAAGGGCAATGAATAAATATCCCTTAGCATTCAGAAAATAGTTCATCTCATGATTGTTCTGGAAAAAATACAATCAATTGATAATAAATCCAGCCAAGCAAGTAATAAGTTAAAACAAAGATGATTCATTTTCTATAAACTAATGCTTCAGTAAGGAAACACAGATCTTCAGTACTGACTGTGCCTTTATGGTATGTGTGTTTTCCTGATATTCGCCCCAGTCCTAGTACTGCCACTATTCTCTTTCTGGCAAGAACAAGGGCATTTGTCTACCCCTTTATAACCAAAAAAAGTTATTATGAAAATAAAGCTTTTTCTTGACACTACTTACTATCTCCGCGGCAGAGCAGTGGCCCCAGTGTATAATCTGCTTCGGAATGTGGTTGGCCTGTGTCTGTCATCACAATCTGAGTGACTGGGAGGTGCTCCTTTTGGGAAAGGACTATTGTGTCACTAGTCCTAAAGAACAACAACCGAAACCATTAAAATTATTCTGATTAACATACGGGCAAAATTAACTCTGATCTCTTATCTCAATTTGAAACTAACATCATAGAGCTTAACAGAATACTTAACATTTTCAATATTTTGAGAGCACAGAGACTACCATGAATCTAAATCAGGGATGGGCAAACATTTTGTGTAAAGGACCATACAGTAAGCTGTGCAGGCCATGCAGCTTCTCACAGCAACTACTTAACTCTGCCACCAAGTGTGAAAGCAGCCACAGACACAGGCATGGCTGGGTTGCAATAAAAATTTTTGGATATGAAATCTGAATTTCATACAAGTTTTATATGACATGAAATATTCTTTTTATTTTTCAACCTTTTAAAAATGTAAAGAAAACATTCTTAGCTCACTGCCATGCAAAAATAGACTAGTGGTCTGGATTTCACCCAAAGCAAGAGGTTATTAATTCCTGACCCGTTTGCCAATTCCTGATCTAAATGATTACAGAGAAGGGGAAAAATCAAGAAGGTAACTTCCCTTCTAAAATTGTCTTAGAATAATATCTAAGTGATTATTCTTTACAAATAAAAATAGTAACACTGGATTTAGATATTCATTTTGCAGAATATTAATTTATCATTATTTTTTAAAGTCCTTTTATGATTACTGGGTATTTCTTTCCTTGTTAACTTTGTAAATGCAAAATGAGTCCCACAGATTCAAAACCAAATACATACTACACCCTTATAAGTAATACATAGACTAATGAGTGTGAAAGTGGTCTGTGAAACACTGCTCCCAGTAGTTCAGGCAACAAACACAGGCCGGGCACAGTGGCTCATGCCTGTAATCCCAACACTTTAGAAGACTGGGGTGGGCAGATTGCTTGAGCTCTGGAGTTCGAAACCAGCCTGGGCAACATAGTGAGGCCCCGTCTCTACAAAAAATACAAAAATTAGCTGGGTGTGATGGTGCACACCTGTAGTCCCAGCTACATGGGAGGCTGAGGTGGGAGGATCCCTTGAGCCTGGGAGGTAGAGGCTGTAGTGAGCCATGTGTGCAACACTGCACTCCAGCCTGGGTGGCAAAGTGAGACCCTGTCTCAAAAAATACAAAAAACAAACAAAAAACCCCAAACACTCAGCGCTCACCTTTTGTCGAACAGACATTGTCCTGGGAATTGAGGACACAGAGTAAAAAATATATTTTAGTCTCTGCCTTCTGAAAGCACACAGCCTATTGAATACCATGAGTATTAATTATGTGACTGGGAAAATAAATGCACACGTCTGTGTCCAATACAAAGAGACCTGGAGGATCCCCTAGGGGAACCTGGGGTCCTGGTCTTAGCTATGCCACTAATTTTGTCTCTGGCCAAAATAAAGGCATTTGTCTACTCTGCTGCAAAAGTATTTTATTATATATGTGTATGTAACTGTATATGTAATAAATATTTGGCCAATAATATTGCATATATGCATATATAATAAAATGCTTATATTTATATACTTTTGGTTATATTTTATTACATATATGTCTCAACTGCATGTATATTCTGATTTACAGACAAAACACTCTTAGTCCAGTTACGGTTAGAAACTCCACAGTATCTAGTAAATACTGTATTTTTTAAATTGCCCAGTTCTCAAACCTTCTTTTGTATGCATTTGTGGCAAAAGATCACAATAATTGATATTTCATCATTGCAACACTTTTGTATTTTCAGAATAAGGCTTTCTGAATTAAAAAAAATTAAATTGGCATGTCAGAGTTGTACATATACTGGGGGCACATGTGCTATTTTGATACTAGAATACAATGCATAATGATCAAATCAGGGTAATTGGGATATCCATCACTTTGAGCAGTTATCCTCTGTGGTGGGAACATTACAATTCTCTTCTGGCTATTTTGAAATATCCAATAAATTACTGTTAACTATAATTTCTCTAGTTCTATCAAATACTAGAATTTCTTTTACTTAACTCGACTTTTGTACCCATTAATCAACTTCTTTTATAAAAGACTAGGTATCAAACTTTCAAATTGGAAAATATAAAACTAAAATAAAATGGCTATATTATTTAAGATTATTCCCTGAAAAAATACACTTAATGGTAAAGAAAGCTTATTTCTAAAATTCAGACTAAAACCCTGTTGCTTTACCTAGTTAAGATTCTGTTATTCATTTTAATGCAAAGAACAGAATATTGATTATCTAAAGGCATCACCATTCAGCTTTAGAGTGGACTGATGGTAGACAAGCTAGAAATATGTCTCCTGCTGAATGAGGTAGGTCTAGGAAATTTTTTATTAATGTGGTAGCCATTAAAAATTACCATTTCCAATTCTGTGATCATCATTTTAGCAAGATAGTCTAGTAGAGAAAATGCAATTTAATTATTTATGGAGGATGCTTGTATTTTAAAAGATCTATTTCACGGGAGCTCCAAGTTTCATTCCATTTTCAATACTGACTGTGCAAAATATTGAGAATGTGTAAATGAAATCCACATTTCAGTTTAATTAGGGCAGATACTATAATAAAGTCTTGTTTTTTCATTGTTTTGGAAAGTCTGGTGTTTTCATTCTGAGCATAAAGATAGCCAGTGTTTTTCACCAGTTTCTTATTGTTACAGGCAGATTCCCAACCTTTGGAAATCAAAATAGAATACTCAGGATTTGTAATAGTTATCAGACTTCCTCAAAACTTCCTAATTAATAGGGACATCTCATTTTTCTTTTCTCCCTATTATTTTCTAAAGCTTATACTATAGTCTACACTTGGAAATAGTGCTTTCATAGGTACCATAATCTCTTGGAGCAGTATTAAAAATTCAGTAAGAGAACTTTCAAAGACTTTTTGCTTTTATTTTATATTTTATTAAAATTTTTATTTATTAGAAATTCCTACGGTTCTGGAAATTGTACTTTCCTAGGAAGTGTGAAAACTTCTAAAAGCTACTACTTATTATTTGCCAGGGAACTTTATTTAAGGCAAAGTAGAGCCATAAGTTTGGGAGGTTGCAAAGAAAGCTAAAAGGGAGAAATGTTGAGTCAACTTTTTAACTTTTTTTTCTTCTTTTTTTTTTTTTTTCGAGACAGAGTCTCACTCTTGTCGCCCAGGCTGGAGTGCAATGGTGTGATCTCTGCTCACTGCAACCTCCACCCCCAGGATTCAAGCGATTCTCCTGCCTCAGCCTCCAGAGTAGCTGGGATTACATGCGTGCGCCACTACGCTCAGCTAATTTTTGTATTTTTAGTATAGACGGGGTTTCACCATGTTGGTCAGGCTGGTCTCGAACTTCTGACTTCATGATCTGCCCGCCTTGGCCTCGCAAAGTGCTGGGATAACAGGTGTGAGCCACCGCGCCCAGCCCAACTGTTAATGATTATTTTGGGGGAGTAGGTCAGCAATAATAAAATCATTATGATCCACATCTAACCCACTTAAAAAATTTCTAGATTCTCAGTTTCTGTTTAATTGCCTATCTTCTGGCCAGTTCAACCTGCATTAATTACTACAGCAATACAGTATGTCTTGACAGCTAACAGAACTAGTTTCTTCACTTTATTTTTCATCTTAAAAATTATCTTGCTTATCCTTTCATCCTTAATTTCCATATGAATTTTAAAACCAGGTTGCTGCAATCCACACAAGTAAAAACACTTGGCATTTTTTGGAATTTTGTTAAAATTACAGACTAATTTGAGGAGAATGTCAACTTTAAAAGAGGGTATCTCAACAGCAGCGTTACTGATATTTTGGGCTAATTTTTTTTTGTCATGGGGGGGGCTGTCCTGTGCACTGTAGGATGCTCAGCAGCACCCTGATTTCTAATTAATAGACACTAATATAAACAACCTTCCTCTCTGTGTGATGACAAAAATGTCTTCAGACAATGCCAAATGTCCCAAGAGTCGAAATCACCCCCGATTGAGAACTACTGCTTTAAGATACTGAGTCATACTATCCACGACAGTAGTGAGTCAATCCATTTATTTGGCTGTCCTTAATTCTCTTGAATAAGTTTTGTAATTTTTTCCATAAAAGTACTGCAGTTATTCCACAGAACTTTACATTTTTGTTAATATTGCAAATAAAATTTTTCTAGGTGTGTAATGGTAATTATTTTACGATTTTATAGAAATTCAAGTAATTCCTCAATACTGACTGACCATAAATTCAGCAAACTTACTGAACTCTCATTTTTCCTGATATTTCTTTATATTATTTTGGATTTTCTATGTAGGCAATCATATTATCTACAATATCTGCCAGGTTTGTTTCTTTTCCAAACTTTTCATCACTTACATCTATTTTATTTCCTCTTGTGTCTTTAACTGACACATGCATGAGCTTTTAAAAGTTATATATTCATTATTGATTACAGTTAAGAATATAGTTTCCATCATGACAATTCCGTAAAATTTGTTAAGATTCCATCCATTTACAAAATTTTTTATACTTATTCAACAATAATGTATAATACATTCTATAAAGAAATAATTTTTCCTTGCTAAACGATATATGGCTGCTATATCAAGTTTGTTAATTATAATATTAAAATATTCTTACCTGCTTCACTTACTCATTCCCAAAAATGTTATGTTAATTATTCCACTGTTTTGGGTGTCAATTTGCCTTTGCATATTTGTTACATATATATATATATATATATATACACACACATATATATATACACACACATATATATACACACACACACATATATATACACACACACACATATATATATACATACACACACACACATACTTTTTTTTTTTTTTTTTTGAGACAGAGTCTTGGTCTGTCGCCCAGGCTGGAGTGCAGTGGTGTGATCTTGACTCACTGTAAGCTCCGCCTTCCAGGTTCATGCCATTCTCCTGCCTCAGCCTCCCGAGTAGCTGGGACTACAGGCGCCCACCACCATGCCTGGCTAATATTTTTTGTATTTTTAGTAGAGACGGGGTTTCACCTGTGTTAGCCAGGATGGTCTCGATCTTCTGACCTTGTGATCTGCCCGCCTCGGCCTCCCAAAGTGCTGGGATTACAGGCGTGAGCCACGGCGCCCTGCCACTTCTTTATATATTTTAAACAATCTGATGATACACACAAGTGTAGTGAGATCTTTCTAGTGAGTTTATCTCAGCATTAGATAGAGTTCAAGTTTATCCCTAACAATGCTTTTCATCTTTGTCTGACATAATACAGCTATATCTGCTTTCTTTTGATTTGTATTTACTTGGTAAATATTTTCTATTCTTTTAGTTTCAACTTCACCGAGTGCTTATATTTTATCTTTTGTAAACAAGCTATAGCTTCTTTAAAAATCCAATATGATAAAATCTAATATCTGGTTTTTAAATGAACAGAGTTTACTCGTATTTATTATGATTATTTGTACACTAGTATGCATTTAAACCATCTTATTTTATGCTTTTTATTTGTGGTTACTTTTAAAGACTCTAAGATAATCACACAAAAGTCCTATTTAAATTCTTAAGTAAAATAATATTACAGTTACATGTGTCATCATTATATTAGCAAAACAACTTGTGGATTTTTGCAGACAGCTGAATTATATGTTATATGTATATTTTAGAGAATATATTGGTCTATTTGAACATAGTCCACTATACATTTATACACATATATTGACTTGCAGCATAGTTCAATATTTTAAATCATTATAGTGCCTTTTAAATATATGTTTTTATAATAAATCTTTGGCATGTTATAGTTATTTGATAGAATATTCTTACTGTGCCTGAGGAACTGTCTGATCATAAACTTTTTTTTAAGTAATATGCTTAGACGAGTTGCTGATTACAGGGACAACTTATGGAAAAATGGCGATGGTTTATATTAACAATACTGCCTGCCCCATTAACGGACATATGCCTGAAGAGACTTAAAATAGCTTTCACTTTACTTTCATTCCCAAATACTATTTTTATTATAAACTTTCCACCAGGAAAACTTTACTAAGCACACCTCAGTAATAGAAAATAAGTAATAAAGACTAAGATTTATGTTCTTATGTCTACACCTTAATCTAAATTATTACAATTATAAATCTTTTCATTTCATGAGACTGGTAAATTCCATTTTTATAAACTGAAAAATCAATTTTATTTGAAAAATTAAAATAGAAATTGTAATTTCCCACCCCCATACACACCCCCACATTTACAAAACAATCTACAAGAGTTGGGTTAGGATTTCAGAATGCTTGTGGTCTTACTGTTGGATAGACCTGTCTACTGGAAGCTGCAAAGTAAATAAAATAAGGTTAAAAAGCAAATGACTCCACAATGCTCCCTTCTGAATGTAGGAGGGGAGTTAATTTTTAAAACCTGCTTCTCTCCTGAATTTTTTTCCAAATGAAAGCCCAGGGCTTCTGTCACACCAGTGCAGTCCTTGACGGTGCTGAAGTGACATGGCTAAGGGTATCAGAGGACCTGCACCCACCTCAGTTCCTCCCATCCCCTCCTCAAACTCAGTTCATGGGAGGGTCACTCAATACAGGTGGCTCCAAGTGATACGTTCCTCTGGTTACTGCCCTAAGCATACGTGAAGTCTACAATAAAGTATGCACTTAATACTAACAGAAGGTTCTGTAACAAAAAAACAGTTGACCAGCCTGGCCAATAGTGAAACCCAGTCTCTACTAAAAATACAAAAATTAGCCAGGTGTGGCACTCGGCTGTAATCCCAGTTACTCGGGAGGCTGAGGCAGGAGAATCGCTTGAATCCGGGAGGCGCAGGTTGCAGTGAGCTGAGATCGCACCACTGCATTCCAGCCTGGGCGACAGAGAGAGACTCTGTCTCAAAACAAAAACAAAACAAAACGGTTAACATTCTTCGAACTAAGTTATAAAGCCACTAGCATATATGCCATTCTGGCTTTCTTGTAATAACCTGCCAATGCTCTCCTTTCTGACCTGTAGAGAATGGGGGTGGGGACAGACCAATGAGCTGGAGGTCTTCTGAACAGCCAGGAGCTGGAGGGCTGGAGCCCTCACAGGCAGGAGCCCCTTGTGGAATGGAGGAAATGAAAACCTCTAGGATTGTTAAAGATGTCCGTCAAAAGATTTGAAGGTCGCTGTTTGTCTCATTAGAGCCCAAAGCTAACACACATCATCACATTATCATACCAGACACTTTAAAATGTACATCATACAAAATATGGTACAAAACCATTTTAACTGACGGCAAATTACTTCAGACCTGAAACTTACTGGTGGCCAGATTTGAAACTATGGATCAGATCTGTTCCTGTTACTCACTGCACTAAAACTGCATTCATTTTTAAGTAAGAGAAAGTTGTATTAAGATTGCATATCAAAATATTCAAAAAGAGTGTCTCATAAATCTGTATGATCATTTTGTAATTTTGAACTTGAGGAAGATTAAAAATAATATCCATGTAAATGTATAGTATGTATTCTATAGAAAGCTCCAGTAGATTCAAGTGAGTTTTCCCAACTTCACAATATTTTTTAAAGTGATGCAAAGTAGACTTTTTATGCCAAATAAATAAGTGGACTACCATGCAGGCCAAACAACTCAATTTTTAGGAATCAAATTACTGCTTAGATTAGCTATTTTATGTCCAAATCAATTATACTGACACCTGGAATGACCATTACATTTTTTATTTATTAATTTATTATTATTATTATTATTATTATTATTTTGAGGTGGAGTCTTGCTCTGTCGCCCAGGCTGGAGTGCAGTGGCGCGATCTCAGCTCACTGCAACCTCTACCTCCTGGGTTAAGCAATTCTACTGTCTCACCCTCCTGAGCAGCTGGGACTACAGGCACACACAGCCACACCTGGCTAATTTTTGTATTTTCAGTGGAGACGGGGTTTCGCCACATTGGCCAGGCTGGTCTCAACCTTCTGACCTCAGGTGATCCACCTGCCTTGGCCTCCCAAAGTGCTGTGATTACAGGCATGAGCCACAGTGCCTGGCCTAAGTTTTTTTTTAAAGCACGTACTCTACACGATCTAGTTGTTTTATGACAATGCTTTTTAAGTTGCTGACATGAACCCAAAGGTTGAAAACATTTACATATTACAAATAAAAAAAAAGAAAACCAATATGCATTTCAAGAATAACCTCAAAAAGAACTTCTGAAAAAGAGGCATTGCAATCTACATGAGAAAATTGTTTCTGCTCAAAAGAAAGCTTACAAAATAATTTTCAAATTCCGGAAATTCTATGTTAGTTGTTTCAAAGTATGGTCTACAGAACAGTTGGTGCTTGAAGCTTTGCTATTGCACTGCAGATTTCAATGAGTGTGGGAAATTGTTGCTTCTAAAAAATAAACACAGTCCTTTTATGCAGGACCTCTCAGAGTTTCTTGTGTTAATGTTAATTTCTAAAAGAAAGACAGAATATGCAGCATTATATCCCAAATCAATTTAAGACAAAGATTTGGAGGAATTTGCTTTTTGAATTGCCACATGAATACTACGTTAATTAATTAACTAAACTTCGCAGAGAATGATATTTGATTTCCAGTGAGTGGAAAACTTAACAGCTGCTTCTCTTTTACGAAAAATAAAAAACACATTATATAGTATTCACAATGAATTAGTAAATCTTTGGTCATAAAATTTAATCCTTAGATTAACTGATCATATTTCATCAAAACTTGTATTTCAGCTTGCTTGAACATACTTTAATCTAGTTACCTTATTGTACCAGCTTGTCTGACATTTAATTAACTATGCATAATTAAAGAATAAAAACCACATTTTTGTGCAGGGAAATCATGTGGAAATCACCATTCATTCTGGCCAGCATCACAGTTGCAGTAATACTGAGAATCAATGCAGTTCCCCTCTAATCCACAAGTACACTTTTGAGCATCAGGCAGAGAACCTCCCCAGGAAGTGTGTGTTTCATTGGTTCTTCCAACCCACCAGCTCAGTGGGGTTCCATCTGAAAGACAAGTATAAGAAAGATGACATCTACTTTGTCCCTCACTATCACCCTCCCCATATATCTCCCTTTACTCCCAGGTGTAAAGTGTATGTGTGAGAGGCAGAGAGAGAGAAAATGAAACTATACTTAAACACTTGTATTTTACCTCTGAAACGTTTCTTTAAGCCTAACCAATGTTTTTCCCCCAATATTTCAATATCTAGGCTTAAATGATTCCATCTATTTTTCTTCTATTAGAAATCAGTCAGTTGCACGTGATACATACTTTCTATAGAAATAACATTCAAAAAAATTCACCATTAAAATTAATACCAGGGTAATTTGCACACTAAAGATAAAATCTATTTGAAATTATGAAATGTTCATTGAGAAAGTTTAATATTATACAAAGACATTGATTTATCTCATCCCATCTTTTTGCTAACTACCTGTATATTACACATTTGGAAAGATATGGTATTCTCTGTCAGTACTTACTAATTTTTGGAGGTATTTGTTTTTATTGCATTGGATGTCCTGACTCTTTATTTGGAGGTTAAGGAATGACATTGATAGGCTTTTCTCATCTCTGAGGTTAGAAATTTCTCATGCGAAGAAACAAAGTGCCCTGGGTCAACTACAGCTCTGACGAGTGCGCCTCCTTCTCAGCACTGACAATGATTAAATGATAGAGTCAGACACTAACTCAGATCTATAGAACTGCATATTAGGACAAGGGATGCTGCCAGGGGTTGGGAGTGAAGATTGGGGTGATGGACTGACAGCACATCACAGTAAAGTTAGGATAATTTAAAAAGCAGGTGTCAGGCCACCTATCTTAAAAAAGGAAAGGGGTCAGAGGCCACAAGTTGCAGTCATCACAGATTAGGCCATGAGGAAAATGAAATTGGATTAACTCAACCAGTTTTTTAAACATGCTTGATCATGTGGTGCTGTTTTTCAAATTTCAATAGGTTGTTACCATTGGAATATGAATCGAGATCTGGAACTTAGCTTCTACCTTACTGCTTATTACAACTCAATTATAACTCATTCATAGATAAGATCTCTGCATTCATTACCACCACCACTATCTATCACCTGCCCCTCTGCCAAAAAACAAAAAAAACAACGAAAAAAAGGCAATCTGGGAAAATTTAAAGAGGGATTAGTACCAGGAATCTTTTAAAAATGTGCTAAAAGCTTGTCACTACAACGTAAAAGATATTTTTAAAAATTAATACACTCTTCTCGGAATGCCACTTTAAAAGTTACCGACTTCACCATTAAACTGTCGCAGATTAAAGAGCAAAACACTCATTATATCCTAATGTACAAGTGTAAATTTACATCTAAATCTCCCATATTCCCCATAAAGTAGTAAAAATGTATTTTTTTAGAAACAGTAACAAAAAGATGTAAGTGGGTGAACTTCTAGACTGATAAAAGATCTTGTAGACTTGTCTATCCCTGCTATTTCCACCAAGTATAATGATAGATTCTGGAAATAATACAGAAGACAACCGAAGAGAATTCTGAAAAGTAGAAAGAGGAAGCTTAGGACCCCAGGACTGGAACATACAATAACATAACGTTTTAAAAAAACTCTGAATGGGCTCAAGAATAGAGTGAAAAGACACAGGACAGAATCACTGAACTTGAGGACCCACCAATAGGCTTTATCTAACCTGACCAAAAAAGAGAAAACAGACGGAATATAAAAAGAACTGAGCCATAGGGTCCTATCAGACAATATCATCCGAATCTCAAAAAGAGAGAACAAAGTGTGCTGAAAGAGTACTGAAAAAATACTGGCTGTAAACTTCCCACATGTGGTGAAAGATACAAACCCACAGATTTAGGAAGTTAAGTCCAAAAAAGGATAAACCCAAAAATATCGACACCAAGATCCATCATAATTGAACTTTTTGGAAACAAAACAAAACAAATCTTGAAAGCAGCCTGAGAGAATAACACATTACCTGCCTGTAAAAGAACCCTAATTTGAATGATAGTAGATTACTCATCTGAAATTACAGAACCAGAAGGAATGGCATATTTTTTTTCAGGGCTGATAGAAAAGAATTGTCAACTATAAATTATATATCCAGAGAAACTATCCTTCAAGAATAAAAATGGAAATAAAATCTTTTTAGGCCGGGTGCGGTGGCTCACGCCTGTAATCCCAGCACTTTCGGAGGCCGAGGTGGGCGGATCACGAGGTCAGATCGAGACCATCCTGGCTAACACGGTGAAACCCCGTCTCTACTAAAAATACAAAAAATAGACGAGCGTAGCGGCGGGAGCCTGTAGTCCCAGCTACTCAGGAGGCTGAGGCAGGAGAATGGCGTGAACCCGGGAGGCGGAGCCTGCAGTGAGCCGAGATTGTGCCACTGCACTCCAGCCAGGGCGACAGAGTGAGACTCCATCTCCAAAACAATAACAACAACAAAAAACCTTTTTAACACAAAAGAAAACTAAAATAATTTGTCGCTAGCAGACATTCCCTAAAGAATGGCTAAAGGAGGTTTTTCAAAAAGAAATTATAACGAAGGATTCTTGGAACATCAGGAAAAAAATGAAAAGAGAAGAAATATGGATAAATATAATAGACTATCCTTATCAATTTTTGAAATGATATATGATAATTGACACAAAAACTGTAATACCATATGATACTCAAGACAATGATATTTAGAAGTGGGGAAGATAAAGGACCCAAATAGACATAAGGATTCCATATTTCATTATGAGAGTGAAGATATTTAAGTTGACTGTGGTAAGTCACATATGTACACTATAATACCAAGCAACGAGTAAGAAAATTATAAAAATTACCTTAAATGTAAATGGTTAAAATATAACAAAAGTTAGATGCTGGCAGAATCAACTGAAAAAAAAATAACACAACGAGAAATTTATAAGAAACTCACTTCAAAATAAACATAGGCAGGTTAAAAGTAAAAGGATGGAAAAAATACACTCTGCAAAACTTAAATTTGAAAGAAAGCAGAATGGCTATCTCATAAAATAGACTTCAGAACAAAAATACTAGAACAGGGACATTACATAATGATTTAAAAAAAAATCACCAGGAAGACATAAATGCATATGCAAGAAACAATACACCCTTAAAAAAATGAGGCAAAAATTGAGACTTCTGGTTTCCAATCTGATATGACATTAAGAGTCTGGAAGTCATCGCTCCCATTCTCACAACAAGAAAAAAGCTGCACTAACTAAAAATAAACAGTTCTTCTTACACAGTTAAAGTCATAGGGCAAACATTACTCCTAAAGCTGCAGAGACAACTGAAAACAGCATCACGGCTAATGGTGCCAAAGCAGATGGTGGAGTCTGGTAAAAGCACTTAAAATGTAACTGACTAATTGATGGATACTGAGCAAGGACAAGCTACAGAGATTGAAAACTCCTAGAGTGGGGGATACGCCTTAGAGGGTCAACACACCTTCAAGAGTTTTATCTCCAGGAAGAGCCCCATCAAGTTCTCAGAATAAAGATAGGAAAAAAACGCTCTTATGTCTCCAGCAGGGGGAGGGAAGGAGAAAACATTTTTGAAATAAGCGCTGAACATTATGTTCTCCTTAACAACATTCTAATCCCCCAAAAAGCTAGTTTACTAGAGCCTAAACCACCTAGGGGAATGGAAATACCCAGAACCAGCCCCCTCTACCCTTCTTTTCTTACCCAAGGGAAGGGGAAGGAAGCTGAGAAGCACTCTGAAGGTCACAGTCCAGGAAGACAGGTTCTCTAAAAGACTGACCTAATCCTAAGAGTACAGGATGCTTCTGGCCGGGCGCGGTGGCTCACGCCTGTAATCCCAGCACTTTGGGAGGCCGAGGCGGGCAGATCATGAGGTCAGGAGATCGAGACCATCCTGGCTAACATGGTGAAACCCCATCTCTACTAAAAATACAAAAAATTGGGTCGGGTGAGGTGGCTCAAGCCTGTAATCCCAGCATTTTGGGAGGCTGAGGCGGGCGGATCACGAGGTCAGGAGATCCAGACCATCCTGGCTAACATGGTGAAACCCCGTATCTACTAAAAATAGAAAAAAATTAGCCGGGCGTGGTGGCGGGCGCCTGTAGTCCCAGCTACTGGGGAGGCTGAGGCGGGAGAATGGCGTGAACCCGGGAGACGGAGCTTGCAGTCAGCTGAGATGGCGCCACTGCACTCCAGCCTGGGCTACAGAGCGAGACTCTCTCAAAAAAATTAAAATAAAATAAAAACATTAAAAAAAAAAGAGTATAGGATGCTTCTCCTCTCCCCGCACCTTATCATCAATCAGATCAGTACATTACCTGTATAGTAACAGGAGATTAAAAATGAAAGAGCTGTCAATTTTAGACCCTATTTAAGACAGAGTCTCTGGGAAAACTCAAAACGGAAGAAAGAAAAATAAAATAACCTTAGAGGAAATTTTGGCCTCTGACACAACAGTTATGCAAAGAGCAAATTCAGCCTAACTACTAACCAGATAAACATAAAACCTTACATTAAAGGCTTCCTTACCTCAGTTCCTTTGCCAATACAACATGTCTGGCTTTCAACAGAAAATTGCAAGGTATGCTAAAGCCAAACAATACAGTCTTATGAGACGAATCAAGCAAACATGCAGTTATGACAGATTTGGAAATATCAGATAAGGAATTTGAAATAATAATCAATATGCTAAGGGCTCTATGTTGAAAAAGTGGGCAACATGCAAGAAGAGATAGGTACTATAAACAAAGATATGAAATCTCAAAATCAGAAGGAAATACAGAGATTAAAAGTAAACATTGTAGAGTGTCTTTGATGGCCTCATCAAAGTCTGGGAAGACTGGGAAGTGCTGAGGAAAGAATCAGTGAGTTTGAAGATACGTCAATGAAAATTTTCCATTAAACACAAAGAGAAAAAGAATGAAAAATGAAACATAATATCCAAACTGTTGGACAATAATTTTTTTTTTTTTTTTTTTTTTTTTGAGATGGAGTCTCTCTCTGTCGCTCAGGCTGGAGTGCAGTGGTGCAATCTCGGCTCACTGCAAGCTCCGCCTCCTGGGTTCACGCCATTCTCCTGCCTCAGCCTCCCGAGTAGCTGGGACTACAGGCGCCTGCCACCACGCCCAGCTAATTTTTTGTATTTTTAGTAGAGACGTGGTTTCCCCGTGGTAGCCAGGATGGTCTGGATCTCCTGAACTTGTGATCCGCCCGCCTCGGCCTCCCAAAGTGCTGGGATTACAGGCAAGTGAGTCACCGCGCCCAGCCCTGTTGGATAAATTCAAACGGTGTAACCTATGTAACCCATAATCGGAATACCAGAAGTAGAAGGAAGAGAGTGAGAACCAGAAGAAATATTTAAAATAATGACAGTTGAGAATGTTTCAAAATTAATGACAGACATGAAACCATAGGTTCAGGAATCTCAGCAATCACCAAGCAGGTTAAATACAAAAAAAACCACACCTAGGCATCTCATATTCAAATTGCAAAAAATTGAAGACTTTCTTAAAATTAAAATAAAATCTTTTAAAAATAAAATCTCGAAATAAACCAGAGTAAAATAAAACACCTTACCTACATAGGAGCAAGAATGAGAATTATGCCAGATTTCCCTTAAGAAACCATGCAAGCAAGAAGAAAGTGAAGTGAAATATTTAAACTGTTGAGAGAAAACACACACTAATATAAAATTCTATATCCAGTAAAATTATCCTAAATAGTAAAGTAGAAATAAAGACTTAGATAAACAGAATTGAGGAAATCTTTCTCCAGTAGACCTACCTTGCAAGCCATGTTAATAGAAGTTCCTCAGAGAAAAGAAAAACAATATAGGTCAAAAACACAGAAATACATAAAGAAAGGTAGGAGCATTAGAGAAGAAAAAAATTAAAATAAAATCTAGTGTCTTCTTCTTAATTGATGTAATAGGTAACAGCTCTAAATAATACTAACAATGTATTGGGTGATTATGGCTTATGAATAAGTAAAATGAATGATAATAATGTAATACAAAATAAGACAGAAGGATTGGAAATGCTGTGTTATAAAGTACCAGCACCATTAATGAAGTGGAATAGTGTTATTTGAAAGTAGATTGTTATAGTGTATATTTTATACTCAAAGGCTACCACTAAAACAATTACCAAGAAATGTAATTAATATTCTAGGAGAAGTGAGGATATGGAATCATATAAAATGCTCAATTAAAACAAAAAATGTGAGAGGGGAATTCAGGAAAAAAAGAAGAAACAAGGGCAACAAATAAAAAAGAGTTACAATATGGCAAATATTAATCCAAGTATCAATAATCACTTTAAATGTAAACAGTCTAAATATACCAATTAAGAAAGCAATGGCAACAAAAGCCAAAATTGACAAATGGGATCTAATTAAACTAAAGAGCTTCTGCACAGCAAAAGAAACTACCATCAGAGTGAACAGGCAACCTATAGAATGGGAGAAAATTTTTGCAATCTACCCATCTGACAAAGGGCTAATATCCAGAATCTACACAGAACTTAAACAAATTTACAAGAAAAAATCAACCTCATCAAAAAGTGGGCGAAGTATATGAACAGACACTTCTCAAAAGAAGACATTTATGCAGCCAACAGACACATGAAAAAATGCTCATCATCACTGGCCATCAGAGAAATGCAAATCAAAACCACAATGAGATACCATCTCACACCAGTTAGAATGACGATCATTAAAAAGTCAGGAAACAACAGGTGCAGGAGAGGATGTGGAGAAATAGGAACACTTTTACACTGTTGGTGGGACTGTAAACTAGTTCAACCATTGTGGAAGACAGTGTTGCGATTCCTCATGGATCTAGAACTAGAAATACCATTTGACCCAGCCATCCCATTACTGGGTATATACCCAAAGGATTATAAATCATGCTGCTATAAAGACACATGCACACATATGTTTACTGAGGCAGTATTCACAATAGCAAAGACTTGGAACCAACCCAAATGTCCATCAATGACAGACTGGATTAAGAAAATGTGGCACATATATACCATGGAATACTATGCAGCCATGAAAAAGGATGAGTTCATGTCCTTTGTAGGGCCATGGATGAAGCTGGAAACCATCATTCTCAGCAAACTATCGCAAGGACAAAAAACCAAACACTGCATGTTCTCACTCATAGGTGGGAATTGAACAATGAGAACACTTGGACACAGGAAGGGGAACATCACACACCGGGGCCTGTCATGGGGTGTGGGGAGAGGGGAGGAATAGCATTAGGAGATATAGCTAATGTAAATGATGAGTTAATGGGTGCAGCACACCATTAACATATGGATACATATGTAACAAACCTGCATGTTGTGCACATGTACCCTAGAAATTAAGGTATGATAATAATAAAATAAAAGACTGAGACTGTCAGAGTGAACAACAACAACAAAACCCATGATCCACCTACATGTTGTCTACTGAAATCCTCTTTAAATATAAAATAGCGGGTAGATTTGAAGAGCTAGAGAAAGATATACCATGGTAACACTAACCAAAAAGAAAGACAGAGTATCTAAATTAATTTTAGACAAAGCCAACTGCAGAGCAAGGAAAATTATCAGAGATGAAAAAGGGCATTACACAATAATAAAGGGGTCAATATAACAAGAAGATATAATAATGCTTAATATGTATATACCTAGCAACAGAAGAGTCAAAATATATTAGGGGGAAACTGATAGAACTGCAAGGACAGAGAGACACATCCATTATTACCACTGGAGACTTCAACACCCCTCTATGAGTAAGTTACAGACTCAGCAGGAAGAAAATCATTAAGGATAGATTTGAACTGAACAGCACCATCAATCAACTGGATCTAACTGAATACTTTAGAATTCAATTAGCGTTATAGAATATTTTATCTAGACACTGCAGAATACACATTCTTCTCAAATACAAATGCACAATTCATTAAGTTAAACCACATTCTAGGCCACAGAACACTTTACCAAATTTAAAAGAATAGAAATCACAAAAGGCATGTTCTTGAATCAGAATGGAATTAAACTAATAATAGCAGAAAGAGAGCTGAAATATCCTCAAATACCAAAAAATTTAAAAACACATTTCTAAATAATAAAACATGGTGAAAGAGAAAGTCTCAAGAGAAACAAAATTTTTTAACTAAGCCAGTAATTAATAACCTTCCCAAACAGAAAGTACCAAGCCCAGATGATTCACTGGTGAGTTCTATCAACATTGGAGAAATAAATGATACCAATTTTCCACAATCTGTTGCAGAAAATAGAAGCAGAGTGACTATTTCTTAACTCATTCCATGGGCCAGCATTACCCTAATACCCAAACCAGCAAAACCTTACAAAAAAGTAAACTGCAAACAAATATCTCCCTTGAACATGGATGAAGCAATCCTTAAAAAATATTAGCAAATTGAACCAAACAATTTTTAAAAATAAACACCACAACCAAGTGGGATTTACTCTAGATATGCCTTTAACATTTGAAAATTAATTAATATAGTCCATCAGATCAACAAACTAAAGAATAAAAATCATATGCTTCCAGTACTTTCTGCTCAATTTCTATGTAAACTTAAAATTGCTAAAAAATATAAAGCCTATTAATATAAGAAAACTGATGGAGCAGAATGGAAAAATAAACAGATCCACAATTATAGTACAGATTTCAAAATGTCTCTCTTAGCAACTGACAGAACTACTGGACAAGAAGTCAGCAAGGATATACAAGATCTGAACAACATAATCAACCAACAGGATCTCATTGAAATACATACAGAATACTCCACTTAAGAATAGCAGAATATACATTTTTTTTTCAAATGCCCATGAAAAATTTACAAGACAGACCATATCCCTGGGAGCCAAACAAACCTCAACATATTTAAAAGAACTAAAATCACACAAAGTATATTCTCTAAGCATAATGGAATCAAACTGGAAATCAATACCAGAAAGAGAAAAAGAAAATCTCTAAACACTTAGAAATTTTTTAAAATACACTTCTAAATAAGCTACAGGTCAAAGAATATGCTTCAAAGAAATTTATTAAAATACTTAAATGAAAATGAAACTACATGAAAAACTAAATGAAAATGAGAATACAACATATCAAAATATGTGAAATGTAGGTAAAACTGTGTTGATAGGGAAAACGTAGCACTAAATGCCTACATTAGGAAAGAAGAAAGCCCTAAAGCCAATAATGTAAGTTCTTACCTCTAGAAACTAGAAAACAAAATTAACTCATACAAGCTGAAGGAAGGAGATAACAAAGAGAAGAGCAGATTTCAATAGAATTTGAAACAAAAATAATAGAGAAAATCAAGAAACGAAAATCTAGTTCTAAAAAACAGTAAGATTGAAAAACTTCTATAAAGACTGACAGACAAAAAAAGATGAGACAAACTATGAATATGAGAAATTTAAGTGGATATCACTACAGATGCTGGAGACATCAAACGAATAATAAGAAAATACTACAAATAATTCTACACAAATCAACTTGACAATTCAGATTAATGGACAAATTTCTCAAAAAGTACAAACTACCACAATTCACCTAACATGAAATAGGTAATTTAAGTAATTGTAATTATTAAGAAAATTGAATTCATAATTTAAAATTACTGAAAAAAAATCTCTTGGCCCAGATGGTTTTATTGGAGAATTCTTTTTGTTTTGTTTTGGTTTTGGTTTTTATTTTTGAGATGAAATCTCGTTCTGTTGTCCAGGCTGGAGTGCAGTGGTGTGATCTTGGCTCACTGCAACCTCTGCCTCCCAAGTTCAAGCGATTCTCCTGCCTCAGCCTCCTGAGTAGCTGGGATTATAGGTGTGTGCCACCACACCCAACTAATTTTTGTATTTTTAGTGGAGACGGGGTTTCACCATGTTGGCCAGGCAGGTCTCGAACTCCTGACCTCAAGTGATCCATCTGCCTCAGCCTCCCAAAGTGCTGGGATCACAGAGCCACCCTGCCGGGCCTTACTGGAGAATTCTACCAAATGTTTAAATAAAAATTAAAGTCAATTTTACATAATCTCTTCCAGAAAACAGGAGACTAGAGAATGCTACCAAATTCATTTTATGTAGGCAGTATTGTCCTGATACTGAAACCAGATAAAGACAATATGAAAAAAGAAAACTACATATCAATATCTCTTATGAATTTGAATGCAAAAATATTCAATAAAATATTAATAAATCAAACACATTAGAAATGTATTTTTTAAATTATACATTATGGCAAAATGGGAGTTGCTCTAGTTATGCAAAGCTGATTCAACATATCAACAGACAAAAGAAGAAATATAATATTTTAATACCAATTGACACAGAAAAGACATTTGACAAAAATCCAATGTCCTTTCAAAATAAAAACTGTCAGCCAACCAGGAATAAAAGGGAACTACCTCCACATAACATAGGAAACAAGAATGAATGCTTTTCCCCTAAGACAGGAAACAAGGCAAGGATGTCTGCCCTCACCACTCTAGCTCAACCTAGTATTGAAAGTCTAGCTACTGCAATAAAGCAAGAAAAATAAATTAACTCCCTACAGATTGACGAGGAAGAAATAAAGCTGACTCTACTTGCAGATGACATGATTTTCCATATAGAAAATCCCAAGGAATCTAAAAAAATATTAAGTTCAAAAAAGAGCTTATAAGATTAGTATGAAACAATCATATTTCATATTCTAACAAGAAACATATGTAAACAAAAATTTAAAGCACAACAGCACTTACAATCAATCAAGAAACTAACTAAATGCCTAAGCATACTTATAAAACATATAATCTCTGGATGCTAAGAATTACAAAATGCTGAGGCAAGAAATCAAAGATCCAAATAAATGGAAAGATATCTCATGTTCATGGATTGGAAGACTCAAAACAGTAAAACACCAATTTTCCCTTCATTGAGCTATTATGTTTAATGTCATTCCCATAAAAATTCTAGCAAGATGTTTGTAGACATAAACAAATTTATTACAAAATTTATACAGAATGAGGCAAGCTACAGACTTAAACAATCTTGAAAAAGAAGAATAAAGCAGGAGGAATAACTCAACCCTGCTACACAGCTACCACGTTCAAGACAGTGTGATATTGGTGGAGGCATATAAATTAATGAAACAGATAAAGAATGCAGAAACAGACCCACCACACAAGTAAGTTCAACCAATTTTTAACACTATTTAAAATGCAATTCAATGCAGGAAGGATAGCCTTTTCAACAAATGGTTCTGGAGCAACTGAACATTCATAGTCAGAGAGAGTGAGAGAGAATCAACTCTCACATCTTATATAAAATGTGTCCCAAAATAGGGCATGGAATTAAAAGTAAAAGGTAAAACTATAAAACTTTTAGGAAAAAAATTCAAAAATCTTTGGAATTGGAATTTAGGGTTAGGTAAAGAATTTTTAGAATTGACACGATGTGTACAACCCATAAAAGGAAAATATGATAAACTGAATCTCATCAAAATTAAAACTTTTGCTCTAAAAAATTCCAGTTAAGAGTCGATGAATAGGCAAGCAACAGAGTGGGAAAAAATATTCGCAAATCACATATCCAACAAAAGGCTAGTATCTAGAATATATAAAGAACTGAAAATTCAACAGTAACAAAACAAATCCAAACAATCCAATTAGAAAATGAACAACAACAAAAACATTCACAGACATCTATCTCACTGAAAACGATATACAGATGGCAAATAAGCATATAAAACATGCTCAATATTATTAGACATCAGGGAGACACAAATTAAAACCACAATAAAGATATTACTACACAGTTATCAGAATAGCTAAAATAAAAAATAGTCACAACACC
This sequence comes from Homo sapiens, assembly GCF_000001405.40. Taxonomy (NCBI): domain Eukaryota; kingdom Metazoa; phylum Chordata; class Mammalia; order Primates; family Hominidae; genus Homo; species Homo sapiens. The sequence goes on from NC_000009.12 coordinate 41,950,244, forward strand.
AAATGCGGATGAGCATGTGGAGGAAATGAAATCATACACTGTTGGTGGGAATGGTACAACCATTCTAGAAAACAATTTGGCAGCTTTTTATAAAACTAAGTATGCAATTACCATATATGACCCACCTATTGCCCTTTGGGGCATTAATTCCAGAGAAATGAAAACTAATGTTCACACAAAACCTGTACACAATGTTCATAAAAGCTTTATTCATAATTGCCCCAAACTGTAAACAAACAACCCAGATGCCCTTCAATGAGTGAATAAACTCTGGCATATCCATGCCACCGATTGCTAATCAGCAATGAAAAGGAACAAATTACTGATATACACAATTATGCAAATGAATCTAGAGAGGATTACACAGAGTGAAAAAAACTCAACCACAAAGAGTACATACTATATAATTTCATTTACATAACATTCTTGAAGTTTAAAAAAACCCATAGAAATGGAGAACATACTAGTGGTTATTAACGAGCAATAGAGCAATAGGAGGAATTCTTTTTTTTTTTTTTTTTTTTTTTTTTGAGACGGAACGGAGTCTTGCTCTGTCGCCCAGGCTGGAGTGCAGTGGCGCCATCTCGGCTCACTGCAAGCTCCACCTCCCGGGTTCACGCCATTCTCCTGCGTCAGCCTCCCAAGTAGACTACAGGCACCCGCCACCACACCTGGCTACTTTTTTGTATTTTTAGTAGAGACGGGGTTTCATCGTGTTAGCCAGGATGGTCTGATTTCCTGACCTCGTGATCCGCCCGCCTCGGCCTCCCGAAGTGTTGGGATTACAGGCATGAGCCACCGTGCCCAGCCAATAGGAGGAATTCTTGTGCTGATGGAAATACTGTGTATCTTGACTGTATGGATGTCAAGATTCCGGCTGTGATATTGCACTATACTTCTACAAGATGTCACCTTGGGGTGGGGGAACTGCTTAACGGCTATTCGGGTTCTCTCTGTTACTTCTCACAAGTGTATGTAAATCTACAATTATCTCAAAATTTTTTTTAAATTATCTTTTCAAAAGAGGAGAAATAGGGAAATTCTCACTGATGGGAGTAGAATATTCCATTTCTTGTGTTATTTTAGCCCCTAGCCCAGTAGTTTCCAAAAGATCACCTGGGGATTTTTTTTTTAAACGATTCCAAAGCCAAGGCTACACTTCATTCAACAGCAATGAACTAACAAATAATTAAGTTTTGTAATGCCAACTTTAAAAAACTGGAGAACTGGGAAGGAGAGTTTCTTACTTACTGAACTTATGTAAGATATCTCATTTATAAAAGAAACCCCATGAGATCAGTACTACAGGGTCCATTTCATCAAAGAGGAAACAAAGTCTGAGAAAGATTAAGGAATGGCCTAAATTTCCACAACTGCTAAGTGACAGACTTAGCACTTGAACTTCAAACTTTGAATGCAACCAGACCTTTGCTCTTTCTACTAGACCAAATTGGCTGGCAGGCATCCAGGGGAGAGAGGGATCACCCTGGGAAGGGACCCAGATGCCGACTGCACAGGTCTAGCACAGTGGGTAAGATTTAAGAGTGTGAGGGCCGGGCGCGGTGGCTCACGCCTGTAATCCCAACACTTTGGGAGGCTGAGGCGGGCGGATCACCTGAGGTCAGGAGTTCAAGAACAGCCTGACCAACACGGTGAAACCCCGTCTCTACTAAAAATACAAAAATTAGCCGGGCGTGGCGGCACCCGCCTGTATTCTCAGCTATTCAGGAGGCTGAGGCAGGAGAATCGCTTGAATCCGGGAGGGGAGCGGGTTGCAGTGAGCAAAGATCGTGCCACTGCACTCCAGCCTGGGTGACAGAGAGGTCAATCCAGGCAGAGGAAATGGTCTGGCATATTCCAGGGGCTGATTGGCCAGACGGACTAGGGAAGGCAATGCAGGTATGGGTTAGTGGATCAGCGCAAACCACCTTCAGATGACAGTCATACACCACTTTCCAACTTAAAGATTTTGTATTGAAAATTTAAGAGTGAAATTTAATTTAAGTGGCTTTATTATGCTACCGACATACACTGTTTTTGTTTTTTTAAGACAAGGTGTTGCTCTGCTGCCCAAGCTGGAGGCAGTGAAGCAATCACAGCTCACTGCAGCCTGGACTTCCTGGGCTCCAGTGATCCTCCCGCCTATATACTATTTGGGATTGCTAAAACTAAAAAAATGAAAGGTAAATTTCAGTATTTAACTATAATTAGCAATAAAGTGCTTTCAAGAAACTATATGGAAACTGTTGGAGAGCAGCGGTGAGTCCTGCAGGGGACTGTGGGGATTCCGGAAAGGAGGGGGAAGTTGGTCTTTAACTTAGGAGAAGACGGTTTTGATGCAGGCAGAGTTTCCAAAACATTACTTCCATATATGAAGATTAAGGTATACATTTCTCAAGATATAATTTCAAAAAAATGAGACACCCACTGACAAAAGGTTTTAATAACCCTAGTCATTATTTCATCCTAGACCACAGTGAAAGTGGCGGGGCTGAGGAAGGGCATATTCAGTTAATCTAAAGGGAGGAAACAAAGGTTCCAAGTAGATTTAGAGGAAGACTTTGAGAAGAGTAAGGAGGTTACCGGTTCCCACTGGTCTTCATGAAGAACTGTTAGACCCAGCCTGCCCTACAGCCATTATCTCCTCAGTGTGAACGGAAAGCTAAGGCATAAGTTATTAGCAAAATTTCCCTTGATTAAGAAAGGACAAGTCACTAGTCCTGCATATGAACGCGCTGAACGTCTCTCAACGGTCAGGAAGGCGCTCTTGAATGCTCTTTGGTCCAACCAAGAGCGGGAAGAGAAGGAGAGAGCGGTCAGGGCTTTGAACTAAGAGCCACGGGAGGGACCCTGGCCTTTTCTCCCTCAAAGGCATCTCGCAGCCCGAGGGCCGCGCCCCGGCCTCGTGAGCCCCTGTAGCCTCCAGCAGTGGCGCTTACCTCGTGAGTCCGGGCGCCGCGCTGTCCCGCAGCGCAGAGCCAGCCGCTGCTCGCAGCGCTCCGCCAGGTTCACCGCGGCCCGCAGCTGCCCCGCGCCCGCTGCGTACGCGAAGGACACAGCCGAGAGCGGGTGCCCGCTGGGGGCACCTCGGAGGGTCACCGCGTCGGGGCCACCGTGCCGCACCACCGTCCACGCGGAGTCTGCTGAGCAGAAACGGGCAAAGGAGAGGCATCACTGGGCGGCAGACGCCAGCAGCAAGAGGCAAAGCAGACCTTTTATGTGAATTAACGTTTAATTGAAATTTACATTACTGCATGTTTGCCGCGATTTGAGGAGTTGGACCTGTGTAACAATGTACTGAGCCAGAACTCAGCCTCTAAGAGAAAGCATATTGGAAGAACTGATGACCAAACTTTTGCGACGTCACGCCTAAAAATGTATCATGTAAGCAATGACTTTTTAGTTGTTAAAACCATTTTTTTATATCAACACAAGCATGGGGCCAAACTGTTACTACCTGGACCTTTATCTTTTTAAACTCATCTGCATTTTCCTCATCTGTATGTGCCTCTATTTCTTTCATTATCGAATAAATTTATAAAAGATACATATTGGGACGATGTGACGCACATACTCACAGGTATGATAGGAAGCAGCTCTATTAAAATAAAGTGGTTTAATTATGTCAGCTTCTCCATCAGTGACCAAGCCCAGAGGAATCAGAGGCCTTGAGCTTCTAACAGCACTTTCCAGGCGGTGACCCTGAGCATCTGACTGCCTGCTGACATCATTTCTGATGTATCTCTGTCACTTGATTACTTATATTGTTTTGATGAAATAAAAACAAAATGACTCCACAATCTCAAAAGGGAAGAAGTGCATCTTGAGTTCTTTAGTGTTCCCAACAATGGACCTCCCACCAGACTTGAAGTCACTTTAATTCTACTATGCTGGTGCTGTCTGGTCCTTTAACCTCTAATAAGATGTATTTAGAATAATGGACATTTTACATAAAAATTTTCCGAACTGGAGAAACGAAGAAACATTTGTATGGGGATTTTTTAAGAACTACGAAACAAAACAATGTGATACATTTTACCTTGAGAAATCACCCTCCCAGCCCTTCACATCTCAGGATTTTTAATGGCTTGGCTGCTAAATGGCTAAATGGCTTGTGCGTAAGACAAATTTCACAGCCTTACTGTTACTTACACACGCCTAACAACAGAGATCAGAGGAAAGAAGGAAAAGAAAACCAGCCATGCTACTGAAATATCTCTTTAGTCACAGAACCCATGGAGAGCAAAGGTGTGATACCCACAAATGAGCCACAAGTACAGAAAAAAATCTGCAAATTTAAATAACGAATGCAATTTTAAATTAAATTATCACTCCACTCACTGTACTCACCAAAGGAGGCTCTAAGTGTGCCTATGGTAATTTCAATTCCATGGGTTCTTCCTTTAATATTGCTCTATTTTTTTATTTTAGATTTTTTATTTAACTTATTTATTTTTGAGATAAGAGTCTCGCTCTGTTGCCCAGGCTGGAGTGCAGTGGCGCTATCTCAGCTCACTGCAGCCTCTGCCTCCTGGGTTCAAGCAGTTCTCCTGTCTCAGCCTCACAAGTAGCTGGGACTACAGGCACACACCACCACACCTGGCTAATTTTTGTATTTTTTGGTAGAGACGGGGGTTTCACCATGTTGGCCAGGCTGGTCTTGAACTCCCAACCTCAGGTGATCCACCCGCCTTGGCCTCCCAAAGTGCTGGGATTACAGGTGTGAGCCACCACGCCTGGCCTCATTTTAGAATTTTTACAACCTGGTGTTACTCTGTGCACATCACCTACTCTCACCTTCAGAGTTTTCCTATCAACTGAATCAAATATAGAAAAACCTATGGAACACTAAGTTGGGCATTGAAGATGCTCAACCACATGCCATTTTTGGCCATGTGTTCATGATTTCTTGTACAATGGGAGAGAAATGATGGTCCGGAGTAGTTCACATAGGCTGGTGGGCAGTATGATAGATTTGCAGTCACCCATGGTTAAGATGTAATCACAGAAATGCCCTCAGTACTGAGAAGGGAACTGTTGAGAATACATCTGTAAAACTTGTTTTTCTGAAGAGTAGAATAGTAACCAGGGACATTATAGGATATGCATTTGTGTTTATAAAATTCCACTTGACTCACTTCTCCTTATAATATCAGTAGTAAAAGACCCAAAGAAGGACACAGACCATTGTGGTTTCCCTAATTGCTCATAATTTATTTCAATTGATTATAAGCATATTGGAACTGGAAAGGATCTTAAAGAGCATCTAATATAACCCTTATATTTTTCTTTTTCTTTTTTATTAGAGATAGGGTCTCCCTCTGTTGCCCAGCTTGGAGTGCAGTGGCACCTTCATAGTTTACTGCAGCCTCGACCTCCTGGGCTCAAGTGAATTGGACCTGAGTAGATTAATTATAACAGTGGCTAAATGTGGAAAGGGGTTCAGAGGTGTGGCTGAGTCAGAACACACTGGAGGCTGTCTCACTAGCCCAGAAGGAGGGTAACTGTAACACGTTGATCCCTGTTCCACTCCTGTTGCTCAAATAAATATCCAACTTTGAAAATTAAGCTAATTTAACTCATGATTTTGATTGGAATTAACAGTACAGATGTTCCTCAATTTATGATGAAGTTGCATCTGGATGAACTTATTATAAATTAAAAATGCATTTTAATACATGTGACCTACTGAACCTAGCTCAAACCAGCCTAACTTAAATGTGCTCAGAACACTTAAATCAGCCCACAGTTGGGCAAAATCATCTAACACAATGCCTATTTTATAATAAAGTGTTGAATATCTCATGTCATTTATTAACTACTGTACTGAGAGTAAAAAAAAAAATAATAATATTGGTTGTGGCCAGGCGTGGTGGCTCACGCCTGTAATCCCAGCACTTTGGGAGGCCGAGGCAGGCGGATTACGAGGTCAGGAGATCGAGACCATCCTGGCTAACATAGTAAAACCCTATCTCTACTAAAAATACAAAAAATTAGCCGGGCGTGGTGGCACATGCCTGTAGTCCCAGCTACCGGGGAGGCCGAGGCAGAAGAATCATTTGAACCCGGGAGGTGGAGGTTGCAGTGAGCCGAGATCGTGCCACTGTACTCCAGCCTGGGTGACAGAGCAAGCCTCTGTCTCAAAATAATAATAATAATAAAATAATAGTTGTATGGGTACTTGAAATAGGGATGCATATGGTTTCACATAGGGAAGTCGCAATATTGTAAGTAGAACTACTGTAAACGGGGATTGTCTGCACTTAAAATTTACTCAGTATATCATATGAAATCCCCAGCATCTGGTATACCCATTCCTATATGTCCCAGAAGAAAAAAGAAAATAAGATCCACTGTGTTCTGTTGTCAGGAGCATACATATTAAGGTTATCTCTTTTAGAGAACTGACCCTTTCATTTGTCTGAGAAAATCTTTATTTCTTCACTTTTCAAGGAGAAGGTTTTGTTTTGTTTTGTTTTCTCTCTTTCACACTTTAAGTATCTCACTGCATTCTTGCTGGCATGATTTCTGAAGAGAAGATGCTGTAATACTTATCTCCTATGTAGGTAAGGTGCTTTCTTCCTCTGATTATTTTTAAGAATTTACTTTTACCTGGCCTGGGCATGGTGGCTTATGCCTGTAATCCCAGCACTTTGGGAGGCTGAGGTGGGTGGATCACCTGAGTTCGGGAGTTGAAGACCAGCCTGACCAACATGGAGAAACCCTGTCTGTACTAAAAATACAAAAATTAGCCAGGCATGGTGTCACATGCCCATAATCCCAGCTACTCAGGAGGCTGAGGCAGGAGAATCACCTGAACCCAGTAGGCGGAGTTGTGGTGAGCCAAGATCGTACCATTGCACTCCAGCCTGGGCAACGAGAGTAAAACTCCATCTCAAAAAAAGGAGTTTACTTTTATCTTTGAATTCTATAGTTTGAAAATATATGCCTGGTAGAGTTTTGGGGGCATTTCTCCTTCTTTGGTGTTCTCTAAACTTCCTGGATTTGTGGTTTGGTGTCTGATACTAATTTGTGGGAATTCTCAGTCATTATTTCTTCAAATATGCTTCTGTTCCTTTCTTTCTTTCTTCTCCTAGAATTCTCTTTACACGTATGTTACACCTTTTGTAGTTGTGCCACTGTACTCAGATATTATGTTCTGGGTTTTCTTTTTGCAGGGGGTGGGGTTCAGTCTTTTTTTCTCTTTGCTTTTCAGTTTTGCAAGTTTCTATTGAGGTATCTCTAAGCTTAGGGATTCTTTCCAAAGCTGTGCCTGGTCTACTAATAAGCCCATCAAAGGCATTCTTCATTTCTGTTATGCTGTTTTTGATCTCTAGCACTCCTTTTTGCTTCTTAGAATTTCCATCTTGCTGCTTACATTGTTCATCTGGTCTTGCATGCTATCTACTTTACCCATTACAGCTTTTTCCATATTAATTATAGTTGTTTAAAGTCCTGGTCTGATAATTCCAATGTCCCTGCCATATCTGACTCTGGTTTTTGTTTGTTTGTTTTGTTTGTTTTTTGGTTTTTTTGAGACAAAATCTCGCTCTGTCACCCAGGCTGGAGTTCAGTGGCATGATCTCAGCTCACTGCAAGCTCCGCCTCCTGGATTCATGCCATTCTTCCTTCTCAGCCTCCCGAGTAGCTGGGACTACAGGCACCCGCCACTACGCCCGGCTAATTTTGTTTGTATTTTTAGTAGAGACAGGGTTTCACAGTGTTAGCCAGGATGGTCTCGATCTCCTGACCTCGTGATCCGCCTGCCTCAGCCTCCCACAGTGCTGGGATTACAGGCGTGAGCCACCGTCTGTTTTTAATGCTTGCTCTGTCTCTTCAAAGTGTGTTTTTTGCCTTGAACTTTTTTCTTTTTCTTTTTTTGGAGACAAGGTCTTTCTCTGTTGCCCAGGCTAGAGTGCAGTGGTGTGACCATGGCTCACTGCAGTCTCCAACTCCCAGGCTCAAGCGATCCTCCCACCTCAGCCTCCCAAGTAGCTGGGACTACAGATACATGTCACCATGCTGTTTTGTTGTTGTTGTTGTTGTCACAATGCTGTTTTGTTGTTGTTTTTGTTGTTGTTGTTGCAGAGGTGGGGGTCTCACTGTGTTGCCCAGACTGGTCTCAAAACTGGTCTAAGGCTATCTTCCCTCCTCAGCTTCTCAAAGTAATAGGATTATAGGTCCAGCTGAAATTTTTTCTTGATAACCAGATGTGATGTACCAGGTAAAAGTAACTGTAACTGCTGTAAAGAGGCCTGCAGTACTATAAGTAACATGTGTGGGAAGGGGAAAGGTTCTGTAGTCCTGTGATTAGGTCTGAGTCCTTTAGGGAGCCTGTGCCTCTGGGCTGTGACCTTCACAAGAGCTTCTCAGCCCTCCCTCCCATCACCACCCTTACATGGGACAGGATGGCCAGAGGTGGGTAATTTCCTTCCTCCAGGCAGGTTAGGCTCTGAAAACAAAAAACAAAACAAAACAAAACAAAAGAAAACAAAACACCAGTAGCTTAGGTGAAATATTTGCCCTTGAGGAAAGACCTTGTTAAGAAGAACAGAAAGCTCTGGTGTACTTCAAGACGGTTCCTTTTCACCTTCCCTTTCTGGAAGCATGAGGAGATTTTTCTCCAACATTCACTGTGAGAACCCAGTCAAGCTAGGTGTCAAACTCACAGAAGTGTGGGGATCCTTCTCTGTCTGGGTCTTCCTGGAGTTTTTAATTCTCAGATGTGTCCACATCAAACATCCAACAATTCGTCAATTAAGTTTAGGTTTTCCTACCTTGACAACGGTTTCCCCAAAGGTTAGTGCTTGTGGAAGAAAACTGTCATTCTGTATATAAGCCTGCCTGTCTCTCCAATTTTGAGGGGCAGTGGTTTGTTCTGTGACCTCACTTCTCTGCTGGATCTAAAAAAATTGGTTAATTTTTCAGTTTGCCTGGCTTTTTACTTGTTCTTAAGATAGAGTGCTGACTTCCAAGCTCTGAAGCAACTGCTTTTTGAAGGTTATTACGATATATACATTTCAAGCTATTAGAGTAGTTTGAAATTGCACATTTTATAATCATTATTGCTTGATTTGTACAACTAGAGAATTTATTACTGGCTATAGAGCAATGCGGCATCTAAAGAGAAGGTGACATTTTCTAGGGCAGAAAAGAGACCAGAGTTTAGTGATTCCCCTACCATTAGCTAGATTTTGTCAGTAGATACTTCCCTAACCAACTTTTCTGAGCCTTGATTTCCTCATCTTAAAATGATGACAACCAAGGTCCTTCCTGGTTGTGACTTTGGTTGAGTCTTTTGATATCCACCAAGACCATTTTTATGGGATTTCTCACTTTGCTTTCATTGTTTGAGTCGGGATTTTGGAGGTAATTGGTATCTTATGGCAGAACGCCTGTGTTTCTTTATCTTCAGCACATTGCTGTGCAGGTGGCTCTGAATCTTCTGAACATCCCCTGTAAAGTTTTACTATTTTTTGACAATCTTTGCTAAGGCACTTTAAATGCCCATGTAATTTCAGTTATTTGTTTCTTTATCCTTGATGCTTGCTGACCCATTTGGTTATTGTCCAAATTTATGAAACTTTTGAAACCTTTTGTCAGCACAATAAATGAGAACAGTTTATTCCAGATTTCCACTTTGCAGAGAGTTGGAAGAGCTAGGTGACAACAAATTTCTGTAAAAATGTAACTATTTAAAAGGCGTTCTAGTGCAATCTTCTATAATCAAGCTGTGTTCATTTCTTTTTTTCCTTTTTTTTTTTTTTTTTTTTGAGATGCAGTCTTGCTCTGTCGCCAGGCTGGAGTGCAATGGTGCAATCTTGGCTCACTGCAACCTCTGCCTCCCTGGTTCAAGGGATTCTCCTGCCTCAGCCTCCCAAGTAGCTGGGACTACAGGTGTGGGCGCCACCATGCCCAGCTAATTTTTGTATTTTTAGTAGAGATGGGGTTTCACCACGTTGGCCAGGATGGTCTCGATCTCTCGATCTCGTGATCTGCCCGCCTTGGCCTCCCAAAGTGCTGAGATTACAGGCGTGAGCCACCATGCGCAGCCCAAGCAGTGTTCATTTCTAATATCTAAAGCATGAGAAATAATCAAGTTTCTTTGGTTATGAAAAAATTATATGACATAAAAATCACTAAATTATTTAAGATGCACATAGAACATTAACATATCTATGTTATTTCTTAGCATTTTTAAACACCTCTGTTTTTTCTAAATACAGAAAGCATGTAAATCACCGAATCAGAGGTTTGTATTTTATCATGATGCACATGAACAGATGTATTATGAGGAGTGTAGGAGCTAGAGAGATGCCTTGGCAGAGCATTGAATCTTGCCTATAATCCAACCCAGGCAAAGAAGAAATACAAGAAAATTTTGTTGACAACAAAATTAATAAATACATATTTAATGCTTCTACTTAGCAAGTACACACTATCAAACTGCATGTTTTAATAATGCTGCCAACTAGGTAAATTTCTCCTTGGTCTATTCTGATCTATGCATCTAACGATTATCAACATACCTGTCATATTGCAGTACACAAGAAATGGTCCCAGGGGGCCACTTCCATCTGCATCAATATAGTAAAGCCCGGATGGGTTCCCTCGGTGCTTGTGGGCTTCACAAGACTGCTCGTAGAGAGCTGTAGGAGAACACCAGCCATAAGAACCAGAAAAAATATCTCCAGATGTTGAGTCAGTGTCCAAAGGTTTGCATTTCTGAATTACAGACATGTGATACATATGACCCAACATCATTTTTATAGTGTATGAAAGTATATTTGATGAGATGCAAGAAAAATGACATTTAAAAAATTAAATCTATTTTTATTAACAAAGGAGAAAAAAATTACCTAGTCAAAATACATTCAAATGTTGGATGTTGTTAGATGCTGAATAAATATTCGGTCACAGTGTATTTCTATTTTGAGGAAGAAGGAAAGATTGTGTTGGTGTTCAAACATGAAGATGTGCTTACAGTGGGAATGCGATACTATCTTCAATAGACAATCTTTTGGCAATGTCTAGAGACTGTACTTTCTCTACATAAATGTTTTCTTTTGCTTTTAGGCAAGAAAGCATGCAAACTCTGAAGCACAGTGTAAAACACTTGAAGAGATACGAGAGGAAAACTTTGTGAATCTGAATTCTGCGTGCTATTGAAGCATGGTTCTTTTCAAACTCATGGCAAATATACCTCAGAATTAAACTCTATAATTAAGGAAGAAACCCTCATTCTCCCTGTAATAACTGAATACCTAAGCACATTAAAAGGCCTAAATAATCTGGTATTTTCCCATAAGCATTCTGTAAAGTTTTTCTTAAGCTATGCGGCAGTTATACCCTTTGCTTCCTTTAAAACAATATGAATGAGCATTTTAAAGAGATAAATGGAATTTATAAGCTATCAACTTCTCGTCATTAAAAAATAATTAAAGCTGATTTAAAAAAGAAACGTCCCTAAGTATTTTGCAAGTGACAATTCAAGACAGCTGAAATTCAAAACAGGAGAGAAACTTTTTTGAAAGATATCCCTATATAATGTAAATTTACTCTAGCATAATTGAATATTTTCATTTGTGCAAGTAAATGTTTTACCAAGTACAAGGTATGGAATTAATATCTGCAGGAGATGGACATTGCTAATCTTTATTTTTGTGCCACTTATGGCATATTGATTTAAATAGATACATATATTTGTATATGTCTGGTAGGATTCACTCAAATTAATAACAATACTTAAATATAGGGCACAGACTAGGTTTGGAATGGAGACAAATATTGAGGAAAGTGACTAGAACTTGTGCTTTATGTGAACTGTTTGGCTTTTTAAATGATAATGTATACATGTATTAATGTATAGTATATATTAATTGAATACAATTGATTTTAATTGTATAATTAATTATATACAATGAGTTATATACAATTAATAATTATATACAATTAATTAGTTGCACATAATTGATACATGTTATACAATTAGAAATACAAAATAACCTATTCAACTAGGTGTGGCAGTCTAGTCTCACAGTGAATGACTGTGGGCTTGGCAAATTTCTACCTATAGCCGTCAATTATTAGATGAGACTGACACTTGAAATACTTTTTCAATCTCCTGATATTTTCCCTCAGAAGTTTTTGGAGTTATATTTTGATTGCAGTGAATAACCATGGACTAATATAACTCATTGATTAATTGCAACATTAAATGCAATCAGACAATGCTGAGTGTGGTGGCAGATATAAATTTTCCAGGTAACACACAAGAATAGGCTTCTGCTTTTAGGTAAGATACTATGCCTGGAGGATGAAAGATACACAGAAGTAAAAGATGTGGTCCCTGCACCAACTCTATGACCTTATCAAGACATTCAGCCTCTGGTGTGAGAGGCCACTCAACTCCTAGAAAATGTGTCACAGCGGCTGGGCATGGTGGCTCATGCCTGTAATCCCAGCGCTTCGGGAGTCCAAGGCAGGTGGATCACAAGGTCAGGAGATCGAGACCATCCCGGCTAACATGGCAAAACCCCGTCTCTACTAAAAATACAAAAAATTAGCCAGGCGTGGTGGCGGGCGCCTGTAGTCCCAGGTACTCGGGAGGCTGAGGCAGGAGAATGGCGTGAACCCAGGAGGCGGAACTTGCAGTGAGCTGAGATCATGACACTGGGCTCCAGCCTGGGCGACAGAGCAAGACTCCGTCTCAAAAAACAAAAAACAAACAAACAAAAAAAAGAAAATGTGTCACAGCTTTATAAACAGGGACCCTTCTAGTACAAAAATCATACTTCATGCTTCAATCTGTGAGAGTCACTCCTGGACTGTCTCCTCTTTTGCCCAGATCCTTTACAGAACCTCAGGACTGGGAGCGCAGAATTCTCATTGCATGTATGAAGTGTGGTTTTAACACTCCACAGCCTGCCTTTCTCCTGTGGCTTTTGTGAAAATCAAATGTCTCATGGAAGAGTTCTTAAAAGTTTCAATTAGGAACTCAGGATGAGCAAGTGGAACTGAGGACTTTGCATCTCTGTTTCCTTGAAGACCCAGGGATGGGCGAAATATTCCTGAGGAGAAGTTGCTCAGAAACGTCAGTAGAGATATACAGAAAGAAAACTCTAAAAGTTAAAAACAAATAGGAAAAAAAAGGCTTTTCAGATTCTGTGATGTTCTAATTATAACAGGTTAGAGTTCAATAAAACGGCATGGCCTTTGAAATTCACAGAGGGTGATTCTTCAGTAAAGACAGATGATTTTTAATATGGCAGAGGCAGTTGAGAAGTGTTAGAATATGCCATCCCTTAGACATTGTTCTTACACTTAAATGTCTACCAGAAGCATGAGGAAGGTTGGTTACAAGAGACTCGGGGCCCCATCTCCAGCGATTCTGATTTAGTAGGTTTGGGTAAGGCCTGAGAGTCTTTACTTGCAACAGGTTCCCAGGGGCTGTGGGTGCTGCTGGTGCATGGACCACCAATCAGGCATCCTGGAGCCAAGGCTGTGGAGCCAACCTCCTTAGCTCAACTCCTCATCTTCCCACAAACTAGCTGGGGGCCAAGTTACTTAACCTCTTTCTGTCCTCAACTCTGCAATGAAGATAATAAGAGTACTTTCTTCCAGCTGCTTTAGGGTTAAATGAGTTAATATATGCAAAGCAATAGCAGAGGGCTGACATAAGTACTCAATACATTAATACTTTTACAATTATTCACTTTACAATCATCATCACCACCACCAAAGAAAATCACAGTCATTGTAAGAGATCTTAAAGGTCCTCTAGTTTCTAGCTGATATCCCATTACCTCTTCAAAAATCTTGCCATGTACAATCCCATGATTGCATCATCCCAGTGATTGTTAAAAAATCTTTAAATACCTTAAATGTAACATTGACAGCCTGGCAAGGGGTTGTTTTTCCACCTTTCTTTGACTGAGAAGATTCTCAGAATTAAAATTATGGTCCAACTCAAGTAATGGAACAAGCTGTTAACATCATGCATTTTTAATTTAATTTAGTTTCTACCTTTTACTATATCTGATTCTCCTAGACTTATTTCCCCATTGCTTGCCAGTTTCTTTTTTTCAATCCTATGCGTACCACGTATTTCTGTGCACTGTCTCAACACCCTTGTATTAAATAAGGTGGATTAAAAGTAAACTAGAAATTGAGTGCTGAAATATCTCTTCTGATGTGTTTGCATGATTGCAAATATGCAGATACATATAAACAACTAATCAAAATGAAATGACAAAGAGATGCTGACAGAAACGAGAGGGAGGTGTGAGGCTTACAGGAATGGCAGGTCTCGCCCGTATAGCCTGTGCCTAGACAGTCACAGGAGAAGGTGTCCCACGACTGGGAACACTCGCCCCCATGCTCACAGTAGCTGGGCAAGCACCTAAAAGAAAACAGATACAACTGCTGTTTCCCTTTTTCAATCATCAAAAAATAAGTGTCTTACCAAAAACAGGTTAATGTGAAAGGCCAGCATACGCAAGATAACCCCACATGACGTGATTACTGGGTCTGCCATCAAGGTTCTCTAATTATATTGACAAACTTTAGATAAATATATCCATTAGCATGCAGCTGATTATTAGGTTTCTGTGACAGCTGAATTTTCAACACATTTCTTTTTTTCTTTGTCCCAAGTGACACAATAACTTGACATGTGGCTAGCAAAACCAATTACACACATAAAACTATGAAATATGGCATGCTCAGTTACTATATTGTGGTCATTTTTAAAAGAAAGAAGGGGAAACAGGGAGGAAGATACAGAGGGGAGAAGAAAGAAACAGGAACAGCTTCAGTCACATAGTGACAGAGGTTCAGAAATTTTGAAGAACATTTAATTTAGGTCATCTTGTCGCCTTTTAGATTTGCAATAAGCAGTCGGTTATTGCTTTTTAAGCAATCTTAACACTGGTAATATGTCAATATGACCCAAAGCAATCCACAAATTCAATACAATTCTTATTAAAATCTCAATGCCTTTTTTTGCAGAAAACAATAATCCATCCTAAAATTCACAGGGAACCTCAAGGGACCCTGAACCAGCCAATGTTGAAAAAGAACAGTTGGAGGTCTCACACTTTCAGAATTCTTGGAATCTGCTGCCGCCCACTATAATATTGGGGGCCTAGCATGCCTGCCTCTCAGGATTGTTAGGGGAACAGGGAGCAGGGTACACTATGGAAACTGACCAGCACCTGACACAGAGTGTCACCAAGAGGTAGTGTGACCTTCTGGAGGCCTGGCCTGAATACCATGACCCACCTCTGCCTTGAGCAGGGTTGGATCTCAGCCTCTGGCCGCTGTCTCCCACTGCTGAGTACACAGCTAAGGACCTGGTAAAGAGTGAAGATTCTAAAGGACACTGACCTTCCAGGCCGTGAGGGACATCATAGTCCATGCTGGAGCGGCAGAGGCGGGGAGCACCCAAGTGCCCCTCACCATGGGACCCAGAGAAGTAACAGAAGAGGGGCTGGGAGGTTGTGACAGGCCTCCTGGCTGTGGTGGAAGGACGACCAGCAGAGAACTGGGGTATGAAGTTGACAGAAAGCCCCAGGGGCCTGTATTTGGCCTCGGGAGAGATCCTTTGAGGGGAACCTGAGGGGCTGGGAAGAATCCGCAGCATTCCCTACCCTCCCCATGCCCCCAGCCCCCTATCCTGGCTCTCCAGCACTGCACCACCAGCTCAGGGCCAAGACTTCCATAATTACATGGTGTTAATGAGCATTTAGTCTGCATTCAGAGAAGAGTTAGGGGCCATGAGAATCACAACTTTTCAAGTATTTCAAAGGCCAAGGCATGGAAAAGCCTGTGTGAACTGATCAGAAGAGGGGGAGCTGGAGCGACAGGCAAGGTTGGCTGGGGTGGGGGCCCACCCTCATACCATTTTTAAAAGAGCAGCTGTTCCTCTTCCCCCACATCCTTCTCCCCCTCCTCCCCTTCCTTCTTAATATAATGGAGCATCTTAAGATCATACCTGACTTGAAGATTCCACAAATTTTAAAAAACATTAAAAACCACTGCTGTTTGATATCAACAGGGAGAGAATAATTTTAGTTCAAAATATTTGGAAATAAGAACTATTTAAGTGATCTAGAGACTATCAACATGTATACACTATTTTTCTTCAACTAAACACAACATCAATTGTGAAAAATTTACATGTAGTACAAATAATAGAGGAAGTAGCTAGCATGCAGAAGACCAACAGAGGGGAAGATGGCAGAGGGAGGGCAGGAGTGGGGTCAGCAGCCTGGTCAGCACAGCCAGGTGAGGAGGTGACAGAGGCCTCCCTGCTCAGGGAGCCCCAGTTGGAACGCAGCACAGGACTCCACTGGAAGCTCTGCCATGTGGTATACAGGGCAAACCTTAAAACAGTATAGGAGTCTGATGTAAGAGGTGATTAAGAAGTTAAAACCTATCCTGGCTGGGTGTGGTGGCTCACGCCTGTAATCCCAGAACTTTGGGAGGCTGACGCGGGTGGATCACGAGGTCAGGAGATCGAGACCATCCTGGCTAACACGGTGAAACCCCGTCTTTACTAAAAATACAAAAAATTAGCCAGGTGTGGTGGCGGGCGCCTGTAGTTCCAGCTACTCGGGAGGCCGAGGCATGAGAATGGCATGAACCCAGGAGGCGGAGCTTGCAGTGAGCCGAGATCGTGCCACTGCACTCCAGCCTGGGCGATAGAGCGAGACTCTGTCTCAAAAAAACAAACAAACAAACACCTATCCAAACATAAACATCCATTATTTGTGACTCTGTCATCCAAAGTGCCCATTGCTATTTTTTGCGTAGCTTAAAATTTTGACTAAAAAAGATAACTTCATACCCCTTATCTGTCCCTAAGTAGGATTTTTAGGTGTGGTATTTGAGTAACATATGTTTCTACTTTGTGAGTTAGTGATATGGTTTGGCTGTGTCCCCACCCAAATCTCATCTTGAATTGTAGTTCTCATAATTCCCACTGTGTCATGGGAGGGAACCTGTGGGAGGTAACTGAATCATGCAGGCAGATCTTTCTCATGCTGTTCTCATGATAGTGAATAAGTCTCACGAGATCTGATGGTTTTATAAAGGGGAGTTTCCCTGCACAGGTTCTCTTGCGTGCTGCCATATAAGACGTGTCTTGTTTCTCCTTCACCTTCTGCTATCATTGTGAGGTCTCCCCAGCCATGTGGAACTGTGAATCCATTAAGCCTTTTTTCTTTATAATTACCCAGTCTTGGGTATATCTTTATTAGCAGCATGAGAACAGACTAATACAATTAGATTTTTGTTTGTTTGTTTGTTAACAACAACAAAGAAAGGCTGATAGATGCTTACAGGCCTGTTTTCAGGATACTTAAAAGTGAATTTTCAGTATTTTCAGGTTTTCAAAACTTTATGTAAAGGGAACAGCAAAGGTCTTTAATTTTAACTCTGTAGGATGTCATTTTGTGTCCCCAAAGTTTTCTAATTTTATTGCTTTATAAAATTCAGGTTTTCAAAATAATCTCAGAGGAGCTAGTCTTCTACGTTACTGACTTTGGGAATGAAATAGTAAATAGCCTTTATTTGTAGCCCTATTTGAAAATAATTTAAAAGTGCTTTCTTAAAATCCTTATCTGCAATGATTATTGTACACATCATGGCTGAAGTTTAAGTGTGGCTCACACATTCATGCTTAGTTGAGCATGTTTACAAGTAACTTTGGGGTACAATTTGGAGGCCTTTTTAAAATGTGGGATCTTAGAGACCAAGTTAGGCACCAATGTAACTCTTGGGACTTTAAGGTTAAAACAAAACAGCCTATAACAGTAAAAACAATAGTTTTGTACTTTGGGAGCTACATGCACAAAGCAGGCAAAATGGATCATCTCTGAAAAGAGGCAGCCTCACAATATATATCTCATAACAGAAACACTGCAAATGGATCATATTTTGTGAGTAATTAACAAGGTATCAAAATAATGTCATACAAGTGAAGAAAATCACACTTGCATCACAGTTGAGCTGACAGCTGTTGTCACTCACAGTGTGGGCCCATGGGACATTACCCCTTAACTCAGAGAGAGATGAGCTCCCTGGCTAGTTAGCTGAGCAACTTGGGATTATATTAAGTGAGCAAATGGCCAGAAACCTTCCCAACTACCCTTCCCACGACTACAGAGTGTGGTTCTGGAGCTGGTGTTGAGATGTAAATGCAGTCCCAGCTGTGTGCCAAGAATTCAAATCTCAAGGTCAAGAATGAGAGGTACTTGACAAATTCTTACACTTCATATACTCCTCATCTTTGAATTAATTCATTTTTCCTACAAATCAACAGAATGTTCACAGGGGGAAATTATTCCATGCTGAATAAATAAAGTCCATATGAATGAACTTTTCATTTAGTAGTAATTGCGTTTTTTTAGTATGTCACTAACTGTGAGTTATAAATTAAAACCTGTTTAGCCAGAGAAGATAATTTTACAGTTAATGTTTAAAACAGAATTGACTAACTGAATTTACTCCATGAAGAAGGCAGGTTTTGAAAGTTCTACCAGATGCAGATATAACTTTTTTTTTTTTTTTGAGAAGAGTCTGGCTCTGTTGCCCAGTCTGGAGTGCAGTGGCACTATCTCATTCACTGCAAGCTCCGCCTCCCGGGTTCACGCCATTCTCCTGCCTCAGCCTGCCGAGTAGCTGGAACTACAGGCGCCCGCCACCATGCCTGGCTAATTTTTTGCATTTTTAGTAGAGACGGGGTTTCACCATGTTAGCCAGGATGGTCTCGATCTCCTGACCTCGTGATCCGCCCGCCTTGGCCTCCCAAAGTGCTGGGATTACAGGCGTGAGCCACCACGCTGGGCCAGATTATCACTTTTCAATTTTTAAATCTGTAGCATTTATTTATTCACTGAAAGTAAATACCAAATGTACTGGGGCAAATTGTATGTAGAAATATTATTTTTCCAGGTGTGACCCTATGATTCTTCTCAGCCAAAATCTTTGTAAAATTATGGCACAACTAGCATAACTGTGGTTGTAATACTTATTTGAATTAAATGTTTTTCTTGTCTAACCTCCATATTTCATTGAGTATGTCCTTCTGCACACATCTTCATCCGTCTTTATGATTCAAACTTTTCTAGCAGAAATTACTTTTTATTTTCTCTGCAGAACATGTGGGGTTGGGTGGCTGATGAATAGTAACCTGGCAAATTCCTCTGCCTGGAAAAATATCATCCAACTGATGGGTGTGTGGTTGCAAAAGCGAGCTTTATAACTATTAGCTGAGCAACTCGGGATCATATTAAGGTAAAATTCATAAGGTGTATATCTTCTAATAAAATACTATCATTTAAAAAATGCTATTTATTCCATTAGAGATGCAGTTTTTGTTTTTGTTTTGAGACCGAGTCTCGCTCTGTCGCCCAGGCTGGAGTGCAGTGGCGCGATCTCTGCTCACTGCAAGCTCCACCTCCCGGGTTCATGCCATTCTCCTGCCTCAGCCTCCCCAGTAGCTGGGACTACAGGCGCCTGCCACCACGCCTGGCTAATTTTTTTTTTTCTGTATTTTTAGTAGAGACGGGGTTTCACCATGTTAGCCAGGATGAAGTTGATCTCCTGATCTCGTGATCCGCCAGCCTCAGCCGCATTACAGGTGTGAGCCACCACGCCCGGCCAAGATGAAGTTTTCTAATCCTCATAGTAATTATGACTATTTCATTCCCTCTCGAAAGATAACAACAACGAAAAAGAGAACGGAATGCCTTTTTCCAGCTCTCTACATTTGCTTTCTTCAACTTTGAAAACAGGCAAGCTAAAGTGACCTAGGATGGCCCTTACCTGTCTGTGATGCCGCAGGAGTCTATCTGGAGGTCCCTGAAACTCCCCAGCGCCCCCTGCTGTACTAAGATGGGATCCACCGCTTTGTCACCAATGGTGATGAGCCTTAGGCAGCCCTGAAACCCTCCCAGGGGGCTTTTACATCCAGAGCCAGAGCTGTTGCCCAGGCAGCCTGAATATGAAGACAAAAATAGGACAAAAGCAACAACTATGACAAAACTATTCCACAGTATTTACTATATGAAGACTGCTGCTCCCGCTTGTTTATGGACATCGGTATGATGCGATGAGCTTCACCATTCATTAGAGAGGTGAGAAGGGGCAAGGTTAGAACTGATCAAATTTAAGATAATACCTGGAATTCAGAATAAGAAATTGCGGGGGAAAATTCAGATCTAAAATTCCTATAACAGGAATTATTTCCCAACCAAGTGAAAAGAGGTTTGGCTTCTTTTGTGAAATCTCATCTAAGAAATAAGCATGCATTTTAGCATTATGTAGTATAAGTGAAAAAAATTAAAGTGGAGGTTAAATTAAAATAAATGAAATCATAGCCCAAATTTTATTTAGGATATGCTGTGAAGTGTGAAAAATGCTACCTGAAAATATAATTGTATACTACCATTTATCTAAAATATGTTAAATATCTACCCTATAGCTGTTTTTGTGCGTTGCGATGTATGTATATTTGGGAGTATTTAAAAACGTATTTTTTTATACTGACTGGGTGGAAATACCTAGATTTGCTTTTCTAGTAACACTTTCTTTGGTATTAGGTACTTTAGTCAAATATATAACTAAAGATTAAATTCTAATGTTAACAACAACACAAAAAGTAACAGGACATAACACACTGTTAGGGTACATAAGGATAAAAATTTGCAGTCCAGAATGTTCTATGAATAGAAAGAGATAAAATAGACATTTGATTATTTCCAATATTAGAAGTTAAATATTAAAAATTTCACTACAATCGTCAGCTAATTTCACCTAAATTACAAATGGCAATGCTTATGACATCACTTCCCTTTACTATGTGGGCTTGTTTTGTGAAACAAGAAGAGTACTTATAAGAAGCAGTGGTGAGTGCCTGACTTTGACGTAAGCAGTATTACTCCACACCAGTCCAAGCATATAGGAAAGTAGTGTCTTGAACTTACTCCCACCCTCTTGAGTTACAATATATAACCTAATAATGGAACTCTAAGTTTGAAAAGTAAGGAAAAGGATGAAAGTACACACTCTAGTTAAAGAAAACACAATAATTGTAAAATCTTATTATTTAAAGACAACTGTTTGTAGAAAGAGTCATATTAATTCAGAATAAAATCATAAGGCATTTGTCTACGTCAGGAGTCTGCAAAGGTTTTCTGTAAAACGCAGATAGTAAACACTTTTGGTTTTGTGGGTCACACCTGGTCTCTGTTGCATGTCCTTCTTGTTATAACCCTTTAAAAATACAAAGCAGGGCTGGGCGCGGTGGCTCACGCCTGTAAACCCAGCACTTTGGGAGGCCAAGGCGGGCGGATCATGAGGTCAGGAGATCGAGACCATCCTGGCTAATTCGGTGAAACCCCGTCTCTACTAAAAATACAAAAAAAAATTAGCTGGGCGTGGTGGCGGGTGCCTGTAGTCCCAGTTACTCGGGAAGCTGAGGCAGGAGAATGGCGTGAACCCAGCAGGCGGAGCTTGCAGTGAGCCGAGATGGTGCCACTGCACTCCAGCCTGGGCAACAGAGCGAGACTTCATCTCAAATAAAATAAAAATAAAAATAAAAATACAAAGCAATTATTCATTTGGGCTTATATAATATGCCATGGACCGTGATTTGCCTACCTCTGATCTAAATGAATACTTAATTTTAACATACAAATATGAAAGAGGAACCTCATTTCATAATGGTGTAATGCCAATGACAAGAGAAATTGAATTAGTAATTAATTTAATTGTATATTATGAAATTATATAGCTTTTAAAAATTTTATCCTTTGCCTTATTTTAAAAAAGAAGCCTGCTTATATTGATTCTGTAAGTATTGTCTCTTTCAAACTTGTGAGATATAATTTCTTATTTTCTTTTCCCAATCATTCAAATATTAGGTATTAAACCTAATATTTGGCATGACACTTTCAGTCCATGCAAATACCCTTTTCTCCAAAGATTATAGTAAATATACATCAATATTTATCACTAGAGGATTGAGTTTTCTTTACAGTGTTCATTAAAATGAAAAAAATGAAGTATAGAATTTGTACTTATGTGTTTTTCATTGACCTCTCTTTGACCTTATATTGTTAATCACTAGCACAATTTCAAAAAATAGTCAATGAAGATTCCTCTTACTGGAATAAATGAAGCACCTCTCAATGCCTGTACTCTTATTTCCTCCCTAAAAGTTCCATAAAAATTAAATGTTGTGTTTAGATTTCCATTTTAATAACTGAAGCTTTATCTCTTTAACTTTAATACTTTCTGCTTTAGATCCCTAAAGTAAAAGCCTCCCTCATATTAAGGCTTCTTTTTAGCTTATCGAAACTATACATAACCTCACAGACACTTGGAAGTTTAACATTTAACACCATATTTGTTTAAAAGTTTGAAGACTAAAATCTTTTATATTTTTATATTTACAAAAGAAATAAAAGTTTAAATGGTACAGCAGAACCTTCTGAAGAATGGGATAGAGAGTGAACTTTGTATAATTCTACTGCATCTCACTAATCATTAAGAAATAAACACATTAAGAATTAAGAGGATTATTAATTCAATAAATATTTTCCAGTAATGAATTATAGGAATATCAACAGTTCTGCTAATCTTTCTTTCACCATGTGGTGTTTCCTGACACATAACTTAGGTTATCTTTTTTTTTTTTTTTTTTGAGACCTGAGTCTCATGCTGTCACCCAGGCTGCAGTGCAGTGGTGTGATCTCTGCTCACTGCAAGCTCCACCACCCAGGTTCACAGCATTCTCCTGCCTCAGCCTCCCGAGTGGCTGGGACTACAGACACGCACCACCATGCCCTGCTAATTTTTTTTTTTTGTATTTTTTTTCAGTAGAGACGGGGTTTCACCATATTAGCCAGGATGGTTTTGATCTCCTGACCTCGTGATCCACCTGCCTCAGCCTCCCAAAATGCTGGGATTACAGGCATAAGCCACAGCGCCCAGCCAGGTTATTCTTAAAAGAAAATGAATTCGATAACTCTGTTAGAAAAAAAAAAACTAAAATAAATCCAGGTGTCCCGCAAAAAGTTATGAAACTTTCAGGACAAATTCTAATCATAAAGTACTGCATGGATATGAAATCAAACAAATAAAGATATTAAGACCCATGAAAATTTTAGCCCGGTTATTTTCACTTGTGTAAGCATATGAGGTTGGCAAGAAAATTGTCACTGTGTGTTATTGCAGTGACAGACTTCAATGCAGTGTTGCCACAAGTTCTTGGTCTAGCAGATTCCTACAAGAAGGATGTGAGGACTGGCGACACAACAGTCAATTTTGTATTCTCAATATCATGGAAGGAGGCATGGCATTGAATAGCAGAAAGATTCCATAAAGGTAAGTTTAAAAGAATTTGACCTTCAGTCAATCTCTATTTCAGGCATGAATGCAAAAAACTGCAGGCTATATGCACAACCTGCAACCGTACAGAGTGCTGCTTGAAAAACACTTCAAAAAGATGAAATCACAGACCAGAAAAAAAAGAATGGACAAATGACAGTATAGAAGATAGGTCTGCATCTGCAAATTAGACTTTCTCTTTCTTTCTCTCTCTCTCTCTTTCTTGACAGAGTCTCGCTCTGTTGCCAGGCTGGAGTGCAGTGGCACCATCTCGGTTCACTGCAACCTTTGCCTTCCAGGTTCAAGGAATTCTCCTGCCTCAGCCTACCCAGTAGCTGGGACTACAGGCTCCCGCCACCATGCCCAGCTAATCTTTGTATTTTTAGTAGAGACAAGGTTGCACCATGTTGGCCAGGCTGGTCTTGAATTACTAACCTCAGATGATCCACCCACCTCAGCCTCTCAAAGTGCTGGGATTACAGGTGAGAGCCACCGCGTCTGGCCTAAACTTTCTATTAAAATAAATCTAGTGAGATCCAGAAACCCACATCCACCAGTGATTTGTTCCAAGTCTCTCAAGGTTTCTTTGGTGCAAATAACATTTTCCATTTATCTGGCATCAGGAAATTGGTGGGTTTTTCTTCTTCTTCATTTTTTCATATTAACCTGGCTACCCATGGGTAGAGTCAGCAGGGCAACATTAAATTGAAAAAAAAAAAAAGATGCCCCCATACGATGGCCTGAGAGTGGAGACCAGTGACTCAAAAGCAGAAGGCTGGTTCCAAAACGTCAAACTTCTGCAGTCTCAGCTTCAGGTGAGGAAGGCAGCTCTCACTCAGGGAAAGAGCCAAAGTTAGAAACAGTGCAGCTCTTGCCAGTCATTGACCTAAGGCCAGGCGGCTCCTCAGATGACCTGCAAATTGGGGACACACCACGGCATGCAGCAGGTGGGCTGAAGGATCCTGCTCCCAGTGGGTTTTTGCAGGGGACGTTCTGATTCCCTTAGCTGACGAATATGATCCTATGTTCCCTTATGATTATGAGAAAGTAGTGAAGTGCCAAAGAGAGGAACGACAGACACAGCAGGAGCTAGAAATATGAAAGGAAATAGAAGAAAGGGAAAAGAGGCCTGAAGACAGGCAAGAAATTAGGGGAGTTCTGATCAAGGCGACCAAATCCAGATTCTGATGAAGGGGAAGATTAGGAGGGAGAGAGGAGGAAAAGTAGTAGGGTGGAGCTGCCATTGCCCCTCCCACTTCTCTGGTAGAGAAAGACCAAGAGTCACCCCGAGATTTTCCTTATGAAGAGGATTCAAGACCTCAGTCACGGTCTTCCAAAGCAGCCATTCCTCCCCCAGTGAAGGAGGAACAGGACAGACTGAGATCTCCAAACCGTCCTAGCAGCTCCTTCCTCACTAACGTGGTGGGAACGGTGGTGCACAACATCATGCAGAAGCGCGGCTTCCGGGAAGGCTGGGGCCTCGGGGAGCACCTGCAGGGGCTTCGAGACGCCTTTCCGGTGGGGAAGACTAGCAAATCAGGCGGCAAGATCATCGTGGGCGACGCCGCAGAGAAAGATGCATTGAAAGGTCAGGTACAAATCCACTGACTGAAATACTTGAGTCCTACTAAGGTGGTCCTACTAAGGAACATGGTTGGTGAAGGGGAGGTGGAAGAAGACTTGGAAGTTGAAACCAGAGAAGAATGTGTGATGACATATTTTTCAGTTGATATGGTTTCCTATGAGACATAGCATCATTAAGGATAAAATAAGTGAAACTGAAAAGAGTATAGTTAATCTAGTTTTCATAATGAGTTCATTCTGTTATGTTTCTTTTTCTTTTCCATTGTCAATTTATATTGGCTCAGAGAAAACAGGCTTGATGGATAAAGTCCATGGTATTTCCCAATTTTGCCATGAAAAATATGGCAAAGTTAGAAAATGTGTGATATGTGAAATTCTTGGTGTCCCTGATGATGAAGCACAGACCTTTTTAGAATTTGAGAGTTGAGTCAGCAATTAAAGCTGTTGTTCACTTGAATAGAAGGTATTTTGGTGGACAGGTGGCAAGAGGATGTTTTTACATTTGTACAAATTCAGCATCTTGGATTTGGTGGAACAAGTTTGATTTTAAGAACTAGAGCATGAGTCATCTCTGGTGACCCTTAAATGACAAGCAGGCTGAGAAAAGAAGGAAAAAGGTCACAGCCTCCATGGCTGTTAGATACTGAGACTCTTGGAAGGACCTCCAAGATATACGTTGATTGATCCCTTTTCATTTTGTGGTTTTTAAATATTGTATAAAAATCCAAATCCTTTTTAATAAATAAATAAAACGTGCAGCTGACTAGTTTCAATCATTGGTAGATATTATACTGTAGGAATGAAGTTAGTGTCTGCAGCTGTACATATTCAGGCCATTCTAAATATATAAGCTAGTTAGGAAGAAAATACTGTGGATTTTATCCATCAAGCCTGTTTTCTCCAGGCCAGTATAAAACAAATGGAAAGGAAAAAGAAACATAATGAAATGAACTCATTATTAAAACTGGATTACAGGATTAATTTTAATGTTTTCAGTTTCACTTATTTGACTCTTAGTGATGCTATGTGTCATAGGAAACCGTATGAACAGAAATATCCCAAGAAGTAAATTTGCTTAGAAAACAGAAAAGGGCTTATTAGTCTCTTTCAGTGCACTGCACAGCATTCAAGAAGAATTTGGGTCATGTGGTCTTTAAATTACTAAAATGAGTAATGAATACTAGCGGAACCAAAGGCTGTTTCTATGTGAAGAAATGATCTATTTTGGGTTTATATACATCAGTAAAATTTAACAACCAGCTTATGCTGTTAAACATGGTGGTTAGAGCTGGTGTTTCCCGAAGTTTACTATACAGATGGGTAAATAAAGTTACAAAAGCACACACAAGGAATGCAAAATTCACTGGAAAAACTAGGTATGTTAAGAATATTTTAAAAACTAAATTTTAGGCTGGGCATGGTGGCTCATGCCTGTAATCCTGGCACTTTGGGAGGCTGAGGTGGATGGATCACCGCAGACCAACCTGAACAACGTGGCAAAACTCTGTCTCTACAAAATACGAAGAAAAACAACAACAACAAAAATTAGCTGGGTGTGGTGGTGCAGGCCTGCAGTCCCAGCTACTCCAGAGGCTGAGGTGGAAGAAGTGCTTGAGCTTGGAGAGGCAGAGGCTGCAGTGAGCTGTGATTGCTCCATTGCACTCCAGCCTGGGCAACAGAGTGACTCCCTGTCTAAAAAAAAGGCAAAACAACGAAACACCACCCCCCTAAATTTTATAAAGCAAATCTAAAAGCAAAAATGAAAATTGCCTAACAATAGCAAAATGGGACAGTAGAACTGATAAAATGTGGTATATTCATGTAACAATATATACATTCTTTTGAAAAATTAGCAATATTTTTAACTGTACATATATGATCTATTTCACAGTAAAAATGAATAAAATTATGATATGCATAAAAATAACTCAAAAGCATTTCTCACATTAGCATGTATATATTTATGGAAATGGGCTCTTGAATAATCTCACCTGTAGAATTTAAACCCTAAAGGTGATACTATATTTATACTTTGACAAATCATTTTCTGTAATCAACTTTATTTAGTATCACTTAAAAAAATGAATAGTACTTTCATTCTTATCCCTTTTAGTGCTTCCTAAATATTTTACCTTTGAAATGATAGGTCTTGGATATATTGGCTTATTTGTTTTTTGTTATAAAATGTGTCATCTATAGCAAATGTTTTAATACAATTTGAGGCACATATGCACACCTCGGAATATGAGGAAAGAAAACAATCAGAAACTTTGCAGATTGACATTGTCTGTTTTCACAGTTGCTCTTGGAAAGTTTGCTCTGAAGGACTGTTAGAGTTTAGAAAATGAGTTTTATAATTTCCATGCTGACAGCCAATTTTAGGGATGAATTTTACCTTTTTTTTTTTTTTTGAGACGGCGTCTCACTCTGTCACCCAGGCTGGAGTGCAGTGGCGCAGTCTCAGCTCACTGTATAAGCTCTGCCTCCCAGGTTCATGCCATTCTCCTGCCTCAGCCTCCTGGGAAGCTGGGACTACAGGCGCCCACCACCATGCCCAGCTAATTTTTTTTTTTTTTTTTTGTATTTTTAGTAGAGACGGGGTTTCACCGTGTTAGCCAGGATGGTCTCGATCTCCTGACCTTGTGATCCACCTGCCTAGGCCTCCCAAAGTGCTGGGATTACAGGCGTGAGCCACTGTGCCTGGCCGAATTTTACTTTCATATTGTGCTGTCTCCAACATAATTTTAAAAGGATTCTGGAAAAAAAAAACAGTAAAATGCAAAACTATACTAATACTCTCAAGAAGCACCTCAAGCATTGATTAGCAAATGTATCTTATTATTTACAGAGTTAAATGACATTTCTAATGACCAAGGACTTTCTGAGTAAACATCCCTGGGCAGAAGATTTATTGCACCCTTCTGTGACCTCCCCACTCTGACTGCCCTCTCTTAGGCTGCAGTGTCTCTTGGCTGTACTCAATCATTGACTGAGCTGGCAAATATTCTGTTTATTATTGTCTAGGAAAGGCTGATGTGCTCCCTGACTTGGTAAAATGTTTCACTGCATCATTACTGGGCAATAAAAATAAGTTGAAATAACCGACTGAGTAAAACTATTAGTCACTTTGGGCAAAGCATGGCCTTTCTTCATGCGGCAGTGGGAAATCAATAAGATGCTCCAGAGGAGCCGAGGCTCTAGGGATACCTGTATGGTGCAATAAAACCAGCACATAAAGCAGTGGAAAAGGTAGTGGCACTCATTTCACACTGTTACAATTCCGTTGGGCACAATGATGAAGGGAAGCTTCATAAAGGGTGGTCTATTTAAAATCGGTTCCTGAGTGTGATCTTTTATTTAGGCCTATCTGGAAGACATGCATTTCAGTCCTTAATTTGTAGTCTTTTTTCAACAACCCCATGAAACAAAAGGGATCCAGCATGGTGATACTGTTTCATGGTGATACAACCCCATGAAACAAAAGGGATCCAGCATGATGATCCAGCATGGTGATACATAATGATACTGTGTTATTTACCTGGAATTTGGTAAGAGAGCAGATTTTCAATGACTTCACTCCCCTCTGCCATCAACATGGTAACTATGTGTGATGTGATGGATGTGTTAATCAACTTGACTGTGGTAATCAGAACACAGTGTATACCTATATCAAATCGTCACATAGTATACCTTAAATATATAGAATTTTTATTTGTCAAATAAATATTTTAATTTTTTTGAA
Source organism: Homo sapiens (assembly GCF_000001405.40). Lineage (NCBI taxonomy): Eukaryota > Metazoa > Chordata > Mammalia > Primates > Hominidae > Homo > Homo sapiens. Next base: position 41,978,967 of record NC_000009.12, read on the forward strand.
AAAGGGATTTATGGCAGTGTAGCAGCAGTGGGTGGTAAGGTCTGGGTCGGGTTCATCCCCAGGTGGGATGTGGGGTCAGGGAGGAACCCAGTAAACAGCCCTGGCCTTGCAGGTGTAACAGTCTAGGCCTCTGTCTTCCTGAGGCGTTGTTCCTGCATGTTGTCCCAGCGTCTTCCCTCTCTGTGTGTCTCTGCACCTCCATTTCCATTTTTCATAAGGACACTGGTCATATTGGATTGGAGCTCACCTTAATGACCTCATTTTAACTTGATTACCTCTGCAAAGATCTTATCTCCAAACAAGGTCACATTCTGGAGTTCATATGAATTTGAGGGAAAACAATTCAATCCATAATATCATCTCTGAAATAAGGACAACTTTACTTATGCATATACAATTTGGGTTGTGGTTGCTGCGTATCTGTTTCAAATGGGTTATGGGCTCTTCTCACACTTTCAGGTCAAAGGGGACTTTGGAATCCATAGTGTATCTATGTATGCATATATGATCATGGATCAGCCTTCCCATTTCTGTCACTGTGTCCCTATATGGTTCATTATCATGTATGTTACTTCACTCGAAGGCCATACACAATCCAAACAAAACAAAACACAGAAACTGTGTTGGCTATTTTGACTTTCTGTTGAAACTATTCTCTTTGGTCATATATATATTTAAAAAATATTTTATATATATATATATTTTTTTTTTCAAGTGATTATCCTGCCTCAGCCTCCCAAGTAGCTGGGATTACAGGCACCTGCCATCATGCCCGGCTAAATTTTTTTTGTGTGTGTATTTTTGTAGATACAGGGTTTCACCATTTTAACCAGGCTCGTCTTCAACTCCTGATCTCAGGTGATCCGCCGGCCTCAGCCTCCCAGATTGCTGGGATTACAGGCGTGGGCCACCACCTAAGATATATATATATATATGTAATCTTTTTCAGTATATTCTCAGGGTGTGTTTGAGGAAACCTTTTTTTTTTTTTTTTTTTTTTTTTGGCCATTGTCCAAGGGTTTAGAACTGAATGGGAATGTCTGTAAATGGATCTGATGGAGGTTGGAATGTGTATCAGCTTTTAATCATCACTGTAACAAATTACTAAAACATTCTCTTTATTATCTCTCACTTTAGAAGTGTGGGAGGGCTGGACTGATGACTCTGCTTATAGTCTTACAAGGACAAAATCAAGGTGCTCTTGGGCTCCTTATGAAGGCCCTAGGGCAGAATGTGTGTCCAAGCACATACAGGTTAGAGCAGAATTCAACTTCTTGTAGTTGTAGGAGTGAGGTCCCAATTCATCACTGGCTGGTAGTTGGGGCCTCTCAGCAATGTCAGGCTGCCTGCGTTGCTCTTCATAGTGCCCAGTTTATTTTCTAAACCAGCAATGGTGCAGAGAGACATTCTCCTGCTTCTAGTTTCTCTGGCTTCCCCTCACCCACACCTCTCTTCTGTGTCTCTTCTGCCTCCAACCAGAGTTAAATCTCTTAAGTGCTCATGTGATTACATGGAGCCCACTGCATGAATCACGATCATCTCCTAAGGTCTGCAACCTTAATTACATCTGCAAAATCCCTTATGTGATGTAACATATTCAGTTTCCAGGGCATCTTGGAGAGTCATTCTCATTCTTGCTGCCACAAAATATTCCTCATTCCTTCATGAAATGTTGTTTGCTTTCATATATTTGTCTCTAGAGAAGCATCAGGTATTTTCTCAACATCCCTTCATGTTAAAAACCCTCAACAAATGAGGCATTGGAGGAACATACTTCAACATAGTAAGAGCCACCTATGACAAACCCACAGCCAGCATCATACTGAATGGGCAAAAGATGTGAAGCATTCCCCTTGAAAACTGGGACAAGACAGGGATACCGTCTCTCATTATTCCTACCCAACATAGTACTGGATGTCCTCGCCAGAGCAATCAGGCAAGAGAGAGAAACAAAAGGCATCTAAACAGGAGAAAAAGAGGTCAAACTGTCTCTGTTTGCAGATGATATGATTCTGTACCTACAAAACCCCATCGTCTCTGCCCAAAAGCTTCTCGATCTGATAATCTCAGCAAAGTTTCAGGATACAAAATTAATGTACAAAAATTAGTAGCATTCCTATATACCAACAACATGCAAGCTGAGAGCCAAATCAAGAATGCAATCCTATTCGCAATGACCACAAAAAGAATAAACTACCTAGAAATACAGCTAACCAGGGAGATGAATGATCTCTACAAGAAGAATTACAAAACACTGCTCAAAGAAATCACAGATGACATACAAATGGAAAAACATTCCATAATCATGGATAGGAATAATAAATATGGTTTTTAACCATATTGGGCCATACTGCCCAAAGCAATTTATAGATTCAATGCTATTCCTATCAAATCACCAATGGCATTCTTCAAAGAACCAGTAAAAACTATTTTAAAATTAATATAGAACCAAAAAAGAGCCTGAATAGCCAAGGGAATCCAAGGCAAAAAGAACAAATCTGGAGGCATTTCGTTAGCCAACTTCAACCTCTACTACAAGGCTATAGTAACCAAAATAGCATAGTACTGGTACAAAAACAGATACACAGACCAATGGAACAGAATAGAGCGCCCAGAAATAATGCCACACACTTACAACCATTTGATCTTCAACAAAGTCGACAAAAACATGCAGTAGGGAAAGGACTCCCTATTCAATAAATGGTGCTGGGATAACTGGCTAACCATAAGCAGTTCCTAGACCCCTTCCTTACACCATATACAAAAATCAACTCAAGATGGATTAAAGAATAAAATGTAAAACCTGTCAGGTGCAGTGGCTCACGCCTATAATCCCAACACTTTGGGAGGGTGAGGTGGGAGGATAGCTTGAACCTCGGAGTTTGAGACAAGCCTGGGCAAATAACGAGACCTCGTCTCTACAAACAATAATAATAATAATAATAATAATAAATTAGCTGAATGTGGTGGCACGTGCCTGTAGTCCAGGCTAATCAGGAGGCTGAGGCGGGGGAACCTCTTAAGCCTGGGAGGTTGAGGCTGTATCGTGTCATTGCACTCCAGCCTGGGCAACAGGTGAGACTGACTCTAAAGTCTCAAAAAAAAAAAAAAAAAAAAGTAAAGCCTATAACTACAAAAATCCTGGAAGATAACCTAGGAAATATAGGAAATGCCATTTTGGACACAGGACATGGCAAAAATTTCATGACAAAGACACCGAAAGCAATTGCAACAAAAACAAAAGTTGACAAATGGGACCTAATTAAACTAAAGGGTTTCTGCACAGCAAAAGAAACTATCCACAGAGTAAACAGACAACCTACTGGAAGAAAATATTCACAAATTATGCATCTGACAAAGGTCTAATGTCTGGAATCTATAAGGAACTTAACAAGAAAGAAAAAAAAACCTACCCCATTAAAAAACGGGCAAAGGACGTGAACAGACACTTTTCAAAAGAAGACATACATGTGGCCAACAAGCATAAGAAAAACTCCTCAGCATCACTAGTCATGAGATAAATGCATATCAAAACCACAATGAGATACCATCTCACACCAGTCAGAATTGCTATTATTTAAAAGGCGAAAAATAACAGGTGCTGGTAAAGCTGTGGAGAAAAGGGAGTGCTTATACACTGCTGGGGGAATTATACATTAGTTCAGCCATTGCAGCAAGCAGTTTCGTGATTTCTCAAAGAACTTAAAGCAGAGCTGCCACTCGACCCAGCAACCCCATTGAGTACACACCCAAAGGAATAATAATCTTTCTACCATAAAGACACACAGACGTGCATGTTCATTCACAATAGCAATGACATAGAATCAACCTAAATACCCATCAACGGTAGCGTAAAGAAAATGTACATATATACCATGGAATACTATGTAGCCATAAAAAAAATGAGATAATGTCCTTTGTAGCAACATGGATGGAGCTGGAGGCCATTATCCAAAGTGAACTAACACAGGAACAGAAAACCAAATACCATGTATTCTGACTTATGAGTGGGAGCTTAGTATTGAGTACCCATGGACACAAAGAAGGGAACAATAGACACCACAGCCTACTTGAGGGTGGAGGGTGGGAGGAGGGTGAAGATCGAAAAACTACCTACTAGGTACTATGCTCATTACCTGGGTGATGGAATAATCTGTACCCCAAGCCCCCATTACATGCAATTTACCTATATAACAAACCTGCACATGTATACCTCTGAACCTAAAATAAGTTTAAAAAAAAAAGAGAAGCATCACGTATTTTCTGTAGGAAATGGGAATTATATATGAATATACATTGTCAAAGACTATAATGTTAGAGATTTTCTATTGCTTATTTCATTAGTTTCTTTCTGGACCTATTCAATCTGGGCTAGCAATTCTGAAAACAAAGTAGTGTGGATCAAACTCTGTCATCTGTTTCTGTCACACAGATTACAGCCCTCATCCTGAAGGAGGGACAGATTTCAGTCCCATCCTAATAAAAAAAAAATCTCTGTTCCGTTTACTGTTTTCTTCTACTTGGTTTGGAAAAATTTTGTTAGAGGCAATTGTCGATACCACATATGGCTGAGAGCAGGTATAGGAGGTATCCTGGTACTCATACTTGGAAACCCTTAATTTGGCATCATCCTCAGCACATGAAATTTCTCAGATCACTAACAATCTTGGACCGATGATGATTCCTTAAGCCAACTTCGCTCTTCTGAAAAGGCTGGCGGGCATGGCTGCATTTTTCTGAGGACTCCTATGTTATCATCCACTCAAGATACACCAAGGCATTAACTAATTTTAAAAATCTTGGCCTGGCACAGTGGCTCACGCCTGTAATCCCAGAACTTTGGGAGGCCGAGGCGGTCGAATCACAAGGTCAGGAGATCGAGACCATCCTGGCTAACATGGTGAAAACCCCGTCTCTACCAAAAATACAAAAAATTAGCCAGATGTGATGGTGGGTGCCTGTAGTCCCAGCTACTCAGGAGGCTGAGGCAGGAGAATGGCGTGAACCTGGCGGTGCAGAGCTTGCAGTGAGCCGAGATCGCGCCACTGCACTCCAGCCTGGGGGACACAGCGAGACTCCGCCTCAAAAAATAAAAATAAATAAATAAATAAAAATCTTAAGCTCTTCAGGTTTACTTTGTGTCTGCTTAGAGGAAAAAAGCATCCAACTACAGATATAAATGTATCCATTAATAAAAGGTAAATGGAGGCACAAAAGTTTATTTGAGCTAACAGTGATTCATGAATCACTGTTGAAGCAGCTTCAAATGGGAACTGGTTCAGGGACCCTTTCAAGGGAACAAAAAGGGACAGCTTCTGTAAGGTAAATATAGTAGCAAATTTTTCACTGGTTGTAGTTATACAATTGCCTTATTTGGTTGATCCTGCTGGAAAGTCTCTAGTTATATAAGTTAATTGGCTTCTGATTGGTTAGCCTTAAGTTTGACTTTTTTTATTTTTAAAGCCATTTACAAGAAATAGCTCAAGTTAAGTTTTGCTTATATTGGTAAATCAAGCAAAGTTAAGGCCACTTACAAGGCTTTGTCTGGTCAGAGATACCTCAGGCCATTTTAATTTTCTTTAACAATTTAAATACACCTGTGTGCCAGAGGACAGCTCAGTGAAGTCTTTGAATGTCTGTGGCTGTATATTTGGAAAAGTATATATTCTTTGCGAAATACCACAAATACTGATGAGGTAAAATGCAATGTATAGGACTGCATGTATATAACAAGTCTTCTATTACTAGATCTATATTTCTGTTTACATATAATTTTTATTACTAAGAAAGGCTGAATATATTTACCTTTCCAGTAAGAATTACAAGTAATTAAGTTACCTCAGTAACACTTCAGTGTTTAGGTACAGTGCAAGTGGCTCTCTGTATCTGTGTCCAGCATGGAATTTCGTACCTAGTTGAAAACTTTCTTACTTGAGAGTGAGTTTTCTTATCATATATGTGGTGATATGGGATGATAACAGAATGCTGTAATGTACAGGCATCCATGCCCCCATGTGATAAGTTTTCTCACATGATTGTTTCTCTTAACTGTGGTTTCCAGATATAAAAGCATAATCTTTGGATTCACAGGAGCATTCTAGAATACATAGCAGGGTTTTGCTGTTATTCCTAGTGGTTCTTTTAATTTAAAAAAATCCAAACTTCCTTTATAATCAAAAGATCCACTTGTTTCCATTTCTTTAGCTGTATGAGTTCTCATAGTCAGTTTGGGCTGCTATTAACAGAACCCCATGAACAGAGTGGCTTATACAACAAACAGTTATTTCTCTCAGTCTGGATGCTGGAAAGTCTAAGTCTGAGTTTGAGGCAAAGCAGATGCAGTGTCTGCTTCACAGACCACAGTCTTCGCCTTATAACTTCACATGGCAGGAAAGGCAAGGGAGTTCTCTTGGGCCTCTTTTATAAGGGCACTAATTCCATTCATTAGGGCTCCACCCTCCTGACTTAATTACCCTCCAAAGCCTCCTGACACCATGACTTTGGGGTCAGGATTTCAACATATGAATCTGGGGTGGGGAAGCAAACATTCAATACTTTGCACCAGTGTAACACCAATTATACTGGATTCATTTAATATGCTTGTCTCCTATTAATTAATATTTGTTTACATTGTCAATGTTTTGAAAGTACTTCATAATCAGTATGATATTTCCTATTATGCCTTCTCCATGTAAAAAATATTTATCCATCTATCTATAAACTGAGCTGTGTACTAATAATGATTCAATAGTATAGATTTAGATGTGGACTTAAATATATAAGTAATATTTTATGTAAGCCAATGACTTCAGACAGTACGATTTGTTTTGTTTTTATGAGCTAACTGTTAGAAGTATAAATGGATTTATCTGTTGTAGAGATATGACTATGATATTGTTTGAAAGTTTCCACTTATTTACTACATGTAGCTCAAATATATTTTTCTTTTAATGTTAAATGAAAATATGAAGTTATTTAAACAGCAAGTAAACTTTCTGCAGATACTTATTTTTGTATTGGGAAGAAAAATTGATTAAATGTTTCATGTTTTTTACAAACTCAAAAGGTATTAATTTCATGGCTAGAGATAAATTATTTCTTAGTATCAACTTGGTTTAAATTTGACTAGAGACTCAAAATGCAAAGCAATAAAGATAAAAAGTGGTTCCACTGCCAGTGTCATTCAGTTGCCTTCTCTTACCTCCAAAATAATAGGTGTCACCTGAATCAATGAGCACAGCCACCAGGGGCTGAACAGCTGTGTCATCATCCACCACCACATTCATATGGCTCCACTTGGCAGAGAAGGATACAGAGTGCCACTGCCCATCGTTTAATCCAGCACCTGGAGGAAATACAATCAGTCAGAGACAACTCTAAATTATGAGCTCTGTAAACACTTGAAAACAATTTGATTCAGATCACTGAATAAGTCAGAGAAGAGTGGTATTTACATGTTCATGTATCACTGAAAAAAACATTAACCACCTATCTTTAATTTAAAAATTTCATTTATTATGAAAATAACACATGAATAAAAATATTACTCTTTCTGAAGAATCACTGTAACAAATTCTGGTAATTTGCTTAAAGTAACTAGAATTTAATTATCAAATATATACAGTAGAAGCCTTTACAATGGGATAAAAACAACACAGTTTGGTTTAATCTTCAAATGCAAAACTTACTTGCTTTACTGAATCTAACAAAAACATTTTACAAGAATCAAGAAAGTGAGTTGATAAAAAATATGTCAAGAATGATTGTGAAAAGGTTTTTTTAGAAAAAGTTGACACAAAATTGCACATACTTATGGGGTGTGACAGGATTTGAAATGGAAGATCACTGGATGTCTGGCTTACTGCACCCATTAATTAAGGTAAACCCTGCTTTCACTGTCTGAGCTATTTTACAGCCCTGTAAACTGTAGAAAACTGATAGTAATGCAAAATGACTTGTACCCATAGAAATACAAATGACTTGTGCCTAGCGAGGTGCAGTTGCTTACTGAACCATTTCATATCTGTCTGTAATTCATTTTGGCATTTCTTATCTGCCTGTATGTGTAGTACTTTGAATTATCCTCTGAACTGATTGTAACATCTTACTGGTTTCTTCATTGATTAGTTAAAATCTTTAACATATATTCGTGTGTTTCTGAATTAAATTATTATTATAGATATAATTATACTGTCTTTTAAAAGTTATTATTCGCTGGGCATGGTGGCTCATGCCTGTAATCCCAGCAGTTTGGGAGGCTGAGGCGGGCAGATCACCTGAGGTTGGGAGTTCGAGACCAGCCTGGCTAACATGGTGAAACCACATTTCTACTAAAAAACAAAAAATTAGCTGGGCATGGTGGCACTAGCCTATAGTCCCAGTCACTTCGGAGGCTGAGGCACAAGAATCACTTGAACCTGGGAGGTGGAGGTTGCAGTATGCTGAGATCACACCACTGTACTCCAGTCTGGGTGACAGAGTGAGACGCTGTCTCAAAAAGATAAAATAAAATAAAATAAAAGCGATTATTTAATATTTGATAAAAAATGCTTAGGAAAGAACTGGAGTTGTACTTTATATATGTACAATATTTTTATATATTTACACTCACATCCACATTATGATTCTTAGTAGTAATTATGAAATTAATCTTGTCAAATAATTTGGTAACATAATGAATTGTCTTTGATGGTAAATTTAAATGTTAAGGTATTTAAAATCACTAGAGGTATTCCGTGCTTTCTTTTACCTGATAATATGTCAAAGATACATGCCAATAAATGGGCTAAAAATAAGATTAGCTTCATGAGGCCTATTAAATTAACTTTGCACTGAAGTTTAAAATTAGGCCAAGATTGAAACTATTTCAGAAGTTACATATATTATAATAAACTTTAGACTAACAGAAATTTTCCTATAAAGTTAACATTTTACTTGATAGTCTTGGGAAACCTGTAAATTATTAAAATGACTCTATGCTTCATTTATTTTTCTTCCTAACATGCATTTATGTGAAGTTAGTATATTATTAGCATTTCAAATGTAGTACTTCTTAAAAATTAAACATTAACATTAATATTTTAGCTTTCCCTTTTAACCTTCAGTGATGTATGAAACAGAAACAGAAGTAGTAATAAAGTGTAAGGAAATAAATTATTCTTTAAAATCAACCAAGATTCTGGATGTCTTCAATGTAAAACTAGGCATTGTCTAAACACAATCTGGAGGATTATATGATTCTGCAGGTTTCTGTGCCTTTTACCTTCTTTGAATTTTTTTTTTTTTTTTTTTTTTTTTTTTGAGATGGAGTCTCGCTCTGTCACCCAGGCTGGAGTGCAGTGGTGCCATCTCGGTTCACTGCAAGCTCCGCCTTCTGGGTTCAAGCCATTCTCCTGCCTCAGCCTCCTGAGTAGCTAGGACTACAGGCACCCGCCACCACGCCTGGCTAATTTTTTTGTATTTTTAGTAGAGATGGGGTTTCACCGTTGTTAGCCAGGATGGTCTCAATCTCCTGACCTCGTGATCTGTATGCCTTGGCCTCCCAAATTGCTGGGATTACAGGCGTGAGCCACCACACCTGGCCCCTTCTTTGAATTCTTTACCACCCTGTGAATTGTAGAAAATTGAAAGCAGGCAAATGATTATTGTCCATAGACATGCAAATGAATTTTGTCTGGCAGAAATACAACTGAACTTCTTCCTGGTTCCTCTACCCCATCCCATGGAATAAGCCAGTTTTACATTATACACAAAATCATTGCAGCAGTAACATCTTACTGATTCCCTCATAAACTAATGAGTTAAACAAAATCTTTGACATGTTCTTTTTATAACTGCAAAAAGTGCCCTCTTTAAGAATATCTTTTGACAAATAAAAGCAGATCTTTGTATAACTGTTTTCATGTCTATCATCCACATTTGTTTTCTTTTTGTTTTCTATTAGGTTGTATTTGGCCTTTGGCCATAGTTTATGCACAAGAAAATCAGATACAGTAGAATCTGTAAATATTTCAATGAGAAGTTACTAAATTAATTGCCCACAACATAGATGTTATTTTAAACACATTTGATATGAAGATGATCTCTTGTTAACAACTACAACATTTTAACTGCAGAGGCAAAATATCATACTCACAAAGCCATGAGCTAAAGCAAAATCCTGATGAGATTTAAGAACTTTAATTATATTTAATTCTAGTTATTGTGCAACCCAGAACTGGATGAAGTGCTTGTTCAGCACTTCATTGAATCCAGAATATATGCAACTCATCAGCAGTAAAACTGAACCAACTACTGTAGGAAAAAAATTGAGGGCAGTCTTTGAAATGGGCAAAGGAGATTACTGGGTATCTTTTCAATGGAAAGATCAGCTGATATTACGGGATTGTAAACCATCATCTTGGACTAGTTACTTTACAGCTGTGTAGTGACAGAAGTTAACTTGCAGAACATTGATAATAATGCAAATAATGCTTGTCCATAGAGATGCAAAGTGTGTACAGAGAAGGGATTTGCCTTTCCCTTTGGATATTGAAAAGTTTAGCTAGTCGGCATCTCTTTTCTGACTATAAATGTGTGGTACTTCTTTAAACAGGCCTTACTGGTGTAAGGGTAAACACAAACCAAAACAAACAAAAGCTTTCTTAGTGCTAAAAGGGATACACACTTTCATTCACTTTTTTTCCTTAGAGCATTTCTTTCAGAAAACTTGTAATTGTACATCTTTAAAATCTTCAAACAAACAAACAAACAAACAAAATCTTATTTAGCCTCTTTCTTGTTTCCAGGAGTGTTTTTCTTGAGGACCTTGGAGACATTTCTTTGAAATGTAAACACCAAGAAAGGCAGTGCTCCTATCTCCTTGTCTCCGTGGGAGTTTAACGTAGGTGCCTGGCTCCAAGTTGCAACTACCCACTTGTCAAAGAGACATGGAGTTTAGTTTTCCTTTGCATAAAGGAGTGTGCCTCCCCAATCACCAGGTGAATGTAAGATGGGCTGTGTAGCAAAAGGCGCTGTCAAGTCCTCTTACTTGAGGACAAGTTGTCCTTTATCTTTAGAACATGTATGTAATGGGTTGTATCTGCCTGGCTATATAAATGGATGAAATTTCTTTATCTTTGCAATCACATTAGCAATTGCCTGAAATGTACATCACAGTCTGGCTTAATACTTATTCCATAATAAGACTATTTCATTTCTACCTTGTGAAACTGATTCACTATGTTGGTAGGCAATTTTATCTGTACTTATTTCCCTAACACTGGTTCTCTCATCAATGAGTTAAAGAAAATCTCTGACATGTGTTCATTCTGTATCTGTGTGTGGGTCACGATTTTAACCTTTCTTGGAAAAAATCTTATTCGTGAGGAAATGGAAACTAGGTTTGCATTTCTAAAAGATAAAAAATATACGTCTCCTCTGAATATCTGTTTTATCTCCCCTGAAACACCTGTGTGAGGTGGACACAGATTCTAACACCCAGGACTTGCCTGATTGTTCCAGAAGTACTGAGATAAGGCCCCGCCCTCCGAATTTCTTCACGGGTCTTGAAATCGTGCTTTCGTACCACAACATTTAATAGCAGTATAGTCACATGTGCCTCTTACAGCCAAAAGGAATCTTTTTTTGAGTATGATATCCCCCTGGTCTCAAGCAGAAGTCAGCCTCTTCGTCTGTGCCTTTTTCTTTTTCAGATTACGCTTTTTTTTTTTAAAGCCCCCATTTAGTTCCGATGCCAATTTAGGCACAATGTCAATTTAGGACCCAGTGCTCCTCCCATCTGCAAATCCAATCATCAAAATCCAGCAGCTCTGTAGTTAACAAACTTGCCCACATCTGACTGCATGTGAGATTAGTTCCCATCTATTGTAACTCAGTCTGGCTTCATGGGATTTGAGCCCCTAACCTAGCATTTGCCCAACAAAAACAGGCCCTGATGGGGAGTGGGGATGTGAGGGCCTGTGTGTGGGGTGGACATTGTGCTAATAAAATCAGACTTCCTATTGTTCTCCCTGCAAAGGAGATCTGAGGTTTACCACTTCACAAGTGAAAACAGCTGAGGCTTAGGAGGCTTCGTGATTTACATTTCAGAAGGGCAGTAAGTGGAGGAGCTGAGATTCTTCCAGGGTGCCCGGCTATCCCAGAAAACGAATCAGCCATCAACGAAAGAATAAGAACTCTTGGTATTTGCCGGGCATCTTTCCCTGTAAAGTGATAGTTATCAATTGACTACTGTGTATAGAATATTTGTGCACAGACCCTGAGCGGCAGGGCGGAGAAGGGAAAGGAGAAGGAGGACAGGAGAGGAATGTGCCTCTAGGTATTGTCTGTTCCATGAGGTCCTGACCCTAGTTCTTTGGGATGGAGGCTGGTATATGTTTGTCAGGAAATGGAGCTCAAGGGTATTCCTTGTATATGGGAAGGTACATCTGCAGAAATATGCATTTCATATTTCTCATATATAGTCATTTTGGTCAAAAGAACACTTTAGTGGCAGCGGGGTGTACCACACAGAACAGTCTAAAAGGAAGCAGCAATCTGTTCCTCTAGTGGGGGCATGGAGCATCTCACTGCCTCACTCACTCACTAATTACCAAATGATTTCCGTGTGGATATGTCAGGTTTATGGGAATACAACTCTTACCTGCTGTGACATTCCTTGGTGACTGTCCCGCCTGGAAGAGACTCAGTTTGAGCTTGCCATCCTTAAGAAAGAGGACGAAACTCCCTGAACCACGTTGAAGTTCGCCGAAAAGCAAATGTCCTGCTCTGTTCCACGTTCGAAATTGAAAAGTGACAGACACTTTGTCCTCCCCAGAGTTGCCTGGCAGAGCCAGATAACTCCTGGAGCTCAGAAAAGTCACAGGGACAGTCTGTGGCTGTGGACATGAGAAGGACACATTTCCCTATAAATAAAACAAAAGAGCACATTGAGCAGCCTTACAGGTGGTGCTTCTATCTAATTAAAGCCAGATTTTACGAAGACGTACAAGGCTTTTTATCAATCCAGGATTAGTCTGCCTGCTAAAGCTGAAATCTATGACATTTATCTTCTCTTTCAACATAAGTATTATTATAATTGGGCAGATATCCATGTGGCTTTCTGTATGTGTGTGAGAAATTCTCCACTTCTCTACTTCTCAGCATTAGTAAAGGAGTCTCAATATAATTTTAGTTCAACAGGAGTTTAATCTATGCCAGCTATTTTCCAGGCCCTGTGCTAGCCCTGAGGATACAGCAAATAACAGGACATTTTCATACTCAGTCTTTCTCCTGAGCAACATTTGGTCTTCTCTACACAATCCTCAAAATCTCTATTGAACCAGCTTACTATTTTACTGGTTCCCTCATTAACGAATTGACTAAATCTTTGACACATGCTTATTTGATATTTGTATTGGTCATATTTTTAGCTGTTGGAAAGTTATATTTGACAGCCTTTCAAATGGTTTTCAGATCTAATAGTTATATACAATGTTTGCATATAGTATTTTTAGCATGAAAACATTGATGTTTTTATATAGTCAATTATGTCTATATTGTATTTTACAGCTTCTGAGTTTCCAATCTTTGTTAAGAAAGTTTCATACTACCCTAGGTCCTACATACAACCTCATAGATTTTCTTTAAGATTGTTGTTTGTTTCTCATCCTCTTTAATTTACATATTCTTAGTGTGTATAAGATAGTGATCATGCTTATTTTCTGCCTTATGGACACTTGTTTGTTCCGGCAGAATTTCAGAAATAATTCATCCCTGTTCCACTGAATTGAGCCACATTCCTTGTTACTAACAACTTTGCACATAAACTGGGATCTTTCTGAGATCTTGACTGTTCTACTGACTTCTCTGTTCCTATCCATTACCATACTGATTCTAGTATAGAAGCTTTTAGCATGCTTTAATATCTGGTAAGTCAACATCTTACTAGGTTTTTAAATGGTTTTTGTTTGTTTGTTTGTTTTGCTTTGTTTGGCTGGTGAAAGGAATAAGCAATTCTTGGGCATTATTCACACATAGGAATTTCAGTTCCAGAGAAAAACCACAGTAATTCTGATTTTACTTGGAATTTCCATGGATTTATTTCTAATATACTATAAAAGATTTTAGAAAAAGAATGTTACTGGAGCAGGACAGCTCATCTAGGGTAGTGGCTCTCAAACCTAGCTAAACAGTCGAATCACCAGAAGGGCTCTTAAAATCCAGATACAGACCATTTAAAATCCCGATCTCTGGAGGTGGAGCCAGGTAAAGGTATCTTTTGAATCTCCTCTGGTGACTCCAAGATAAAGCCAAGTTTAAGAACCACACTGATCCAGTGGTAAAACAATTTTCAAAACAGAATCACATTTTTAAAAAATTTTGTCCCAACATACTTTAGAAATGGATATAATTCAGTTATCATTTTATAATAATCTTTAATACACATTCTAACTGTATACATCAATCAGAACATTTCTTCTTGACTATTTTTGTAATTCTGCTAAACGGAAAACACTTTTCATGACAAGAAAACATTTGCAGAAGAAAATTTAAAAAAGAAAACATTTGCTGTAACGAACTAAATACCAAAAGCTTACAACTAATTGGCGCTGATCCGTAGTACACATGTAATCACTGGACTATTACATATTTTTTATCTTTTTATCAGCTGTATATTTCTTGACCTCATCATTTAGGTGGGTAGCTGCCTGCTACAACAGAGAAGCAGGGCTTCTTGCCACAGAGGAGTGCTTGTTAGTTGACTAATGAATTCTGGCAGCTGATTTTCCCAAGAAAATACATTTTTAAATGTTTTCCTTTTATATATTGGAACAACTATTTTCCTGTTTTTATACAGAACACATAGAATTGTAGTAATTCTTAAAATGGAATTCCCATAATTAACATTATATATCCATATGCACAATTTGGAATGAATTGTCTTTTTGTTTTTGTGTGAAACTTACACATTTTAATAACCTCATTCAATGTAATTAGTAAATAGTTTTCTTGAGGATGATATCCAGAACCCAGAGACACCAGCTTAACTGTGGTTCTCCTTATTGGCTATACTCAATAATTCCATCAGCGAACCCATCAGTAATTCAGAATAACATGGAATGTATATGAAAACCTGTGTCTATTGTCCTCAAATAGTCTTGTCTCTTTGTGTCATAAGGCCCAACTCACTCTTCCTCACTTCAATGACAGTGTCTTTGGAAATAGCCCCATAGAAGTTAGGGTGAGGAGGAGGGATTCTTCTGAACACCAAGGACTGGCAGATAAAAGGTAGCTTAATATTCAGAACGTGTTAGGTCAGGCTTCTTGACACGGATGCCCATTGGCCAAACCCATCTTTGTATCTGTATCTGAGTAACGCATCTCCAACAAAGCCAACTTCAATAACCAGGTCTTTTTTCTTTTTCCTGTTGAGCAGCACTTAAATGTCAGTTTCTCCATGGACAGAAACTTTAGGTAGAGGGCTGTTCCATTTATCTCCTTCCTCTTTTCATTTCTTTTTCATCTTGTCAAAGGAAACTGCGCTCTGTGGAGCCTTGTTATCACTCTTCCCTTTGGTGTTTCCTTTTTCATGTATCTTGATGGTATTTTTCATTTTTATGATCTCAGCAGGGTGCTGTTCATAGTAAAACTTAGACTTCAAACCCAACTTTTTTTTTTTTTTCTCCTTTACCTTCTTGGAAAGTTCATGGGCTTCACAGCTGTTTTTCCCCTTTTCTCATGCTAACCTAAGTGATGTATTCATTGTGTGGTCTGGTGACACACAGTCAGAGATATTTTCAGGTTTTGGTCCTGCAACCCATGAGCCAACTCCTCCAGCACATAACAGGAAAGAAAACATGTTTCCAACAATACAAATAAATATTCCCATGATGTGCTGCTGAGATACACTGACAACTAAACATGAGCTTTCCCTTTAACCCAACTTAGATATTTCAAACTTTAAACATTGAAAGAAGTTTATTAACTGATTTGGAAGTATTTCCAGTTGATTAGGGAATAGATCATTAGGGACTGCCATTGCAAAATGATTGGTCTCCTGTGGATAACAACACCAAAAACACGTGAGACATATGAATTCTGATTTCCATGTAAAAATAGAAAGTTACTTTATTTCATATAAAAATGAAACAATGATGTCCCATGAGGCATATTTACTTTATAACTTTTTATGCATAATAAAAATTACTATATTAGGCTGGGTAAGGTGGCTCATGCCTGTAATCCCAGCATTTTGGGAGGCCGAGGCGAGTGTATCGTCTGAGGTCAGGAGTTTGAGACCAGCCTGGCCAATGTGGCAAAACCCTGTCTGTACTAAAAAAAATTAGCCAGGTGTGGTGGCACACACCTGTAGTCCCAGCTACTCAGGAGGCTGAGGCAGGAGAATGGCTTGAACCCAGGAGGCAGAGGTTGCAGTGAGCCAAGACTGTACCGCTGCACTCCAGCCTGGGCAACAGAGCAAGACTGCATCTCAAAACAAAAACAAAAACAAAAACAAAAAAAGTGCGCCTGTGGTCCTATCACTTTGGGAGGCCAAGGTGGGCAGATCACGAGGTTGGGAAATCGAGACCATCCTGGCTAACATGGTGAAACCCCGTCTCTACTAAAAATACAAAAAGCCGGGCATGCTGGTGGGCACCTGTAGTCCCAGGTACTCGGGAGGCTGAGGCGGGAGAATGGCGTGAACCCAGGAGGCAGAGCTTGCAGTGAGCCAAGATCGTGACACTGCACTCCAGTCTGGGTGACAGAGTGAGACTCCGTCTCAAAAAAAAAAAAAAAAAAAAATTGGCCAGGCCCGGTGGCTCACACCTGTAATCCCAGCACTTTGGAAGGCCGAGGCAGGCAGATCACCTGAGGTCAGGAATTCGAGACTAGCCTGGCCAACATGGCGAAACCCCGTCTCTACTAAAAGTACAAAAATTAGCTGGGCATGGTGGCGGGCGCCTGTAATCCCAGCTACTCAGGAGGCTGAGGCAGGAGAATTGCTTGAACCTGGGAGGCGTAAGCTGCAGTAAGCTGAGATTGCGCCGCTGCACTCCAACCTGGGAGACAAGAGAGAGACTCTGTCTCAAAAAAATAAATAAATAAATAAAACTAAATTACTATATTACATGGGCAGCTGTTAAAGTAAGAACTGATTCTTAAAATATTAGATGAAATGGAGACTTCACATGAATAATTTTTAAATGCAAAAAATAAAATGTCCTTTTTTCTTTCCTTCCCATTAGGCTTCCTTACCATCATGAGGATCTGTGGTTTGTGTTTCTTGGCTAATTCGGTAACATCCACTCCATTATAATAAAGATTTTCTAAACACCCATGAAAGCTTTTACGTGTGAATGCCCGTGATCTTCCGGGTGACAGAATTCCCCCAAAGCTGATCTTAGAAAGAAAAATGACATAAATAACATTGTTTAGTGATTTTCTGATGGTACGTGTTTAAAGCATTTATAAATTAATAGGTCTAGTACTAATTGTCACAAATCCATTCCCATTATCTTATATTTGCATGCTTGCTTATTCCAAATGAAGTGTTCTATCATAATGGCAGCTGTTAATACCTTTATTTCTGGCACCACACAGTTTTGAACAAACTTAAAAGGAAGAAGTCAACACACATTTTCTGCCACGTTGAAATTTTCAGCCATGTAGTTAAATTTACCCTTTGTGGGTCATATGATCTCTTTTGCAGCACTCAACTCTGACACGAAGTACCAATGTGGCCACGGACAACACATAAAGAAAGAGAATATGTTCCAATAAAACCTTCTCTTTTGAACAAAAACAGGCTTTGTATTTTTTTAATTAAAAAATGTCCAAACTTGGCCTGATGCCCAGTTTGCCAACCTCTGCATTAGATATTATCTTTTGCTATTACATGGTTAAATTAAAGTAATAAAACTGAATAATCCAGTATAGGACTAGGATCTTCAGTTTAATATTATATGCCAAAGCCACTTATGCCAGTAAATATCACAGTTTTTCTGGTTTGTTCTGATCCTTCATACACTTTAAGGTGTCCTGTGAAGGACTGGAAGAATAGATGCTATTTAACAGTGTAGCTTAGATACATATGGGCAATGGGTTGCAAAAAGCATTAATGACTTAAAAAATATCAGGATATTATTTATATGTGAGCATCTGACTTTCTTGTTATTTAATAAATCTATTGGTGTTTATCTTGTTAACTTCTCAAAGTGATCCTAAATAATGCTATGTTGGTTAGGATTGCACCAAGACAAGAAAAAAAATCCCCCAGGAATCTGCATAGTCAAACAACAAGTGTAATATACCAGATGAAATTTCAAATGAAATATATTCAAATGAGTACATTTAATAACAATGCTTGCTACCTTGGTATTTCTGCATTTGTGGATTTCCTAAACCTAACACTGACTGTTTACTTCTTTTCAAGGTGGAAAAGATGATCTATTATAATAAACTGACCTATTAGAAGGCATAAACAGTTTCATAGTACCGGGACAGACATACCTATTACTATTAGTCAACTTAGTTATGAATTACTATAAAATGGCATTTCTCTATGCAGCTACCTTATTTTTCAGGTTATATTTAATTTAAACTATATATCTATAATAACCTCAAAATTAAGATCCAAGTTACTGGAATCTCCCTTTGCTTGGAAATGATGAGTGTGTTTGTCCACGGTGAAGTTGACCTGCGTGTCGAGGAGCTCGATGAGGACGGAATGCCAGTGCTGGTCATCCAGCAGGCTGCCCAGGGTGAGGGTCACAGGAGCAATAGTAGAAGGCAGCTTAGCATTGCCTTAAAGGAGAAGGAAAAAAACAGTTATTTCTGTTCAAAATCACGGCTTCCCTTTTTTAGTTGAGCATCACAGTTTGCATCCAACTTTCCATCTTACAGAGTTGTTTTCTCACTTTCTCCCTATCTTGAACACAATAACCTTACCCTGTTTTTATTTTTTTAAGTTCAATTCTACACTTTGTTGAAATTTTTCTTAGTATTTTTTCTATTACTCATGACATTTGGATTTACATTGCAAATATTTTCTTTCTTAGAACCTCATTATCAGCATTATCTCATAATTTTATAATGATGTATTGTCTTTATGATATGGATAATCATATATTACATATATATTATACACACATATGGTGATCTTGCACAGTTTGTCAAAATATATGCTGTTTACAGAAATCATACTTAGGATATGTATTGCATGCATCTGGTAGTAATGCTCTTAAACTTTCATTTACATTTGTTCATTGCAGTTCTACTTTGCACTTACTGTCCCAGAGTAACTATCACTTGTGTATTTTTTATTTCTTAAAGGTGTTCTGGTTTAGATGATGAATTATATGGTCATTTTATCTAACTGTGAAAAGACTGAGTACCAACAAATGTAAACAGATTTTTTTTAACTACTGGTATAAAGTTCAAGTATTTTTTTACCTGAATTAAGAAAAAAGACAAGCTTTCCTTTAATTAATTCCAGAGTAATGTGATTTCCATGTTGTCCTTCTCTGTGAAGTAGAATTCCATTGCTCTGCATGGCTTTAAATTTCAAAGAAATAACATCTCTTATTGGTTTTAAAGGTTTTTTATCAAGTGTATACAGCAGAGCACTTTGTCCATCAAAATAAACCACCTCAGATTCTAGGAAAGAAGATATTAAAAAGCAATTCTAAATATAAATATGCCATACAGTAGCACATTGAAAATGTGTGCATCCATATGCCACACCACACACACATAGACACACATTGTATTTCTAAGCCATTCACTGAAGGAAACAACTGACAATAATATATTTTCTGGTGGCATCAGGAGTTGATATATGTAATACCCACTGTTAGATTTTTCTAACATTTTCTCAAACTTCATCATCTAGAAATGCTTTTATTAATCTACTCCCAATGGCTCTTATCTTTAGAGCAGCCCATTTCTTCTCATTCTGTTTGATTAAAAACACTCAGGAAAGAAGTCATATTTCACTACATAAATTATTTATTTTAAGGTCACTCTTATATTAAATATCAGTGTCACTCAATTTAAATACCTTTGTTCATTCCCAGTAGCTTTGGCTTCTCTTAATTCTTACACATGTACCTACTTTACTAAAGATTTTGTCTGTAAAGATACAGAAACACATATCATACTTATTAATTACTGCTTTAGACATGTAATAAATGTATTTTAAATGAGCTGACATGTAATATTTTTCTCAACCCTCAGCTAATGGTACTGCTAATGGGCACTGCAATGTGTCAACTTGGCTAGGCCATGGTAAACAGCTTTTGGTCAAACACTAGTCTTGATGTTGCAGTGCAGGTATTTTTTAGAGGTAACCAATATTAAATCAGTAAACATTGAGTAAAGCAGGTTAAACTCTATAACGTGGGTGGGCCTCATCCAATCAGTTGAAGGCTGTAAGAGAAAGAAAGAAAACTGAAGTTCTCTAGGAAAGAAGGAATTTTGCCTCCAGACAACCTCTGGACTCCAGCTGCAATATCACCTCTTACCTAGGACTTGCCAGTCCTTACAATCAGGTAAGCCAATTCCTTAAAACTCTCTCTCTCTCTCTACACACACACACACATACACACACACACACACACACAGGCACACAGACATCCTATTGGTTCTGTTTCTCTGGAGAGCCCTGACTGACAAAGGCACAGAGGTTTTGTTTTCTTGGATGCTTTGTTGAGAGAGCATGGCCTTAACACCTCTGTTTTGGTTCTTCCTGCTGTAGCTTGTCAGAACTCCAATGCTGCCACACTCTCTCAGCACTCTGTCAGGGTCTTATAAATTCACTATAAATGTCACATATGTTCAGCTCATCAAAAAACAAGTTGTTTCATTTTATCAGTAATATAAAATAATATTTGATAATATTTGTCAAAATCACATGAAGAAATTAATATTACCCAGAAAATCTCTTCTTTTTAAAAGTAAAAAGAAAAATAAGCAATTGTCCTTTGAAAAATATATTTATTTAATAAATGAAGATGCATGAAAACCTAGTGAAATATGAAACTATTTGAAGCTGATGAGCTGATGTCATTCAAGCCAATAAGATGGCATTGTTTAATTATATTTAATTTCACAAAAATATTACTAGTACTTTTTGCATGGCTATCCATTTCATTCACAGTATCTGAAATACATATAGTAAACTGCACTTCAAAAGTTCTCCATTTTATGTATCATTTTAAAATTTAGAAGTTTGATTTTCTCACATTGGGTTAATGTACTTACAAGGAATTAATGTATCAAGTGCATGATGAATAAGCACATTCTGAGTAAAATATGTGTAAATTAAACAATTATTCCTTGTTACATAACTTATTATGTGTTCATGATAAAAACAAAACTCTCTGTCAAATGTAAATGAAGACATCTAAGATTATTATTCCCTGGCCATGAACTAAGGGAAACTTGAAAAAGATTGACTACAGACTTTCACATTTTTAGCACTTCCCTTATACTTATAATCATGTCTTTATTTGTTGCTTAAAGAAAATGCTAATATTTGAGCTATTTTTTTTTAGTTGACTAACAAAGTTTTCTTCCCGAAAAGGTTTTTTCTGGATTATTGCAACCTATACATTTCTTTTTCTCATTCTATGTTTACTATTACTCTCCAACAGCAGTATTGGTCTTCTAAGGCATGTGAAGTACAGTTCCTGGAATGTTTCCCTCAGGCAAATAGAATAGTAAAAAACTTATCAAGTAAAAGAGACATAAAGCAATGACCTTGAAACTCTTTTGTTCTTTAGCTAATACCTTGATTTTTTCTTTATTGTAATCGCTAGTGCTTGTATCTAGAAATTTAAGAATATACTTATAGCTCATTATGCATATTTTAAAATAAAAGCAGATTAATGAATTGTAAATCCAAACTTTCTAAAAATCATAAAACATTCTATGATTTATGAAGTCAATACATAAAAATATGAAACAAAAAATGATGTTTGGGATGGAAAGCATTGAGTTCAATAAGTCAACAGTAATGAGCCCACCAAGATCAGCACTGGAGAGGGACAACTCCCATGTAGTCCCTCTTGAATAAGATCCTCCCACTGGAGAAGCAAAATTTCAAGTCTTGGTCTTTAGAAGTAATGCTAAAAGGTAAACTCTCTTCTCACTTGTCCACAAAAGTCATACTTTTAGCATTTTAAAACACTTGCAAGAGCAAAGAAAAGTTCTCCCAGCTGGTCAGGTGCAGTGGCTCATGCTTGTAATCCCAGCCCTTTGGGAGGCTGACGCGGGCAGATCACTTGGGCCCAAGAGTTCGAGACCAGCCTGGGCAGCATGGCAAGACTGGTCGCACTTGCTTATATTCCCAGCTACTTGGAAGGGGGAGGTGGGAGGATCGCTTGAGCTCGGGAGGTGGAGGCTGCAGTGAGCAGTGCTTGTGTCACTGCACCCCAGCCTGGGCAACACAGCAAGACCCCATTTCAAGAAAAAAACAGTTCTACCTAGCCATAATCAATGCAAATATTCCCCTACAATATATATTTGAATAATACACTAAAATAAAATAATTCCAGTAACACATTTAATATAATCTTTTCTCAGAAATCTGTTGGAAAAAATCCTTTGTATGAAATTCAATTATATAAATAGGAAATGTAGTGGGATACTGGAAAATTAATGTCACTTATTATGTTTACGATAAAATCCAACGTTCCTCAAAGTTTTCAGAATAAAAGCCTTGCTATCCAAAATGAATAAAGAAAACTTAGCTTGTGGTTTAAAGCAGGAAGTGCTTTTCTAATTTTATATGAATTTAGTTTATAATTATTAGCTTTATTAATTAAGATTATAGTTTTGATTGCTGAATCTCGATCAGTATTAGCAATGTGGACCCCTGACACGTTAGTCTGTCACCATTAGATCAGGAGCCACATTTTCTAGTACACTAGAGTATATACTGTGTGGGCTTGAATCCTGACTCCATCCTGGAAAAGTTACATAGCCTCTCTCTGCCTCAGTCTACTCATAAGTGAAGTGAGAACACATACACTCCTCTCTCACAAGATCGTTGTGAGGGTTAAATGAGTTAGTATTTGTACTTTTACAACAGTGCTGGGCACATGGGGTACCTTCAGTGAACGACTGCTTCATTATTATTGTCAGGGCACTGGGCAGAAAAAGAGGTGGAAATGAGTTTAAAATAGCACATAGGGGATATATAGGAAAGTAGACAGCTTAAAATGATAGCAGATTTAATTTTTGAAGGACCTAGGAAATCTTCAGTTTCCACCAGGAAAAAGAGATTTACAACCATTCATCCACACTTACACAGCTCCTTCTCTGCCAGCCAGCTTGTTCCTGGGCTGACTCACTTCAATCACTGGTAACCTAAATCTTACTCAGAAGTATTAATATATCTATCTCATTTTCTTGTGTTAGAGGACCACGAGAGTTTTTAAATGATACTTGAAGATTATTGGTGCAATTATAATGTTTTTGTCACACTTCCTCAAAGAATACCGGAAAAACTAAGGACAGATATGTTCACAAAGTTCCCAAATACGAATTCTTGCAGATAAAGAACTTTGTCATACAAGGAAGAACTGTGTCAGAAGTAATTTTGCTAAAATGTGTTATGTCCTCATTCATACAGCTAATATTCACTGAAAGCCTTCCATATGCAGGTGAAAGATAAAAATGCAGAAGACAATGAATTACTTTTAAGGATCCCACAGTATGGAAAAGAGGACATATAATCCTGAAATATGATTGTTTCTGCCACATTCACAGTGATGCTTCTGTAAACAGGCATCTGGTCCAGAATGACTTCTAAGAAAGGATAAGGAAGGAGTCTACCTTCTTTAGACTCCTGCAAAGTATGACGCTTCTGAAAAGCTAAGACATAAGTAATTTTGAGTTGCTATTTCCTTTATTTCCTTACGCCATATTTTATCTTCACATTTTACTTTTATTAGAAACAGAGACTCACTCCGTTGCCCATGCTGTAGTGCAGTGGTACCTTCATAGCTCACTGCAGCCTTGAACTCCTGGGCTCAAGTGATCCTCCAGCCTCAGCCTCCCAAGTAGCTGGGATTATAGGCATGCACTACAATGCCTGGTTAATTTTTTACTTTTTTTCTAGAGATGGGGGTCTCACTATGATGCCAAGGCTGGTCTTGAATTCCTGGGCTCAAGCAATCTGCCCACCTCAGCTTCACAAAGTGCTGGGATTACAGGCATAAGCCACCCCGCCTGGCCTACTTTCACATTTTTCACACCCAGAATGTACTCTTAAATCTGGCTTCTCATTACTACTTTTCTACTTCTCACTGTCATTCTAAGCACAGGCATGTCTCATCCCCATCCTACCTTGTACTGCCTTTTCAGGGGAAACATCAACATTGAGAGGAAAACATTGCTTGAAAACAGCAAGATTCCATAGGGTGCAAACACTGATGTCTTACAAAAGAAAAAAAAAAAAACACGATTCCACAGAAATTTTCTTAAAGTGTTCTATCAATCACCTTCACTCAGATTGACTAGGAGTGACCACTTGGAGACTTTAGAACGTGAGCCTCAACCAGACCAGGAATCAGGATTTCTGTGGTTGAGACCCAGGGGTTTGCATATTTAATAAGCTAACTAGGTAGCTGTGATGACACAAAGGCTTCAGGATGATTTATCAGGGATAATGGGCAAATTACAGAGGTTTACTCTCTAAATAAATTGAATATTAATTCCAATATGGGGTGAGGCACAGTGGCTCACACTGTAATCCTAGCACTTTAGGAGGCAAAGGCAGGTGGATCATTTGAGGTCAGGAGTTCAAGACCAGCCTGGGCAACATGGTAAAATTTCTACTAAAAATACAAAAAAATCAGCTGGGTGTAGTGGTGCATGCCTGTGATCTCAGCTACTCAGGAGGCTGAGGTGGGAGAATAGCTTGAACCCAGGAGGCAGAGGTTGCAGTGAGCCAGGATTGCTCCACTGCACTCCAGCCTGGGCAACAGAGAGAGACTCCCTCTCAAAAAAACAACAACAAAACCCACAATTGCCAATATGGAAACATGAATATCATTTTCATAGAGTTATAATTTATATTCAATAAATTTAAGGTTATAGTTCAATGAGTTTTAACAAATATATATACCTACGTTATTGCCAAAGAATCAAGGTGTAGGCAATTTCATATCAACTCACTAATTGCCATTTGCATCAAACTCCCAACACTGTCACCGAGACCCAGACCCAGACCCAGGAAACCAATGATCTACATTCCGTAACTACAGATTAGTTTTGTCAGTTCCAAAATTTCATAAAATTGTATCGTGTATGTGTTCTTTTGTGTCTGAGTTCCTTGCTAAGTGTAACATTTTTGAGATACACACATGCTGTTGCATATATCAACAGTCTGTTCTTTCTTATTGCTTGGGGTATTCAACTGTTTGACAACTTGTTTATCCATTTACCTGCTGATAGACATTTGAACTGTTTCCAGGTTTAAACTCTTATAAATAAAGCTGCTAGGAACATTCACACATACATCTTTATGTTGACATATGCATTCATTTCTGCTGGGTAAATACATGGGAGTGGAATTGCTGAGCTATATATTAAGTGTATATTTAGCTTAGAAGAATGCCAAATTGTTTTCCAAAGTGATAGTATCATTTTCACATTTCCCACCAGCAATGTATGAGAATTCCATATCTTTGCCAAACACTTGGTGTTTCCACCCTTTTTAATTTTAGCCTTTCTGCTAGGTGTATAGTGGTTTCTCATTGTGATTTTATTTCTCTAAAGACTAGTGACGATTCATTTTAATATAATAATAAGTTAGAATAGATGTATTGGGATTCTGTAGATCAATTCGGGGAGGATGATAAGAATATTGAATCCTGCAATCGATGAATACACAAAGCTTTCCTAGGAAATATTTGCCTTTATTCACTCACATATTTTCTTTCCTTCTGGGCATAATAAGAGGAACTTAGGGAAAACAGGCCTTGGTTCTGCATTCTCAGTAAAGGCCTTGATCTCTATCTTTAATTTTCATGCATGATCTTTCCTCTCTATTTCTTTTCTTTCCTCTCTCTTTTCTCCTTCTCCCATTTCCTGGTAAAGATAGTTGATTGCACAGAGTCTGGAATCCTCTGTGAGTAGGTTCACATTCCAATTCTTCAACTTACTTATTTCTGATGGACATGGAT
Source organism: Homo sapiens (assembly GCF_000001405.40). NCBI lineage: Eukaryota > Metazoa > Chordata > Mammalia > Primates > Hominidae > Homo > Homo sapiens. The sequence goes on from NC_000009.12 coordinate 42,005,141, forward strand.
TTACTTTTTCATCTTATTTTGAGTTTCTATTTATTTTACTTTTTTATTACAAATTTTTATTTTTTTTGAGACAAGGTCTCACTCTGCCACGCAGGCTGGAGTACAGTGGCATGATCTTGGCTCACTGCAGCCTTGACCTCACTGGGATCAAGCGACCCTCACACCTCAGCCTACTGAGTAGCTGGGACTACAGGCACACATCACCATGTCCAGATAATTTTTGTATTTTTTGTAGAGATGGAGTTTTGCTGTGTTGCCCAGACTGGGCAATCAAGTAATCTGCCTGCCTTGGCCTCCTAAAGTCCTGGGATTACAGGCATGAGCCACTGTGACCGGCTTTATTTATTTTTAAAAAATATTTATTGAAATTTAATTAGCACTTCAGTGTTTTACAGAAAAATAATTTTCCAAAATATTAAGTAGATTGTATTATAAACACATTATTATATGAAAAAATTATATACACTTTGTTTTCTTCAATACATTTCCCATGGCATTAAAAGAAATGCAGTTAGTTATATTTTCAGTTATGACAAGCAAACATTCAGAAGACTACACTTCCTACCAAGGACAAGTAGAAAATGTGTACCAAGTAAAGTTTAAATAATCTTCTTGAAAGTTTTAAAGATCTACTATGACTGCCAGGACTCAAGAATGTAAAGATCTTAGAAGACAAGCTCAGAACACTCTTTCTGCTTTTACCCTTGAAGCACTGGTCAACTCCCAAGGAGCAATGGGCAAGAGACAAGGTGGCCAAGCAGAAAGTGACAGGACAGCTATGAGGCTGGGTCACGAAGCAGGGGTCTCTGTAGACTCATCACAATTAGGAGTCAGATGGCAGAATTCAGAGATTTTCAAAAAAATGTTTTGGCAAAGGCCTTCAAATCTCAGTTGGGACTAGTGAAGCACTGTACTCCAGATATAAGATATCAACTAGGTCTCATGGGGACTGAGACGCTGCACTGAGTCAGTTAAATGCTGATTTGAATTAACAACTGTGCCTAACCTAGAAGCCTATCAGAGGCTGTGGTGGGGATTCACTGGGGGATCACTTTGTCTTCTCTAGCCTCTACAAATTTCTGTCCAACATGTCCAGAATTCAGCCAAAATTATCAGACATCAAAACGGAAACAAAAACCAGACAATGGAAAAGATCAAGAGATAATCCAGATATTGAAGTTAACGAAAAATCTTTAAAATAACTGTAATTAATATTTCCAGGAAAATAGAGAGCAAGATAAGGAGTTTCACTAGGATACATGAACAGAAATTCCCAAACTGAAAATCGCAATAACTAAAATTAATAGCTCACTGGCATATTCAACAACAGATTGGTCACAGCAGAAGATCTGATTAGTAGTATAGAAGATAAAGCAGTACACAATGTCTAGACTGCAGCATAAATAGAAAGAAAAGATGAAAGAGGAGAGGGAGAGAGAGAAGCAGGAGGAGGGAGAAAGAGAGAGACAAAGAAAGAAAATAAGATACAAACATCTCAGACAGATGTAATTGGAGTCTCAGAAAGGAGGAAAGGAAATGCGAGACAGAGGCAATATTTTGAAGAAGTAACAGTGAAGAATTACCCAATCTAATAATCAATGCACAGAAAAAAGAAATTTAGTGAAATCCAAAGAGGACAAATTCAGTGAAAACTAAAATAGCCACATCAAGGCAAAACTGCTGAAAATCAAAGACAAAGAATAAATTCTCAAAAGTAACCAGAAGAAAAATACACATTTCCCTTATAGGATAAAAATCAATTACCTATTGATTTCTTAATAAATATCATGAAAACAATAGAATGCCATCTTTAAAAGGCCGAAAGAAAATAACTACAGACCGTATTCTCCAGCAAGCTGAAACAGCCTTCAGAAGTTCACATAAAATAAAGACAATTTTCAAGCAAACAAAAGCTATATGACAATTTATTACCAGTAGAACTGGGCTAAGACAAATATTAAAAGGAGTCTTTCTAGCTGAAAGAATTTGATTCAGAAAGAGCATGAAAATGCAGAGAAAGTAAATATGTGAGTAGATTCAAGTGAATACTGATTGCAAACAAAATTATATTAAATTTTGTGATTAAAAATATATGTACACATATACACATGTATGTATGAAACTAAAATGTGTCAACATAGCACACATGGTGGGAAGAGTTTAACTAAACTAACATAAGTTGTACTTACATCCTAGGATTGTTTGGAAAGTGATAAAAGTAGTAGCTCAAGTACCTGGGGGAACAAAATTAGAACAGCAAACAATAGTGGAAAAACTGGAAAAATTAAACTTGATTAACCCAAAAGAAGAGGAGAGAAAAAGGAGTATAAAACAAGTGAACCAAATATAAAACAGAGAGTAACATGTCAGCTACAATTTCACATATGTCAGTAATTACATTTAATATAAGTGGACTAAATATAACAACTAAAACTCAATGATTTCCAGATTCGGTTTAAATAATAAAGAAAGAGTCCTTACATATGAAGACAAAAAGTTTGAAAGTAAAGAATGGAAAAAGTTATTCCATGAAAACACTAATCAGAAGAAATCCGGCATAGCTATACAGTACTATCATCAGAGAATGCAGACTTACATGCAGGAGGCATTATTAGAAATAAACAAGGATATTTCATAATTACAAAAAATCAACTTTAAGGGAGATAAAACAATTCCCAATCTATATGCATTTAATGAAACAGCTTCAAAATATGTAAAGCATGTATCTCTTTTCATTTTACTGGAATTCATAGTTCAGGCATGCTTATTAATGGTAGACACAAAGGAGGACAGTAGGTACACTGTAGAGTTGACTCTGCCTACCACTAGCCAAAGGAAGTCACTGGCTGGCTCAAAAATCAGGGGGCAGGGAAGCATACGCCACTCACACGTACTGGCAAGGAACAGGTGCAGAATTGGTGCCAGTGATGCAAACTAGCACAGCGTGTATATATAAAAGTGATAAAACAATTAAAGGAACTTTACAGAGGTAGGTAGTTCTAACTTCATTAGAACACCAATGAAGAAATACAAACTTGGACCATCTCAGGAGTTATGAAAATTTCCCATGTCTCAAATTCTAATCAAGGACAGGTAAAATTTTGGAAGGGAGAAAATAAAATTTGCTTTTGTCCAGTCACTATTTGTTCTATTTGTTTTGTTTTACCGGAAACCTCCACTTGCCATCTGTTGTTCCTACAGAAAACAGTACAGCACTCAGTTAATCCAGATGAAGCTGCTAATATTCAACTGTATTTGATCTACAAAACTGGCAAATATATGGTTCAACCAATTATAAGTGAAGCTAGAATGATGAATAAGAAAAGGACTGATTGGTAATAGCATAGCTATGTAAGACAGTCTGAATGACATATAAAACTATTTGAAGACTAAGTTATAAGAAAATGTAACAGAAAATGCATGAATAAAGAATTACCTGTGAGTAATAAAAAATGATTTTCACTTGGGACATTATAAAAGAAATCTTCGTGAAAAGAACATTTTAGAATTCTGTTAATTATCTCGGCTGTGCTCCAAGTATTAAAATTTTAAAAAGGAATCCACCACTCCCAGACCCCCTCCCCCACCAAATTTTCCGCCACTAAGGGACCAAAAAAGTGGTGAACCAAGCTCTTCTTGGTTATTTATGAAGTCAACCTTGAATACTAACCATTTTCTTTTTTCTTCATGAATTATTGCCGTGACTTACAAAGGAATAGAAGCCCAATCTCAGTTTAACAGAAACATGAATCAGACAAAAGCCATGTTTGAGTGTTATCTAATGAAAATACTGAAACACTAGCATGGAGTGGAATGTAAGCCCTTAAAATCTGCACTAGCGGACTGGGAATTAAAGAGATGGAAAGGATACTAACCACTTGAGAAAACAACAAGAAGAGGACTGTTCTATTTTTTGCATTAATATCAAAGAAAGTGGAGTGATTTAAAGAACTCTGAAATTGAGGATAATTAAAGCTGGCATGATAAAAAGGAGGAAGGCACAGAATCAAAAACTAAATGTTTATATACAATACAATGCAGCTTGATGCTGTCTCTCTGAAAGTAGAAAAGAAGCTGCCGCCATCAATCAATATAGCAATATATCAAAACAAGTATCAATATAATGATCCTTTATGAAACCTCGGCAGTTATTATCCATCAAGAACATGGAATTGGTAGTCAGAGGACTGGAGTCCTCTCCCTGTCTCTGGTGACTATTTGTAGCTCCTGCACTGCCGGCCCTTGGTGTGGCTTCTCAGATTGCTCACTTGGAACATCTGGGTGTTAATAACTGCCTTTCTACTACATAAAGATGCATCAAATATCAGATGGAAGAATGGAAACATAACTGTAAAACCTTATATTCGCTATTTTTACTAGAGTTATTACAATTTTTAATACTACACTTTATAACAATATAATCTCCAAGATACCTGCCTTACCTGGATGGCTAGTATAAGAGAGAAATAAATATCTGAAATTTAGATTCATTATTCAGATTTTATTATCATCTGTCAGACTTTTTTTCTGAATTGCTTCATTCATTCATTCACTCAATGCAAAGCTATGGTGCACTTAGTATGTTCCTGGCTCTGTATTAGGTGCTGATGTTACAGCAATGAATGTACCTTACCCTAGTGTAGCCTGAAGGCTAATGAGGAAAAAGGAAATTAGGCCTCTAATAAGACAGATACAGATACATTATAAAAAGTGACTATAGCACATGAAGTCATACTATAGGCTTCCTGGGAACTTATAATGAGGAACCAAATGTAGAGTGAGGGCCTAGGAAGCATCATTTAAACTAAGATCCAAAAGAGGAAGAGTAAATAGCCAGTCAAGAACATAGGGAAGGAGCATTTCAAGCAGGGGAGACCACAGGCGTAAAGGCTTTGAGTCAGTAAAAAGCTGGATACAATTGACAGTGGACAGGTAGCAGGTGACGGCAGCAAGAGGTGGCACTGGAGAGTTATTCAGGGACAAGCTCCTTCAGGCCTTGCTGGGAGTCTGGATGTTGTTTTAGGAACAATGGAAAGCCACTGATGGTATTAAACAGGGACGTAATTGTATCAGTTCTGCATTTTTAAAAGGTAACTTGAGTTGCAGTGTGGAGAATATAATGTAGTCAGCTATGAACAGAGACAGAATGACCCAAACTTGGAAGGCAATTTCCATAATCTGTGGGACACCAAGTTTAGATTAAGTCGGTAGTAGAGCTAAAGAGAGCTGAAATCATGCAAGGTGTAATTTGGAGGGAAGAATACAGAATTTCGTGACTCACTGGACATGGAGGGCAAGAGAGATAGATGCGTCAAGGACTTATAGGGTTCTGGCCTAAGATTCTGGGAGTTCCCCTTTGTTCTTGAGAGATGCCCTCAAAGGCCTGGACAGGCAGTAGAGCATAGGGAATTTATTTTTCTGTCTAAGGCCTCTGGGAAACAATCCTAGTGTCTTGGGTGTGGCTTTAAGCATGTTTCAACAATCGAGTTTGAACAATCGAATGTGCATGTTTTTCCAGGAATCATCCTGATTATTGTGTGGACTAAAAACTGGAAAGATCAAGACCAGAGACAAATAGCTGATTTAGGAGGCTGGTGCTCATTTAGGCTAAACTGGAGGAAGAGAAAGAAATTCAAAACATTTAGGAGATAGAATCAGGTTTCAGTCAATAGGTGGCTGTTGGTATCATTTTATAAGATGGAAAACAAAGGAAAATGAGCAGATAGACAACTGAGTTTTAAGTGCTCACAGGGCCAGTGAAGAGAGGTTGGTACCAGAGGTTGGAACTCCTCAGAGTAGGTTGCGGATACGTCTATTTGGAAGTTATCAGCCACAGTGTGTAAATGCTACTGAAAACTCATGGAAGTGGATAAAAGACTCAGAGAGAGCTTGGGAGCAGGATAAAAGACCTACAACCAATCTGTGGATAATGTTAGCCTTTAAGGAGTGGCAAGAAGAGTAGCATGCAAAGGTGCATGGAAAACCAGGAGAATACAGCTGTCAAGAAGGGCCCGAGGCCATCTGTGCTCATGGCTTTATTCTGCAGTTGAGCAGCAACTCTGGGAGAACCTACAACCTATCCCCAGGCTAGAAGTGGAAATAGAAATAAATGCATAGAGTAAGCCAGGAGTCTGTGAAAACACACACAGTTTAAAGGAATAATGAATCTATTACTGTAAATGAAGTGTAGAAAAGCTAATAACACTAGGGCTGGGCAGTCCCAGCTACTCAGGAGGCTGAGGTAGAGGATCGATGGAGCCCAGGGGTGCACTATGATGATCAGGTGTCTGAACAAATTTTAGCATCAAATGGTGATCTCTCCGAGCGGAGGACCATCAGGTTGCTTAAGGAAGAGTGAACTAGCCCTGCTCCCAAATGAAGCAGGTCAAGACTCCCGTGCTGATCAGCAGTGGGATTGTGCCTGTAGCCACTGCACTCCAGCCTGGGCAACATAATGAGAACTTGCCTCTTAAAATAAAAAAAGATAAATTGATAAATACATAAACAAATAAATGGGAAGAGATGCTGCGTGGAAGGGATATTATAAGTCATTATAAGCAACGTTCTAGAAAACAAGCAGGGCAGTGGAAATACAAAGGAAAATACTGAAACTACCATTATTAACATAAGTCATAAAGGGTTGTATTACTGTCAACAACAAAAATAAAATCACCATACTTGAACAATTATTCTTCTAAGGAAAAAAAGACAATGTAGATGTCCACTTGTTCTAAAGAATTACTTTTAGCTAGTTAGCAGTGGTCACATATTATCTGTCTGCATGTTTGGGTTTTTTTACTAGTAGTCCCTTACAGCCAACAGCATGTGTTTACAGAAGTTAACGGTGCCAGCAGATTGCATGGCAGCTGCACCGCCCACCGGCCCTTCCTGGAATCAGGCACAGGGCTTTGATCTTCCTGGTACCAACCTCCAGCCCAAGGAACTGGAGTAATATCTCTTCATGAAGGAACATCAAGCTAATGGCAAATCGCCATCAAAGAGCATGTTCCACTTTGGAGTCAGTAAACCTGAAGTTGTTTCAGAGTAATGAGAGGAGAAGGTAACTTCACAGCATCAAAGAGAAATTCTAAATATCAGACATCTTAGCCATTGAAACAGAGAGCACAGTTATAGGTCCCAGAAAACACAGGGATGGAAGGAGATGAACAATAACAGGAAGAAAAAAGACCGTTGGTAAAGCAACATCATTATATTTAGCCCTGTAGAAATGTAAACACTAAAAAACAAGCAGAGTTAGGAAATGAACTGGGTTGTACAGGGGTTATGTAATAAAATGGAAATAATAGTATCTGAGACATTAAATGCTGCATGAATGACAGACGTTGTTATCATGCTTTAGAAAATTAATATTCTGCAGGGCTAAAGCTGTGAGTAGGCAGAGAATGGGAGTGACTGTGTGTAAATAGTGTGATATGAACATCCGGCCGGACCCAAATTGAAGCCACTTAAGACATTTCCATCCAGACTGCTCTTTGACTTGTTCTCCAGTTTTATACAGGAGTATTTTTCAATTTTATTCCATTTTGACAATAATTTAAAACATTTTTATGATAATGTAAAGAAAGAATACAAGTATGTTCTAGATCATCAAGTGGCAACTGTGTCACTGAGTACCACCAAATAATCTCACGGCCGGCTTTTTGTTTGTGTTATATTCATGTCGGCCCCATCCTTTCCACTTTTATAACAAAGAATAGGTGAGAAAAGAGGCTAACTAAACACAGGTTCCCACCAAGTGAAGATCAAGTGAAGCGACAGCATGGTGTGCAAAAGAGGACGTTAGCAGAGAAAAACACAGAGAACCAAGAGATTGCGAGAAATCACACCCTGCCCCCAGTACAGCTCCTGTTTTCCCAGACAGCGTGTCATCTCAGCTTCAGAAAAACAGCATCATCTGTTGTTAGTTTGAATTGTATTCGTTTCATCAGATGCCTACCATATTGCAAGTACTTTGCTAAACTCTGGGAATCTAAAGACAGGTAAGTTTCAGTTCAGGTCCACCACTAAATTCAACTATAAAAGACAGTAACTAAAGTTCATATTGTCATGGGGAGACACTAGAGTGTTTCAATAAAAACCAGTTCTGCTTGCCCAGCTATATAAAAAGACAGAAAAAGTCAAGTTCAACATTTCATGCCGACATTGGCTTTTACAGTTTGGCTTTGACAGAATCTCATGCTGACCTTGATTTCACACAGGGAATAAAGGCCACTTACTATATGCACATCCGTACACTTCGATCCGCATCCCAATCCTGCCCCTGGGGTTCCAGGCTAAAGGGAGAAAGCGCAGGAACCTGGCTTCAAAGGGAGGCTGGAGTCTGTAGTGCACCACACTGTCTGCGTTTGTGTTTCCTGGAAAACCCTAGGAGAAAACAGAGAAAGGGATCAATGTATCTGCAGGATGCACCATCTTCATGTCGTCACCTCTCATGGCAATGAGCAATGTATGCTCGCTTTGCTAATATGCAAAAAGCTGCTGTTTTAAAGGAAACACTGCTAATGGTTAACAAGGATGTGACAACCTCTCCAGTCCCTGAATTCGTCACCATTGTCTACGTTTTTTTATTTACAAGGTAGTTTAAATTTCATCCACATCATTAAAATGACTATAAACATGGCAACCTCTATGAAGTTCACTTTTCTAAAATGCTATCCCACAGATTCCTCCCTAATCAAGTGGTAAAGATGCTCACAAAAAGCCACATCACATGGCAGGGCAATCGAGCACCACGGTAACATGCAAAGGATCTGCAGTGAGAATCCTGGAATCTGCAATTAGAGAGTTGGAAGGGACCTAGACATGATTCCAGCCCCACACCCTTAATTTATAAATGAAAAACTACAGTCTAGGAAGAAGAAAGGACACTCTGGATGTAGGACAGCTATCATAGAGTGTGGGCAGGATTACATCTGGCTTTTATTTCAATGGCATCATTGATTCCATGTTATCAGGCTGAATCCACTTCACAGTGAACACAGCTCCATGCACCTGTGGCCTGCTTCCTGGGGGTGTCAAGAGGAGCACACTGCCACTATCTGCTCCAGGACAAAGGGGCTTTCACTCTTCACTCCATCTTGCTATCTGAACATTGGGAAGGATCAGAGTGCAAAGCAAACAAAATTGTTTTAGATATTTTTTCATTGTTTTCAGATTTTTAAGAATATGGCATGTGTGAGAACAAGGAAAGGGTTAATGCTCTTTTGCACTAGAAGTGCTATCACCTAACATGACTGGGGCACATAGTTAATATTTATGTATGGAACAGGCCAGCAGTTAGTTCAACCAAGAATGAAGAATGTCTCCTGCCTAATTATTTTGCTGTACTAAAGAATGTACCAGGCTTAGGGCCAGCGCGTTGGCTCACGCCTGTAATCCCAGTACTTTGGGAGGCCAAGTCGGACAGATCACGAGGTCAGGAGATCGAGATCATCCTGGCTAACACGGTGAAACCCTGTCTCTACTAAAAATACAAAAAAATTAGCCGGGCATGGTGGTGGGCCCCTGTAGTCCCAGCTACTCAGGAGGCTGAGGCAGAAGAATGGTGTGAACCCGGGAGGTGGAGCTTGCAGTGAGCCGAGATCGTGCCACTGCACTCCAGCCTGGGCAACAGAGGTAGACTCCGTCACAAAAAAAAAAAAAAAAAAAGAATGTACCAGGCTTAACAACAAAACGAAGAGAATAAAGATCAGCCTGCCTCATATCCAACCACCAATGGGTGTCCCTGGGTATAAACACATGGAAATAAAAATATAGGAAATGCCTTAGTGAATGTGGTCAATTTTAAATGCTAGTGTTGATGTCAGACTTGGTAACAGTTCGTCTATTGCTAATTCATGCCAGTTCCAAGAGAATCATTTCACCTTTTTTTTTTTTTTTTTTTTCTGAGACAGGTTCTCACTTTGTCTTCCAGGCTGGAATGCAGTGGTGCGATCTAGACTCACTGCAACCTCTGCCTCCCAGATTTAAGCAATTCTCCTGCCTCAGCCTGCCCAGTAGCTGGCATTCCAAGAGCATGCCACCACACCTGGCTAATTTTTGTATTTTTAGTAGAGACGGGGTTTTGCCATGTTAGCCAGGCTGGTTTCGAACCCCCAGCCTCAAGTAATTTGCCCACCTGGGCCTCCCAAAATGCTAGGATTACAGTCATTAAGCCACCATGCCCAGCCAGAGATAATCATTTCACTCTTGTTCCAACTAAAGGGTCATGTACATCAACATTTTTTGAGTTAACAATCGCTATACAAACTTCAGGTAAATATTTGCACAACCTCTGCACTCACAACCTTCTGTCTGGACAGCCCAGGCTGACCTATATAAAATAAGCCATATCCCAGCTCCACCACCTCAAACCCTGCTACTCTGCTGCAAGCTGCGGTTTCTTCATCTGTAAAACTGATCTTGAAGGGCCAGAGTACTAATTGAGATAACACCTGGAAATCAATCAGCCCACCACCTGCGTGGAGGTGGCTGCTGTGACTGTGACCCAGGTTGGTCATTGTTGGCATGGTTGGTAGAGATGGTTGATCCATCCTTTTATTTTGGTTCTAATTTGGGTTTAATATCTAAGACATACAGCCAAGCTAATACAGGAACATCAGATCCTATGAGCATTTTGACTCCAATGTTAAAATTCAGTTGCAGAATTAAAATCATATTTTTCTGTAGCTGAATAAACTTTGTAAACCTCAGTAAAAACAATACAATAAAAACCTTTCAAAGGAACCCTACCAAAACAGAATTTTTTCACCTTTATCTGCCAAATGTTACTTCTTTCTCAATTTGTTTCAAAGTGTAAACTCTGGAAAATATACTTCTGAGTGATGTGATAATAGGATCATGTAGCAAAATAAAATTTAATGTCAATTTTTGCGTAATTAAATAGATTAACATTTAAGAAACTTTAAATAGACATTACCTAATAGTTTGTGAATAAGGCAGATGAGAAACATACTCTTTGCAACTTCAGAGATATCAATAAAAAATCAAACATTTATTACATATGACTAAAATATATTTAAAAGTTTATATATATAATCACATTAATTCATTTGAAATTTCAGAAATCACATTATTGTCTTATATAGAATTATAACCAGCTTCATGGGATACCAACCAAATGAACCATTGTTCTTTAAAGATATAGAAATTAAAGAGAATACATTTTGGGCAGGAAAGATTTATACTAGCATTTCACTGTCATAACATTCAGGGCTTATTATTGAAATAACCTTATCTATAACAGTAAAATAATGTGTGTCTTAAAAATATGCAGTGTAGTCTCTTATTCATTATATTCAAAGTTTGCTTCGAGAGCTTGCAGAGCAGACATGAGTTCATACGTAAGCACATGACCACTACGGACAAAAGAATGGCGAACACAAATACCTATTCCTGCTTTGTTTTATTAAGGTGGAAAAATGAACCTTCTAGAAGGATAAGCCAGCTTTTATAGAAATATGCAGCCTTCAACAATTCTGCAGAGGATTACGTCTTCATTTTAGACATAAACAGCAAAAGTTACAGCTCTGTGGAGAGTGAGAGTATACAGAATAGTTTTTGGAAGCCATAGTCCTTCAAATTCTTTTCTGTCTTAGCAGGCATGTGACCTTGGGAGAAATCATCATCTTTCTTTGTAAAGTAGAAAAATTATATCTATCTGGCAATCTTGGTAAGAATTAAACTAGTTAATATATATAATGTATTTTTAAGATTATAAATCATTTATTTTTTACAGCATTCCTCTGCAATTTGTGTGTGTGTGTGGTGTGTTCATGTATAAAAGCTCCATCTTATTGAAAGACAGTCACTTAAGTTTGATGTGGATTCTCTGTCTTTGAGGGCATTCTAGCTAAGTATTATATTAAGTAATCAAAAATGAGTATTTTCAGATAAAATGATCAGTTTTCATAACATGTTCCTTAGGTATACATGAAAGTGACTGAAATCTGTGGCTTGGAGTCCACTCACATGCTGGAAATATGTTTCATAAATAACTTAGGAATTAATGACATTACTGAAAAATTTCCAACACTGTACTTTGATTTTTAGCAGTCACATTAGTTAAATCTAACAGTCACAGTCAGTGATGGTGCTCATGTGATATCCTGGTCTGCAAAATGTTAAGCACATGGATAGTTGTGGTTGAGTATGAAATACCCAGATTGACAGCCATAAGCAGAAAAAAATCTGTCAAGGTAAGACTCATCAACAACTATTTTTAAGAAGACTGTTAGAAATTTGTTATTTTTCCAAATTTGTCATTTTGTCGTTTCTGTTTTAGTGGGTTTTTATCATCAAATCTTTATTTTAAATTACGAGATACTGAAATGAGTCTCTGAATTTTAAAATAAGCATTAAATCTCTACTATGCATAGGGCCACCACTGTCCTATGCAATTTCACACATCAATTCAGTTAGTCCTCACAAAGATGTTAGAAAAACCTGTCTAAAAGAAATAGATTCTTCAGCAGCTTCAGCTTATTATTAGTTTCCCAAACACTCAAATGTACTACGAGAGATTCTTATTTTAATATGCTGTTATTATTTTAAGCTGTCTGTGTGTGGGGTAAGAAAGTGCCCGTGAGTCCCTGAGTTCTAATTCTGTTTCCTTAATTGCCAGACTATGCTGATATTGGATACAAATTTTAGTGCTTGTAATCTCAGCTTCTTTATGAGTAACATGGGGATAATACTAACTGCTCTGCCCAATTATAGCTTGTTGGAAGATGTTTCTGTAGGTGACTTGAAAATTCTAAGGAACTATACAAATGAAAGATATTGTTAAGCTGCTCCCTGTAATGCCTGTTAACAAGATTATTTGATTAAGACACTTTGTTAATTATAAGTGTTATATGAAGAAACTGTATTATTTCTAAGTATATAGCATTAATAATATAATTACCATGACATATACCTTGATGATTTTATGAAGTAATTAAAATGTTTCTATAGATTATTAAAAATTAGCATATTATCTTTATCACCTTAGTATGACTAGTACAATTATATTTATGCAGAGTTAATCAGTAAAAAGCAAAATGAAAGATATAAAACAATATTATATGTAAGTGTAAATATGTGTGAACAAAAGAATTATGATTTTTAAAAGAATATGTACAAATAAAATGTATTGGACTGGGGAAATATGAATCATGTATAAAAAAATATGATTAATGAATGAATGAACACCAAGGCAAGAGTAGGGCCTTATGCAGGCCAGACCGATCATTCCTTCATGATTCCTCACTGAGGAAGGTGACTCATGGAAACCTTCACATCTGATGTCTAAACACAATAAATCAACAAAAAAGGGCTCCAGCATGTGGACCCAGTGCCTGCTGAAGAGCTGTTAACCCTCTGCTGCTGCCCCCTCAGCCTCCTCTGTTCTCAGGATGCCCATGGGTGAAGAAGGGACTCCTGGCAAGTGGGACCTGGGGCTGCCACAGAGCCCTCCCAAGGACACAGACAGGACTGTGAGGCCACGGCTCCAGCAGGATGCTGACTCCTGCGACTGTCAAAGACTTCAGCTCAGTTTTGGAGTTTCCTGTAAGTGATACATCATATGATGAACACAGGCTGCGAAGCTGGAGAGACCTGGGTCTGAGGCCAAGTCCCAACATATACTGGTTCTGTGACTATGGGCAAGATACTCAACCATGCGGAGCCTTCCCCTCTGAACACTGGGGAGAATGATGATCCGGACTCACAAGACTCTCACGTATCTCTAAACTCTTAGCATAGGACTAGCATATGGTAAATAATCAATTAGTAGGAAACACTACTTATTATCATCTGTTAATACTAAGTGATATTTCCTCTTACTCATTCTCACTATGCCACTCTTTGAAAGCAAGGATGAATCTATGGACCTTTTCCTTTGATTCTCAGCCGGAATCAACTTAGTCACTTAGGTCTGCATCCCCTCACTAGCAGATGACATTAGGCAAGGATGATACTGCTTTTGTCCCTGTTATTTTCAGAAGATTACAGATAATGATGTAACATGCAAAACTGTTTCTTATTTAAATTAGTATCGATAACTGCCTATGTGAACAGCTGTACTTAATTATTTTAAAGTGCTCATGAATGCATTATTAATATTTTACTAACCATTAGAATACAATGTTTATCAACACAAAATGAGAAAAGTGTGACTTTGCCTTATTCTAGCATTATTAAATGAACTGAAGTAGGAATTAAGAAATGTGGGTGATGGTTCCAGCTTTTTCATTAATTAGCTGTGAGAGCCATGGTATGTCACCTGAGGCTTCAGTTTAGCTGGAAAGCACGCTACAAAGTACTACGGGGCCAGGCACGGTGGCTTACGCCTGTAATCTCAGCACTTTGGGAGGCTGAGGCAGGTGGATCACCTGAGGTCAGGAATTTGAGACCAGCCTGACCAATATGGTGAAACCTCATCTCTACTTCAAAAAAAAAAAAAAAAAAAATTACCCTAGCATGGTGGCGTGCCCCTGTAGTCCCAGCTACTCAGGAGGCTGAGGCAGGAGAATCACATGAACCTGGGAGGTGGAGGTTGCAGTGAGCCAAGATTGCACCACTGCACTCCAGCCTTGGTGACAGAGTGAGACTCTATCTCAAAAAAAAAAAAAAAAAAGTACTATGGAATCTAAAGTTTTCTCTAGCACTAAAAGAGCATGGCCTGAAATAGTTAGTTTATATTTGGGTCAAGAAAGAAAGAAATGTTAGAAAATAAATGAATAATCAATGACAGCAAGAGTACCTTATTGAAAAAAATGTATGTGTATATGCACTTATGCATATCTTTAATTAATTAAATATACATAATCATTGAAAAATGAAACACTGCAAATACATTTGTATGTTTGATACTTGAGCATCCTATCATTTTTTTAAATAAAAATTAATTAATTTACCATATTTGAATAAGTCAAAAAGAGAAAAACAAAGTGTAGTGCATGTTTAAAAAAGACAAATAAATGTTTCCTTGTGTTTGCTCACTACTGATAACTTTGAGGAAATGATCATTCAGAAACATAAAGCAATCCAAAATACGAATCAAGATTAACTTAAATGTAATTTTTAAAATAATTCAGATAATGAAGAGAGCAGAACTAGCCACTTAGCTCTCTGTGTATAGTGCATATAACTAAATATATCACAACTTAACAGGTGTTCTTTCTGAGATATTGCTATTGACTTTAAATGATCACATTAGTTAAATGTTAAAATACCTTTTTAGAAAGCAGGCAATTCATCTAACTTGTCATTTGACTTGGATCTGGGACAAATTTCCTGTGTGAGATCGATCAGCATGTCTTCTTGCTCTCAGATTTCCTTATTATAATTATAAATCTTTGTGCTTTATAAAAGTTCAGGGTATTATGCTGGTGCCATCTCTGGTTTCTCAGAGACTTTCAACAACCAGCCTCGTTCTGGGACATGATAGGCATTGTTGCAAAATCAGGAATTCTTCAAGGAGAATAAATGTCTGCTGTGTTGAATTTTATGCTAGGTTCCCCAAGATCTGCACCTTTAACCCTCCCAGTATTTACCAGTGTTTAACACACAGTTGGTCCCAGGCAAATGCTGGTGCATTGACTTGATTGTTAGAGATAACCTTCCTAATGCTATATTCTATCCAGTCTCTCTAAACCCAGCTCCTTGTTCTGCTGTGAGGAGCAGCACCTGTCTTCCTTTGCCTGGATGACTCAGAGATGCCCACTCCATCTTCATCTCTGGACTCACCACAAGTAATTACTTAGTACTTCCCACCAACTGCAGAGCAATTTACTTAATTGGAATGTTTTCACACTTTTTCATCCCTGATAATCAACCTGCACAGATGAAAAAATTACCTAGGGAATCACTATTATTAAATCAGTGATCTAAGTGCTTTTGTTATTCTAACTGAAAATTGTAATCATTTGTTTGTTTGACATATTTACTATCTGACCATCAGACAGATTCACTTATTTTGTCCATTTTAACTATGACCAAATATATATTTTTTCACATAAGAATCTGTGAGCATTAAACTGGGTAATCTGTATGACCTTATCCCTGAATATTAGATATTAGATATGCACATACAAATGGTTATGATTGTTATGATTAGTGTGCTATCATGGAAAATAGTTCATAGTCTTGATAGTCTGAGAATTGCTATGATAATAGTTTCAAAAACATTTAGGATACTTGTTCTCTATTTTTAATTTTAGTTTTTAGCAACAAAAATCATTTGAAAAGCAAATAAAATTATTTCACCATATTTTTACACTTGTAATCATGTATAATATGTTCTAAGAAAAAGCCATCTCTACCTATAAAATAAGATGCAATTGTATATTCCTGTGTGTCTCTCACACAGATCCATCAATGAACAATATTGCCAGCATTGAGAATAAGAATACTGAATGAATCAGGCCTAGGTTGAGTATTTTCTGTGACTATGAGGCAGTCACATCCTCCTATTTGGTTAGGATCTACAAACAGAGTAACCAGACTCAAAAGGTGCCACCTGCCTAGAATAATATTAGTATGAGATAATAAGACTTGCTCGTGGCTTATCCGGCAGTGTGCTAGAAATTTTCTGTCTATGAATTTGTAAAACAGCAGCAACAACATGAGGCACATGGAAGTTCAATGTCCTAGGGTCAAAGCTGAGCTCTGAAACCGCCTTTGCACAAATTCTAACAGTGAAATTGAAACTGCCTTTGCACAAATTCTAACAGTGACAAAATTATGGCAATGGGGAGACCTGATCTAGTTAACCCCCTTCTTGCCCTTGACCTTCAAGTTGCCCTTAATCATTCCTGGGCTTAGGCAAGCCAACCGTGAGAGACATCTAGTTTATAGTTTAAATGATAATAGCCCTTCCCCAAAACTAAAGCTAATGAGAGACCACCAGGCTAGGAGAATAGAGGAGCCTAAATTCTGCTAAAATACAGACATAAATGATTGTTAGCCATTTGTCCAGAGGTCACGAGATATGCAACTTCCTCATGAATTCCAGCAGATAACATCAGTATTGTAGAATCTAAGATTAGCCTTTTGAGATATCCAGGTTTTTTGCATGTTTGACTACCGATGGCTCCACTGGACCTGCCAACAGCTCCCGTAGCTCCACCCATAAGTAACTCAGCATGCAGAAGAATCATTTCCCACACCCCTATGATTACACCCCCAACCAATCAGCGGCAAGCACCCATTGCCTAGCCACTCCCCGCCCTTTCCCTAAACTACCTTTGAAAAATCCCTAACCTATGAGCCTTCGATGAGACTGACTTGAACAATAACTTCATCTCTAATGTGGTGTTGCCAACCTTGAGTTAATTTAAACTCTTTACAGCAAATACCATGTTTTTTGTTTTGTTTTGTTTTTTTGCAGCGAGCAGGAAGAACCCATCGGGCAGTGACACAATCAGAAGAGCTACTGTGGCTTGTAGAAAGCCTGGCATATCCAGAACAACAGAATCCAACAAGACAGGAAAGTAACCAATAGGTCTATAGTCAGGGCCTAGGTTCTGAGTAAGCACACCACTAGCAACTCCTTTATTCTCCAGATGGAAAAAGTAGAATAGTTTACCAGAGTTATGAATACACGTGGGGAGACAATAGGTCCTTAAAGGGTTTGAAAGGCTTTTCAGCTTCTTCTGACTGTGATAGTAGTTAGTCAGACATGAGCAGAACAGGAGAGGACCCCCCGACCCCAGGAATGTCAGGCAACCATCAGGTGATGGTCAGGCAGTTGTTACACTGTCTCTCTAAAATAATTGGTTGTAGCCAGTGCCAGGGAAAGGCAGTCTCGCAATAGATAGAAACACCTGTAACTGGTGATCAGAAGCTTCCCAATATGATCTCAGGAGCTGGGTGAGTGGCCTCAAGCATGCGCACTAAGAGGCAAAATGGTGGAGTTTAACTGGTACATGACCTTCTTCTAGGAACATGCATACAACTCCAGTGAACACATTATGCCTATGACCCCTCCCAAGTGCTGACAGGCCACTGTGCATATGGAATGCCAATGTATAAAACCCCAAGTTAAAGGTCAAACCGTGCACTTGAATCTCTCAGGCTGCCGGCTTGCCCCTCTTCCAAATGTACTTCACTTTCTTTGGTTCCTGCTCTGAAACTTTTTAATAAACATTCACTCCTGCTCCGAGTCTCTGCCTCAGTCTCTTCCTCCGCCTTAAGCTCCTCGGTTGAATTCCTTCTTCTGAGGTAGCAAGAACTGAGGTTGTTGCAGACCTGTACAGATCTTCCACTGCTAACATGACCCCAGTAAAGGTGCTGGTGACGTTTGATGCAACAGCTCAGTGACAGGCTTCGCCTTTTCTGAACAGGCAGGGATCTCCTGACTGCAATTCCCAACCAATCCCCAAAACTGGCAAACTTGATTTTTTTTAATTAAGCAAGCTTAATTTGTAAAATAGGCTGAGTCTAGGAAGGGACTATTTTTTATTGGCCAGTCACAAATGTCCCAAATGCTTGAGTTCAGTTTGACACTATTGCTATTTATCTAGGGATGTTTTATATGCTTAGGAAGCTAAAAATTTGTAGAAAGTTACATTTTCTTCTTATCACATGTAAGGTGTCAGCAGCTATCAATGATTCATCTGCATATTGAATCAGCATGAAACTCTAAGGTGAGGAAAATGACTTTAAGTTCTCTTGAACAGTAAATGTCTAGAGAATATAGTAGGTGAATCTCTAAATCCTGAGGAATCCGTTGCCACAAATATTGAAAGCTGCCATAGGTAAATGTAAGGATGAACCTTGATTTCTCATGTAAAGGTACAGAAAAAAACCTGAACAAAAGTCTACTGCAGAAAAATACTTAGTTGGCATAGGTATTGTAATTAAAATAGTAGCCAGGTCAGCTAGCACAAGCACAGGTACCAGAAGAATCACAAACATACTTATTTCTATAAGATCTTGTACAAATCTATAAACAGGTCCACCTTCCCTGTCATATTTTCCTTCCTTTTTCACAGGTAATGTAGAAGCATTACAAACTGAATGCCCTTTATTACAGCTCATTTTCCTAATTAAAAAATGTATAGATTATATCTTATAATTGAGCTATTCCATGTTGTAAGCTATAATTATAGCATTGATACATTTTACTAAAATATTTGTTCCTGGGATCCAAAAAAATGGATCTACTTCTTGTCAATTGATCTATTCCAGTGCAAGGTGAGATTGCCACTCACCACTGCCCCCATTGGTTTCAGAAGGCACATCTTTACCTTATCATCAGGTGCCTTGCCTCCCAGGGCTCCAAAATCATTTCACCCAGAATACAGAATGGGTGGGAGGCATTAGTTTACACAGCGAGTCCCTTTCCAACAAATAGCTAGGTGCATCAGGAGACTAGATAAAAGCATGTTTCTTTTACAAAAGATCTATTTGCAGAATAATTTCAGAGCAGCAAGAACAGACAGAAGGTTGTCCGGAGATATCCAAAACATTAAAACAAAAAAAAGGTCAGAAGAAATTACAGAATACATGGCTCCAGGGTTCACAAAAAAAAAAAAAAAGAAAAAAAAACATGAAAAGATTAAGATGAGGAAAAGAAACAGACATATAAAGCTGTCTGCTTCCCAACTCAAAGGTTTCCTCATTATGTCAATTTTGCACACTAGTTTGCACCGTTTGCCAATTATTTCTCATCCAGTTTCTCAGGAGAAAAATCTCCTAGAGAAGCTAATAAAGCTTCAGACTCAGGTTGAATCCTTTGCGTCTTAATTTCTTCAGCATCCCCTTTCTGAATATCCTGGTTTCTTACAACAGTGATATATCAACTTTCCATTAGAGCATTCCTTTTTATTTGTTGTTGGCTCACAATAAAGTCTGTCCCATCTGTGAATAATTCTAACTGGGCAGCTAACACTGCAGTCTTAAGTTCTTCCCCACATTTTCCCAAAATGGATTGCTGGCACCAACTGTCCGCCCTTGCCATCAAACTATTTTTTCTCCTGACAATTGCTGGCAGGGAAATTCCTGGCAAAAAGCCTGCTTAAAAGGTAGAGGACCAAGGATATATTCTGATCTTCCCTTGGATTGGGCCCCAAAAATTTATAAACTGCTTCAGTGCACTGCTGATGAAAAGCAACAGGGACACACCTGCCTCTTGAGTGCGTTATTGTAGCACTGCTAGAGGTCACCATATGCAGAGAGGCTCCAAGGACTGCCATCAGCCATCCCTCACACTGAGTTATGGAAAGAGGTGGACGGCTGGTTTCCTGAGGCCATGGCACTCCCTGATGAGGGGGTTATAATTTGGCCTCTATCACACCTGTTCCACTAGTTGAGCAAGTCAGCCAGAGGCAACACATCACACAGCAGCCAGTTTATATCCTCACGTGTGTAGTTATATGTTGAAAAAATGCTGCAGAGCACTTCTGCAAATTTGTGTGAATCTTCCCAGAGCAATAGAAAAAAATCTCTTAAGAGAAGTATATCAACTTGGGGGAAGGCAATATGGATTCTGGCATTTGTGTCACTGCAGTTGCAAAGGGATAGGGCTGATTTTCATCATGAAATGAAAAATAAGTTGGTTTGTATGGCACTGTAGTTTCAGTCCCTGTTATGCCATAGTAATTTGACTCCCTCCATTTCTTCTAAGTTCTTAAGGCAATCAACCATTCAGCAACCCAAAACCTTTATTCTAGGATACAATCTCTTACCCAAATTCTCACTGACTCTTTGATCTTTCTTCTGAGTAATTTATAGATGTTTAGTTGTGTTTTGCATATTCAGTTTAGAGGGAATCACAGAGATGGGATCAGAACTAGGGCATCCAATATCAGGATATTCTAATAAAGCTAAACAATTTGCTCCTTCTAAAGGGAATTCATCCCAGGTTTCCAATTCATCCAAGAGACCATTACCTCCCTCCTCTGAGATCCCAGATTGAGCAAAGAAGGGTGAAGAGAAGCTGAGGAAACAAAAGGAATGACAGCAGAGAAGAAATGAGAAGCTGGAGGAAGAAAAAGAGCTTTCAGATTCTTACTCTATTCTTCCAATTTCTTAATTCACTCTTTTTGGTTTTTGTTTTATTACTGACTACTTCATCTCAGGAATATAAATTATCCGTTTATTTGGGATTTTTTTTCCTTAAAATCTCCGTGCATACACTAATTTGTCTACCTCAAAAGAGTCTTTCTCGGCCGGGCACGGTGGCTCATGCCTGCAATCCCAGCACTTTGGGAGGCAGAGGCGGGCAGATCACGATCGAGACCATCCTGGCTAACACGGTGAAACCCTGTCTCTACTAAAAGTACATAAAAATTAGCAGGGCATGGTGGCAGGCGCCTGCAGTCCCAGCTACTCAGGAGGCCGAGGCAGGAGAATGACATGAAGCTGGGAGGCGGAGCTTGCAGCGAGCCCAGATGGCTCCACGGCACGGCACTCCAGCCCGGGCGACAGAGTGAGCCTCCGTCTCAGGGAAAAAAAAAAAAAAAAGCCTTTCTCTGGCCATTGCAAAGCAGAATTTTCAGAAGTTTACCCATTCTAAACATAATAGAGTGAAATAACCCTTCTAAGAGAAAGACCTGCCAGCAACATTCTGGACTTCCCATATTTTTCTGCCGTTAAAACCTATCCTGAATCATATAGGACCTGTGAGCCTGTATTACACATTTTGCTCAATAATAACTCCAAATTTGTAGTAAGGTTTTGAAATTTTCCCCAGGAACCCAATCCTGCTGAGCCAAAGTAGATAATGGGAGACTTTTAAGCAAACAGTCGGGGTCTCTTACCTAATCCAAGAGGCCACATTTTATGTTAAGTGTGTTTTATCACAATAAAATGACTTTTTAAGAAGGTGGACACAAATCTTCCCACAAATTAACCAATAGAAGCACTCACTCAAGAAATCCCATCCTCATCACCAAATTGTTGGGGGGAAAATCAATACCCAAAGAAACATGCCAATTCACAAATACAGAATTAGTTGATTTTATTATTGGGCAAAACAAATAACCTGAATGTATGTGGACAGGCAGCAAGTGGCTACAAAGCTGTAATGAATATTCAGCTCCATTTATATGAAATTAATGTTGCAGTTGTTACACATCATCCTATCTTTAGAAAATAGTCAGCAGATGTTCAATTTGCACCAGTAATTACAGTGAGCTTACTCTGATGTTCTGTTTTACATACTTCTGTATCAGGCTTGCTCTGGTGTTAAGTTCCTCAGAATTCTTTATCAGGATCTATGGTTGTCCCAATAGGGCATTAGTACCTATGATTGGTCACGTCTTTCAATATTCCTCAGCAAGGCTACATTGAACGCAAGTTCAGTTTCCCCACTGCATGAATCCTCCAGGTTCAGCTGGGTGTGCTTTTTATGTGAGCGCTCACCTTCCCACAGCGATTATGCGAAAACCAAGCCTCTTAACATCATACCTCTGTAAGTGATGTGATTATTTAAAATGAAGTGACTGTTAATTAAAATCATATTCATACAGAGCTTCTATTTGCTGAAAATTTAAAGTTTGGTGGGGGTTTTTGACTTTAAATGTCTCTCATTCGTTCTGAATGTAATAATGTGCTTAATTTTATGTCTTTCTTGGAATTTATTTAATCAATTAGTACTGTGTGTCTGAGTATGTAAAGAGTATGCTAATGACATTTTAGAGGAAATCAAATAGACTAAGAAATTAAAGGGATGCTTCAATACTGTGAATATTGATGACAAAGAAGAAAGATAAGTAATCAGAGAGAAAAAAAGGGAAAACACCTTGGACTAAAAAATAGAAACACCAGAGGCAAATAAGCCATATTTAACAAGGTTAGGTAATATGCGAGTTCTACAGAGCTTATTTTAAATATTGTTCTTATATTCAGTCATTTCACCTGGCACAAATATGCCTTCTGTACTAAAGGAAGATGGTTTCCTTCATATTTACACTTTTGCATTATAATCAATGTGTCACCTTTTTTTCAATAAATATGGTTGGCCTTCTGTATCAGAAGTCTCTACAAGGCTGACTGTGGGACTTAAGTATGAGCAGATTCTGGTACCCGAGGGGGTCCTGGAACCAATCCCTTGCAGGGAGATGACTGTAAATGTTTTTGAGATTGAGAATATTAATATGTGCTTAAAATGTGAACGAGGACATGTGTTAACATCTTCATTGACCATTACATTTTGGTTGAATAGCATATGCCATGTCTCATCTAACTAATTTGAAATAAGTTCAGATCACAAGAAAAAAGGAAAATTGGTTAAAAGAACAAGACCTGTCTTGAGCAAATACTCCATTTCCCCAGTAATATTACTGCAGTTACAATCTATCTCGAATCACTTTAAATTGGCCCAAATGCCAATTGCTGAAAATTTAATCATTTCCCAATCAGGAATGATGCATTTATCAACCAAATCTCAAATCAGTTATAATTCTCCCCAAACCTAGTTTTGAGAACTTCAGTTTGGGTTTTTCCTAAGAGGATGACTGTCCATTTCAATGTTGAGAAACAATCCAGAAAGAGTGAATGATAACCATCCCCATTCAAAATTTTCTCATCAAATTAGAATTTTTAAATATATTTTAGACTACGTTAATAAGGGAAATATGTTGATTATCACAGAAGTTTGGCATTTTTATATAAAATAATGCTTAGCATTTATAAGAAATATCAATTTTGCATTCAGAAAAAAAATTGATTTAAATAGAATCCAGCCATATACATCTGAAATTTGTTGAAATCAAATGGCTAACCTCCACCAAATTGTGTTTTCAAGCTTTTTTAGAAGCTTTCATAAATAAATTAAAATTTTTTTGGCATTTAAATGAGTCGGCAATATTGCTAAACCAAAATGACGAGAGCTATGTAATTAACAATAAATTCAAGATGAATGCTTACTATGCATGAAAAGTTAAATGTTGAGCTGGAGAGAAAAGAAAAATAAATATTTATCTGAAAAGCAAACTGAAGTAAGCATGAGGCATTCTGTCCTTGTTTCTGCCCTGTCAGGTGTAGGGCACATCCTCAGGAATCCAGAAAGCTGAGACCCCAGGGTGACTAATTTTCTGCAGGAGGTCAATTCCCTGAAAGATGCTCAGCTGACTCCCAAAGGGATAGAAATAAAATGTACCTGATGGAGTAATTAAACAAAAAAGTTCCCATTTTTAATATGTCAGTTTGTGTTTTATTATACTGCGATAAATGTGTTGCTTTTTCATTTGTTTCCATCAGTGCACAATTACAAGTCCACATTTTGAGGACCTTCTGTTTATTTCCTTTTATTGTTTGTTTTTAGCAGAGAATAACAAAGAAAAAACAAAATATGGTTCACAGTCTTACCAGTCAGATAACCCTTGTTGACATACAAAATAAATGTATTAATAAACCAACAAAGTATGATCACATATACATTCTTTTTTTTTTTTTTTTCAGATGGAGTCTTGCTCTGTCGCCCAGGCTGGAGTGCAGTGGTGCAGTCTCGGCTCACCACAACCTCTGCCTCCTGGGTTCAGGAGATTCTCCTGCCTCAGCCTCCTGAGTAGCTAGGACTACAGGCACATGCCACTATGCCCAGCTAATTGTTGTATTT
This sequence comes from Homo sapiens, assembly GCF_000001405.40. NCBI lineage: Eukaryota > Metazoa > Chordata > Mammalia > Primates > Hominidae > Homo > Homo sapiens. The sequence goes on from NC_000009.12 coordinate 42,029,709, forward strand.
TTGGTAGAGACACAGTTTCACCATGTTGGCCAGGCTGGTCTTGAACTCCTGACCTCGTGATCTGCCCACCTTGGCCTCCCAAAGTGCTGGGATTACAGGTGTGAGCCACCGCGCCAGGCACATAAACATTCTTGGTTAGAAAATTGAAATAAGGCCGGGTGCAGTGGCTCACGCCTGTAATCCCAGCACTTTGGGAGGCTGAGGTGGGTGGATCACGAGGTCAGGAGATCAAGACCATCCTGGCTAACACAGTGAAACCCCGTCTCTACTAAAAAAATACAAAAAATCAGCCGGGTGTGGTGGTGGGCGCCTGTAGTCCCAGCTTCTGGGGAGGCTGAGACAGGAGAATGGCATGAACCCGGGAGGCGGAGCTTGCAGTGAGCTAAGATTGCGCCACTGCACTCCAGCCTGGGCGACAGAGCGAGACTCTGTCTCAAAAAAAAAAAGAAAAAGAAAAAAAAAGAAGACTGAAATAAAAGTTAAGCTAAAAAATGATAGCCACTCTTTCACTGAACCCCAAAAGTAACCACTCTTGAAGAAAAGATGAAAATTGTGATCATCTTTTCTTAGTCCGTATTTTCTTTTAGAATAGTGCTCATCTTTAGCCACGCTGTGTTGCTCTCTCACCCATTTCCCCAAGGGTGTTGTGTGGTCGCTGTCTCCCATGACACTCAGGCACACCAGCGATGCCGAGGATGGGGGCAGCTTTGTACAGACCTTCCCCTTTGGCTCTGGGTCTGTGTGTGCTCCTGGCACTTCCTCCCTCCTTACCTGGGTTCCTACTCTGGAATCTGAAGCTTGCAGACTGGTTCTCTCTAACTTAAGGGTGAGGGGCAGGGGCATTTAATTAAATGGCTTGTGCCAGGTTCCTTCCATCTGGTCTGCCCTTATCCCATCCAGTGTTGGTGCCCTCAGGCTGCAAAGATCCTCACCAGCCCAGTGCGACCCCTGAGAAAGCTGGCCTGGGCCCCTCACTGGACACCACCCTTCCCCCACCTGCAGCTGTCTCTCCTGCCCGGAGAAGGGAGTGAGAAAGAGATACAGAGAGAGAGAGAGAGAGAGAGAGAGAGAGAGAGATGTGTGCGAGAGAGAGAGAGAGAGAGAGGAGAGAGAGAGAGAGAGAGAGAGAGAGAGAGAGATGTGTGCTATGATTTAGGGTCTGTATTAGGACTGACCAAGGGGACCACATAGGGTTCTCAGCCTCTTTCAAGGCCCAAGGATCTCTCAGAAGACACTTCTTCACTCTACCTTCAATCTTTCATTTGCAAAATTACTTCGTTTTGCTAGACATCTCTAGCAAAATGAAGTAATTCTCTCCAGGTTTGAGTCTCTTTATCTCTAGGTTTGAATCTTCTGATTGATTTTTCTCTCGTCTTCTCCCCTTTCAGTACAGAATCACCAAAATATCCTTTTCATGATTTTTTTTAAACCAACTCTTCCTGATTGGTTCAGGATGTGCTTCTACTATATGAAAACTTTTAAATCACCTCTATAAACTGCCTCCACCTTCTTTTCTTGCACTTACCTACATTCGGAGACTGTTTAATATCATCTCCTGCACCCCGTACTTTGCATTCTTTTCTCTACGAGAGTGTCCGTGGACACTGGATTAACAGCAGTTCTGAATTAAAGCCACTGCGTCTCGACTCAGCTTCAATCCACATTAATTCTGGATCTCCCACTGACGGTGATCTTTGCTGTATAACTGCACTTTCATTCACAGATGCCAAAAGAAGGTTTGGCCAGGAGCTGTGTCCAAACTTACTGTTCTAAATTTGAGACAGAGGGTTTGATGATAAGATGAAAATATGGAACAAGACAGCGCTGAATTTTTAAAATTGTGGCTTCCACAGAGTCCAAAATGTGTGGCTGGCTGCTCTATGTTTGGGATAAAATACGTAATTAGCTCTTATATATACATAAATAACTCTCAGAGGCATTAATTCTATCTTCATTTAGCCCATGTCAGTATGAGTAAACAGTGACGTTTACACACGTTGCCTGCTACGCCTCCATTTTCCCATATGTCTTCATGAAAATAAAATGTGATAAATGTAAAACATTTCAGACAGCGCTTCACATGTAAACATTTACTCGATACGTTTCCTCTCTTTTTTCTCCTTTTCTGTGTGAATTCTCTTTCCATTCCAAGTCTGGCTGGATGAAGATTATTTTCAGAAAATGGGACTTGGAGCTATAATGTCACTGAACTCAAATACAATTTGAAGAAAAATTTTCCTTTGCCATTTTAGGTAAAGCAATAGAATCATGTCTTGAAGCTGCAGGTGGATCTGAAGCTTGTCTGAGAGCAGGCGGAGGAGGTCGTGTCGGATGGATGGTGAGTTTGTGCGAACGGGGCCTGCCCAAATGCTCCGCCTTTATTAGTATCTCCCAGGAGCCCCGCCTGCATGACGCCTTTTTTTCTGGTTACAAATCTCTTAGTAGATTTATTCCCCCTTACATACCTTTCCAAAGGGATTTTATGGCCTTCACAGTTACCTTTCTGCCATTTAACACTATAGCTTTAAAATAATTATTTGTATCACTTATCCAAAATATATGTTATTTCAGTATCTTAAGCTTTGAACTCGCAGGTCTAAGACTGAAACCCACAGCCTACACTGGCTCCTTCTAAAAGCTAATGATTGCATTCTGTTCCATCTTCACTTAAAATCCACAGAGAGAATGTAGCTCCCCATGATAATGGCTGAGGTACATGAAATATTACTGTTTAGAAACAAATGGCCTCACATGGAGGGGATAATGGTAGACAAAGAGAAGCATTTGGGTGAATCGTTTATACAGATAACGTAGCAAATTTTGTTCAGAGAATAATTTACGGGTACATATGCGGATTAATTTCAAAAGGAATCTATTTTCTGCAAATATTTATTTTGAAGTTATGTGTTGAGGCTTATTAATCATTAATACAGCACAAAAGAATGTGGAAAACAGTGGACTTGTCTGGCTAGGTGTCAGGCACCCTGCCTTAGTCTGTTGAGGCTGTCATAACAAAATACTGCAGACTGGGAGGTTTAAATAATAGACACTTATTCTCGCACAGCTCTGGAGGCTGGGAAGGCCAAGACCAGGGTGCCAGATGAGGGCTTTCTTCCTGGCTTGTGGACGACCACCTTCTCACTGTGTCCTCACATGGCAGTGCTCTCTCTCTCTCTCTCCCCCTCTCTTCCTATAAGACCACCGTCCTACAGGATTAGTGCCCTACTCTTATGACCTTATTTAACCTTAATTACCTCCTGAAAGGCCCTGTCTTCAGATATAGTCACATTCAGGGTTAAGGCTTCAACATATACATTTTGGAGGAACAGAATTCTGTCCATACAGCACTCCATGTGAATGGCTTTTCTGAGAAAAATATCAAAAAAGACAAAAACTAAGTACTGTGTCTATAAAAACAAATATCAAAATCTGTTTCTCAGTGCAAACTTTCTAAAGTTAGGCTTTACAAAAGAATCACTTTCCCATTAATAATGGTCACTATTGTTGGTTAATATTCTTGAAAACTAATCTTACCCAATTTGACTTACTGAAGGCAATTTTGAGATAAAATCTCATCCATCTTTGAGCAATAAACTAGAAGCAAATAAATATAAGTGAAAAGCTAATTTAGCTTATACAAATTGAAAAGTAATATAAACTGTCTCTTGCTGATCAAAGTGGTACCTACGTATTTTACTGGTACGTATGTGTCAGAAAAATACATATATGTATTACATGTCTATCATGACTCTGTATTTTCACTCCAATCATGACTTTCACAGGGGCTAATTGTGTTTTATATTTGTATACACTATGATGTACTTCTCATCAAAATTAGGAAAAAACCTACTAAATCCTCAAGTCTACACCAAGAATTCCAAATTGTTCTGAGAAATATTATCTTTTAGTTGATATTATTTTCAAATATCAAAATCTTCAATAGCCATTTAACAATGATCCTCATAAGTTGTGAGTAATTTTAGTCTGAATCACCATGAAATGAAGGATGAGAGCGCTGCTTGTTTGAGCAGCACTGCAAATATGATCAGGCTGCCTGAATCACAGCCACGGCATGGCTGACTAACCTACCATGTTCGATTTTCCAAGCAGCATGCCTAGCAAAGAGGTTTTAAATTTACTTCTAAAATGATGCTGGCTCTACTTTGGGGTAGTTTAAAAAATTATAGATACATGGAAAAATACCAATATACAATGATACCTGGTAGAGATAATGTTTTTAATGAAATGCCAAAGAACTGGCTACAGTGCCGGTCTCAGTTATGTGACACCACATATCGACTTTCTAACAACACATGTCAGAAAAGGGTGCAGGTTGATTATTTCTACTGATCTTATTATTTGTTAGAAACGTAACCATAAACAGCTGGCCTGCATTTTTTCTTCTATTTCTATATATCGTCTATCTTTCTATGTGTACATAATCTACCTATTTATCTATATGTATGTATGTATATATGTATCTATCTATCTATCTATCTATCTATTTCTCATCTATACATAATAACTCTCCTTCTTAGAGTGAACCATGTGGAACTTCCAACCCTTCTTTCCTCTACTCCTGAATGCCTTCGGCACCTCTCTCCAGGAAAGAGAAATATAAAGCCACTGCTTCTGCTTTTCCCACACTCACTAACTTTAAACCTTTTACGATTTGACTTTTTTCCTCACAATTCTGATACTGATGTTGCAGTGATCACCAATATCACTCCAACAAGCCTGACCCCTTTTCCTCAGTTCTCAGTCTCCACTGCCCTTGGTTTACAAGACCCCCAAAACTCCGAGCACTCCCTCTCTGGTTCCATCTCCCACACCCTTCCCACGTGTTTGCTGATTTCCAGTCACAATGAACCTTTTTATTCCCCTAAATCTCTCAAGCTGGTCCCTGTTTCCAAGGCTTTCCTCTTCCTGTCTCTTGTGTCATAATGTTCCTCCCCCAGATCTTCTCTGTTTGGCTCCTTCTACCACTCAATTTTCAGACTGAGTATCACTTCTTCACTTTGACCTTCTCTGTTCCGTCCCCCTAGGATTACTGTCCCTTCAAGCCCCCATCCATTCACTCTACATCATGACTCCTTTTATAACTGCTGTTGCAATTGTTGAATAGTTGTTTATGGACCATCTCTCAACATTATCTTCTCTCACGGTATGCTCTGAACCCCCAGTGCCTAGCACAATGCCTGGTACCTTGTGGGTTATAAGATATGATTAAACTAAGGTTCGTAAAATTGTAGCTGCTACCTTCCACCTTCGTCTCCCAGATGTGCTTACTTAGTAAACCCAGTGAATATCTAACTGGAATTCTAGATGGTGTGTGGATGATTCAGAACTTACTCTTCTAAACATTTCTCCCCTATACCTCAGAATGCTTACATGGTCCTATTTATAACTCTGGAGTACATTTTTGAGTTTCTAAATAGATGTAAAAATCGGAATTCTGGGATTTTGGAATCAAAGCGTACTTGGGACCTCTTTACCCAAGGCTCCTCCGGGCTAGCTCCTCCCACCACAGTAATCCCATAAGGCAGTTATTCTTTACCATTTTACAGATTAGCAAGTGAGCTCACCAAGGTTCCACGAGGCTGACTTCTCCTATGATTCAATTTTCAGATCAGATGCCACCTTTCAATATGGCCTGCTCAGAGTTGAGCAGCCTGTCAATGACAGAGCTGGATTCTCACCCAGATCTGCCTAACCTCAGGTTCCTAACTATTTTAAGATAAAATCACTCAGAAGATCTTGGGGGTTAATAATAAAGACTCTGGAACCACTCACTAAAGGTGGGACTTTGGACAAAAATCCTTCAGTGCCTCAGTTTCCTCATCCATAAAATTATGAAAATAGTATATATTTCAGAGTGATGGTGTGAGGAACAGTGCCTGACACATAGTACACACAAAGTGTTCATTATCATTATTTTTAATTACTTACATATTTTTTATTGTTTTAGAGACAGGGTTTCATTCTATCACCCAGGCTGGAATGCAGCAACACAATCATACCTCAGTGCAGCTTTGAACTCCTGGGCTTAAGCTATCCTCCCGCATTAGCCTCCTGAGCAGCTGGGACTACAGGTGTGTGCCACTATGCCCAGCTAATTTTAATTTTTTGTTGTTGTTCTTGAGATGAGGTCTTGCTATGTTGCCCTGGTTGGTCTAAAACTCCTGACCTCGGAGTTCGAGCCCAGCCTGGCCAATATGGTGAAACCACATCTCTACTAAAAATATAAAAATTAGCTGGGCATGGTGGCGCATGCCTGTAGTCCCAGCTACTCGGGAGGCTGAGGCAGGAGAATCGCTTGAACCTGGGAGGCAGAGGTTGCGGTGAGCCAAGATCGCACCACTGCACTCCAGCCTGGGCATCACAGGGAGACTCCGTCTCAAAAAACAAAACAAATGAAAACTCCTGACCTCAAGCACTCTTCCCATTTTGGTTTCTAAAAGCATGGGACTACAGGCATGAGCAATCCTAACAGCCTATGTATTTATGTACATGAATGTGTCCTTGTAAAAATTCAAATATCTAAATATATGGAATAAAATGAGTAAGTCATCTTTTGCCAATCTGTTCTCCTCCCTAGAATAACCAGATCAGTGAATGCACTTTGAGTTCTTTAACATTATATTCACACGTATTTTATTTTTGCACAGTGCACGTTTTCTCCAACTTCTTTTTTCACTTAAATGATATATGTCATGGAAATCTTTCTATGAATTTGGGTCTCACTAATACTTTTTAAGATCGAACTGCAAGGCAGCAGCGAGACTAGGGGAGGAGCGCCCGCCATTGCTGAGGCTTGAGTAGGTAAACAAAGCAGCCAGGAAGCTCAAACTGGGTAGAGCCCACCACAGCTCAAGGAGGCCTGCCTGCCTCTGTAGACTCCACCTCTGGGGGCAGGGCATAGCTGAATAAAAGGCAGCAGAAACTTCTACAGACTTAAACGTCCCTGTCTGACAGCTTTGAAGAGAGTAGTGGTTCTCCCAGCACGGAATTTGAGATCTGAGAATGTACAGACTGCCTCCACAAGTGGGTCCCTGACCCCCGAGTAGCCTAACTGGGAGGCACCTCCAAGTAGGGGCAGACTGACACCTCATACGGCAGGGTGTCCCTCTGAGACGAAGCTTCCATAGGAACGACCAGGCAGCAACATTTGCTGTTCTGCAATATTTGCGGTTGTGCAGCCTCTGCTGGTGATACCCAGGCAAACAGGGTCTGGACTGGACCTCCAGCAAACTCCAACAGACCTGCAGCTGAGGGTCCTGACTGTTAGAAGAAAAACTAACAAACAGAAAGGACATCCACACCAAAACCCCATCTGTACGTCACCATCATCAAAGGCCAAAGGTAGATAAAACCACAAAGAAGGGGAGAAACCAGAACAGAAAAGCTGAAAATTCTAAAAATCAGAGCACCTCTTCTCCTTCAAAGGAATGCAGCTCCTCATCAGCAATGGAACAAAGCGGGACGGAGAATGACTTTGATGAGTTGAGAGAAGAAGGTTTCAGATGATCTGTGCACATGTACCCTAAAACTTAAAGTATAATTAAAAAAAAAAAGAAAAAAGAAAAAAGAAGGCTTCAGATGATCGATAATAACAAACTTCTCTGAGCTAAAGGAGGATGTTCGAACCCACTGCAAAGAAGCTAAAAACCTTCAAAAAAGATTACACGAATGGCTAACTAGAATAAACAGTGTAGAGAAGTCCTTAAATGACCTGATGGAGCAGAAACCATGGCAAAAGAACCACATGACGCATGTACGAGCTTCAGTAGCTGATTTGATCAACTGGAAGAAAGGGTATCAGTGACTGAAGACCAAATGAATGAAATGAAGCAAGAAGAGAAGTTTAGAGAAAAAAGAGTAAAAAGAAATGAACAAAGCCTCCAAGAAATATGGGACTATGTGAAAAGACCAAATCTACGTCTGATTGGTGTACCTGAAAGTGACAGGGAGAAAGGAACCAAGGTGGAAAACACTCTGCAGGATATTATCCAGGAGAACTTCCCCAACCTAGCAAGGCAGACCAACATTCAAATTCAAGAAATACAGAGAATGCCACAAAGATACTCCTCGAGAAGACCAAATCCAAGACACATAATTGTCAGATTCACCAAATTTGAAATGAAGGAAAAAATATTAAGGGCAGTCAGAGAGAAAGGTCGGGTTACCCACAAAGGGAAGCCCATCAGACTAACAGCGGATCTCTTGGCAGAAACTCTACAAGCCAGAAGAGGTGGGGGCCAATATTCAACATTCTGAAAGAAAAGAATTTTCAACCCAGAATTTCATAACCAGCCAAACTAAGCTTCATAAGTGAGGGAGAAATAAAATCCTTTACAGACAAGCAAATGCTGAGAGATTTTGTCACCACCAGACCTGCCTTACAAGAGCTCCTGAAGGAAGCACTAAACATGGAAAGGAACAACTGGTACCAGCCACTGCAAAAATATGCCAAATTTTTAAGACCATTGATGCCAGGAAGAAACTGCATCAACTAACGAGCAAAATAACCAGCTAACATCATAATGATAGGATCAAATTCACACATAACAATATTAACCATAAATGTAAATGGGCTAAATGCTCCAATTAAAAGACACAGACTGGCAAATTGGATAAAGAGTCAAGACTCATCAGTGTGCTGTATTCAGGAAACCCATCTCACCTGCAGAGACACACATAGGCTCAAAATAAAGGGATGGAGGAAGATCTGCCAAGCAATGGAAAATAAAAAAAAAGCAGGGGTTGCAATCCTAGTCTCAGATAAAACAGACTTTAAACCAACAAAGATCAAAAGAGACAAAGAAGGCCATTACATAACGGTAAAGGGACCAATTCAACAAGAACAGCTAACTATCCTAAACATATATGCACCCAATACAGGAGCACCCAGATTCATAAAGCAAGTCCTTAGAGACTTACAGAGACTTAGACTCCCACACAATAATAATGGGAGACTTTAACACACCACTGTCAACATTAGACAGATCAACAAGACAGAAAGTTAAAAAGGATATCCAGGAATTGAACTCAGCTCTGCACCAAGCAGACCTAATAGACATCTACAGAACTCTCCACCCCAAATCAATAGAATATATTGTTCTCAGCACCACATCGCACTTATTCCAAAACTGACCAGATAGTTTGAAGTAAAGTACTCCTCAGCAAATGTAAAAGTGCAATCAAACTAGAACTCAGGATTAAGAAACTCACTGAAAACCGCTCAACTGCATGGAAACTGAACAATCTGCTCCTGAATGACTACTGGGTACATTGAGAAATGAAGGAATAAAGATGTTCTTTGACACCAATGAGAACAAAGACACAAAATACCAGAATCTCTGGGACACATTTAAAGCAGTGTGTAGAGGGAAATTTATAGCACTAAATGCCCACAAAAGAAAGCAGGAAAGATCTAAAATTGACACCCTAACATCACAATTGAAACAACCAGAGAAGCAAGAGCAAACACATTCAAAAGCTAGCAGAAGGCAAGAAATAACTAAGATCAGAGCAGAACTGAAGGAGATGGAGACACAAAAAAATCCTTCAAAAAATCAATGAATCCAAGAACTGGTTTTTGGAAAAGATCAACAAAATTGACAGACCGGTAGCAAAACTAATAAAGAAGAAAAGAGAGAAGAATCAAATAGATGCAATAAAAATGATAAAGGGGGTATCACCGCCAATCCCACAGAGATACAAACTACCATCAGAGAATACTATAAACACCTCTATGCCAATAAACTAGAAAATCTAGAAGAAATGGATAAATTCCTCAACACATACATCCTCCCAAGACTAAACCAGGAAGAAGTTGAATCCCTGAATAGACTAATAACAGGCTCTAAAATTGAGGCAATAATTAATAGCCTACCAACCAAAACAAGTCCAGGACCAGACAGATTCACAGCCAAATTCTTCCAGAGGTATAAGGAGGAGCTGATACCATTCCTTCTGAAACTATTCCAATCAACAGAAAAAGAGGGAATCCTCCCTAACTCATTTCATGAGGCCAGCATCATTCTGATACCAATGCCTGGCAGAGACACAACAAAAAAAGAGAATTTTAGACCAATAACCGTGATGAACATCGCTGCAAATATCCTCAATAAAATACTGGCAAACCAAATCCAGCAACACATCAAAAAGCTTATACATCATGATCAAGTGGGCCTCATCCCTGGGATGCAAGGCTGATTCAACATACACAAATCAATAAACATAATCCAGCATATAAACAGAACCAATGACAAAAACCTCATGATTCTCTCAATAGATGCAGAAAAGGCCTTTGACAAAATTCAACAACCTTCATGCTAAAACGCTCAATAAATTACGTATTGATGGGACCTATCTCAAAATAATAAGAGCTATTTATGACAAACACACAGCCAATATCATACTGGATGGGCAAAAACTGGAAGCATTCCCTTTGAAAACTGGCATAAGACAGGGATGCCCTCTCTCACCACTCCTATTCAACATAGTGTTGGAAGTTCTGGCCAGGGCAATCAGGCAGGAGAAAGAAATAAAGAGTATTCAGTTAGGAAAAGAGGAAGTCAAATTGTCCCTGTTTGCAGATGACATGATTGTATATTTAGAAAACCCCATTGTCTCAGCCCAAAATCTCCTTAAGCTGATAAACAACTTCAGCAAAGTCTCAGGATACAAAATCAATGTACAAAAATCACAAGCATTCTTATACACCAATAACAGACAAACAGAGAGCCAAATCATGAGTGAACTCCCATTCACAATTGCTTCAAAGAGAATAAAATACCTAGGAATCCAACTTACAAGGGATGTGAAGGACCTCTTCAAGGAGAACTACAAACCACTGCTCAACCAAATAAAAGAGGACACAAACAAATGGAAGAACATTCCATGCTCATGGATAAGAAGAATCAATATTGTGAAAATGGCCATACTGCCCAAGGTAATTTATAGATTCAATGCCATCCCCATCAAGCTACCAATGACTTTCTTCACAGAATTGGAAAAAACTACTTTAAAGTTCATCTGGAACCAAAGAAGAGCCCTCATTGATAAGACAATACTAAGCCAAAAGAACAAAGCTGGAGGCATCACGCTACCTGACTTCAAACTATACTACAAGGCTACAGTAACCAAAACAGCATGGTACTGGTACCAAAACAGAGATATAGACCAATGGAACAGAACAGAGCCCTCAGGAATAATGCCGCATATCTACAACCATCTGATCTTTGACATACCTGACAAAAACAAGAAATGGGGAAAGGATTCCCTATTTAATAAATGGTGCTGGGAAAACTGGCTAGCCATATGTAGAAAGCTGAAACTGGATCCCTTCCTTACATCTTATATAAAAATTAATGCAAGATGGATTAAAGACTTAAATGTTAGACCTAAAACCATAAAAACCTTAGAAGAAAACCTAGGCAATACCACTCAGGACATACGCGTGGGCAAGGACTTCATGTCTAAAACACCAAAAGCAATGGCAACTAAAGCCAAAATTGACAAATGGGATCTAATTAAACTAAAGAGCTTCTGCATAGTAAAAGAAACTACCATCAGAGTGAACAGGCAACCTACAACATGGGAGAAAATTTTTGCAATCTACCCATCTGACAAAGGGCTAATATCCAGAATCTACAAAGAATTTAAACAAATTTACAAGAAAGAATCAAACAACCCCATCAGAAAGTGGGCAAAGGATATGAACAGACACTTCTCAAAAGAAGACATTTATGCAGCCAACAGACACATGAAAAAATGCCCATCATCACTGGCCATCAGAGAAATGCAAATCAAAACCACAATGAGATACCATCTCACGCCAGTTAGAATGGTGATCATTAAAAAGTCAGGAAACAACAGGTGCTGGAGAGGATGTGGAGAAATAGGACCACTTTTGCACTGTTGGTGGGACTGTAAACTAGTTCAACCATTGTGGAAGACAGTGTGGCAATTCCTCAAGGATCTAGAACCAGAAATACCATTTGACCCAGTCATCCCATTACTGGGTATATACCCAGAGGATTATAAATCATGCTGCTATAAAGACACATGCACGTGTGTTTATTGCGACACTATCTGCAATAGCAAAGACTTGGAACCAACCCAAATGTCCATCAATGACAGAATGGATTAAGAAAATGTGGCACATATACACCATGGAATACAATGCAGCCATAAAAAATGATGAGTTCATGTCCTTTGTAGGGACATGGATGAAGCTGGAAACCATCATTCTGAGCAAACTATAGCAAGGACAGAAAAGCAAACACCACATGTTCTCACTCATAGGTGGGAATTGAACAATGAGAACACTTGGACACAGGATGGGGAACATCACACACTGGGGCCTGTCGTGGGGTGGTGGGAGGAGGGATAGCATTAGGAGATATACCTGATGTAAATGAGGAGTTAATGGGTGCAGCACACCAACATGGCACATGTATACATATGTAACAAACCTGCTACGTTGTACACATGTACCCTAGAACTTGAAGTATATATAAAAAAAAGATCTGCATAGTTTTGGATGGTATATATTTAAAATGATCTTCCTGTTCTAGATAGATAAACCTCTAGATATTAGAGAGTTGTCAATTTTCGCTCTTATAAACAATGCTGCAACCCTGTAAATATGAGTAAGATTTACGCTTACTTATCTCTATTTCAGAATAACTTTCTAGGGATATAGTACACTCAGCAGCCCTCCATATCCATGGGTTCTGCACTCATGAATCCAACTGTGATTAAGAATAGTGGGGAAAAAATGGATGGCTGTGACTTTGTTGAACATGCACAACCATTTTTTTCTTGCCATTATTCTTTAAACAATATAGTATAACGACTATTTTTACAGCATTTGCATCGTATTATTAGTAATCTGGAGATGATTTAAGTATACAGGAGGCTGTACAAAGGTTACATACAAAACTACACCATTTTATATAAGGGACTTGGGCATCCATGAACGTTGGTATATTTGGGGGTGGGGGGCTCCTGGAATGAATCTCCCGCAGATATCCAGGGATGACTGTATTTCTAGTCCACAAGGTTGCTCACCATTGAGTAACTTCTTTTTACCTGCACATGGAGGTGTATTTTAAGTGTCCATTCAAATCAGTGATTGATGAGAATACACAGTGTATTTTTCCTCTAGGCCACAGAAACTAATTTCTGAAATGAAATTTTTTTAACTAATTGACTTTTTGCTAGTTTTTGAATAGCCCAAAGAAAATGGGATTATATTCTCAAATTCAAATCATCATCATCATCATCATCATCATAGCTTATGTTTTTGAGCACTTCCCACATACTTCCTTAAGCCCTTTGCTCAGAGATGGTCAGTATTTCATTGTCATGACAACCATAATCAACTTCACCCAAATTTGTCTGAAATGCATGATTCCCAAGTTTATATAGAAATATTGATATTTTCTTTTATTCTTTTTTTTTTTTTTTTGAGACAGTCTCACTCTTTGCCCAGGTTGGAGTGCAGTGGTGGGATCTCAGCTCACTGCAACCTCCGCCTCCTGGGTTCAAGAGATTCTCCTGCCTTAGCCTCCCGAGTAGCTGGGATTATAGATGCCTGCCACCAAGCCCAGCTAATTTTTGTATTTTTAGTAGAGACTGGGTTTCACCATGTTGGCCAGGCTGGTCTGGAACTACTAAGTTCAGATGATCCACCTGCCTTGGCCTCCCAAAGTGCTGCGATTACAGGCATGAGCCACTGTACCTGGCCCTGATTTTCATTACTTTTCTTTCAGATTAGTTTATAGATTTTTAGATTTGAGGCTTAGAAGAAAATTCCTTAGTTTAGTATAGTAGAACTATTTTCCTGTATTTTATTTAAAGCTTAATAATACAAATTTTAGAAGTGCAAATATATTTTATTATATTCTTTATCTCTTTATCTTTTTTATTTGTAAGATAAAAGTAAAGATTTATCTCACAAATAAATGTTTATAAAAAATGAGATAGCAAAAGCAATTATTTTAGCCTGCCTAGGAGATTTAAAAATTGGTTCCACAGGTCTGTAAGAATAAACACAAACAATTTTCTATAGACAAATTTTAAAGTATAATTCGAAGTACATCAGAAATACAGTCGTCTCCCCTTATCTGCAGTTTCGCTCGCTTTCCATAGTTTCAATTACCTGTGGTTAATCACAGCCTGAAAATATTAAATAGAAAATTTCAGAAATAAGCAATTCATAAGTTTTAAATTGCTCACTATCCTGAGTAATGTGATGAAAACACGTGTCACCCTGCTCTGTCCTGCATGGGACGTGAATCATCCCTTTGTCCAGCATATCCATGCCCTATAAGCAACCCACCTATCAGTCACTTAAGTAGCCCTCTGGGTTATCAGGTGGGTTGTCATGGTATCACAGTGCTTGTGTTCAAATCACTCTTATTTCAATCAACAACGGCTCCAAAGTGCACAAGTAGTGATGCTGGCATATTGCTACAATTTTCTATTTTATTAGTGGTTCTTGTTGTTAATCTCTGTGCCTCATTTATAAAAGCAACTTCATCACAGGTGTGTATGTATAAGAAAAAAACATAGTACATATAGGGTTCAGCACTGTTTGCAGTTTCTGGCATCCACCAGGGATTTGGGGACTACTGCAGTCACTTTCTCTCAAGGTATCACCTCCATTTCTCACATCTGAGTTGTCACCATCAAAATACTCATTGTTTTGGGCCTACAAGCCTTTTAAAGTTCATTATTAAAGTTTAAATAGCCTTTTATGGGGATTCTTATCAGTTAGTGCCTTTTTCATTCATTTGTCCAGGATGTTTATTAAACCAGAACACCGGCACTCCCTGGGCTAGGAAACAAGGAGCGCACAGGCTGGGGCCCAGAGAGTTTACACGACTCCTGAGGACAACCGACTCAGACGGGGTCCGAAGAAATTCAGATCGGTGAATGGGTGAACCACACAGAGAACTAGAAAAGACTACGTTGGCCCACTTCACCATTTTGCCCTGAGATGGTTCTGTGGACTTAACAAGAAAAGGAAAAGGATAAAGCCTGTGCCAGAAGAAGTGGTTCAGGAGGTAAGGGTTTCTAAGATAGTGTATGGCTTTACAATGTATAGCTCTCTCCTCCAAGTACATTTCAGAGAAAAATCCTGAGCAATATAAAACCTTGAGCAAGCTGAAAGCAATAAAAATGTACTGGACTGTGATAAAAAGGACATTTTGCCAATTTATAATTACACTCGTAACATATAAGCTGTTTCATACTTTACAAGTTGCGCTTGCTAGGAGTCAGGTCTGTGGATGTATGTAATCTTTCCTCTCTATACTTCTGCATAAGCCTATTTTTCTTCAAAATTTTATAGCTGTTTGTGTAGTGACTCCAAATAAAAACAGTGAAAATACACTGATTATTTTTCAACTCTAAATACCCACTTTAAGTATAGCTGAAGAATGAAAGGATATAATCCTCCTATTGGTCCCTTGTTGCTAAGAAGCATTTCCATTGCAGATTTTGAGTATTACATTCATTGAAAAAGTCTTATGCATATTTTATGGCATAATTATTTTTATTGTAAGAAACTCAACATGAAATCTATCATCTTAAACAATACAGTATCATTAACTATAGGCACAGTTTTGTACAGCAGATCGCTAGAACTTGTTTAACTGAAATTTATTTCGAAAGAGATAGCAAGTGTTGGCAAGGATGTGAAAAAAAGGAACCCCTTTTGCACCATTGATGGGAATGTAAATGGTGCAGCTGCAATGGAAAACATTATGGCAAATACTCAAAAGATTAAAAATAGAACTATCATATGATCCAGCAATCTTACTTTCGGGTATATACACCCCCCCAATATAAAATGAAGATGTTAAAGAAATATTGGCCCTCCTATGTTCACTGCAGCATTATCCACAATAGCCAAGATGTGGAAATAACCCAAATGTCCACTGATGAGTGGAATGGATAAACAAAATATGGTATAATTTTTAAAATCACAAACTGAGTTGGTCTAATGTCTTAATATTGGCATGTCATTTTCAGCTTGACATTCACACCTTGAAGATTCAGTTAAACACAGAATAGCAATCTGCATCTTTAATATCATCTCGGTGGGGCTCAGACTTTCCTGTCACTGAACTTTCTGTAGGTCCTCAGTGCTGTGAGGAGCTTAGAGGCCCAATAGCAACCTGTCCTCTGGGATTCCGTCTTCCAAGTTGGAGCAACTGGGAGAACAACAGGGGCCACTGGAACTGTCCAACAGAGTCCTGCAGCTGCAGGACAGCCATGGGGTAGATGGAGGACAGTCAGAATTCTCTGCTTCTTTCATTTCCCACAGAGCTGTTGTCCCCGTCTTCCTCCCCACAGTCAGTGCTGTGGGCTCACTTTGCAAACCACACAAGGACCGGCCTGTGAGAAACTTCCAGTAGAAAATCCTGCCACCCTGAGAAACCAGGAGTTTCCAGAATCTTTCTGTCCACATGTCACCTACTTATAAACTGAGGGAGGCAGTGCTGGATTCTGTGGTGAGGCAGGGTTGGGGGGAAGGGTTTTTAACTTGAAGATCTAAATAAACCAGAGTTCAAGACCTGTCACAATTCCAAGTATGATGTAAATCACTCATCCCCCTTGAATTTCCCATCTTCATTTGCAAAATGGAGGTAATGGTGATTACTCCTAGGATCTTATCTGAGGGAAGATGTATAGATATCAGTAAACATAATGCACTGTGGAAAATTCAAATGATTTCCATTTCAAGTACACTTTGGGATGAAGCAAGGTTGAAAGAAAATAAGGAAGACAAGGTTTTGTTTTTGTTTCTTGGGTCTTGCTCTAATAAATTCACAAAGGAGTTTGAAAGGTGATAGCAGCTGGGTGTTTCATAGCCAACAGGCCTACACATACCACAGAAACCACGCAGCAAAATGTAAATTTTAAAATATGTTCCCTTCTTTTTAACTTTCAGCAAGCTTAACAGATTTCAAAATTACACTAAAATTCTCCCAGAGTTAAATGTTGTTTTTCCACTCTGGAAAAGGGAAATTAGATTGAAAAATAGAATATTAAAAAATAGGTAATAATGGAAGAAAATGCATTGGGTGGGGGGCTCTAACTACGTACACTTTGAAAAAGGAAGATGTTTTCCTACTCTGTCTTTCTAGAAGAGTTGTGTCTGGTCCTACTCAAGTCTGCAGAGGGTCAGTTTCCTGTTCACTTGCTCACAGCAGCTTGCAGTCCTTCTCAGTCCCAACTTCTAATTTTATTCATTTTCACCCCAATGTAGAATTTGTTTCTCACAGTACTCATCAACGTAAGCCACGGTTCAGTCTTCCTATGCAATGTATATTAAATACTGTATTACATTTTAAAATACGAGTTATGAGATGTTAGTCACATTCATTAATCTGCATGTGAAAATACAACTAAAATGTGGGCACGGTGAGTCCCTGGGGCCGCAGTTCTCAGGGTTTATTGAGCACATGATTTCTTTCAAGGTGAATGTGATTTAACTTAAAAAGTTTTGCTGTTTTTATAAAGGACAATCAGACTTCTCCGTATTATTTGGCATCGCTGCAGGGTTCAGACTTTGAATGAAGGTAGAAAATTAGCCTTCAGCATACAAAGTAAAATGTCAATAATAAGAAGTAAGTGGTTACTAAAGCTAAAATCAGGAGGAAAAAAGCAGAAAGCAAAACCAAAGCAAATTCAATCCCAAATTAAGTTTAAATGGGAAGATAAATTAAAAATTAAATTTTAAAATGACATAGCAAATTATAAATAGAAAGAAATGAGTCTAGTCGAGTTCTGCAGCCTCCAGCCTGGAGAAGGGTGGGGTGAGATGAAAACATTCAGACTTCCTTCCTTCCCTTCCTTCCCTCCCTCCCTCCCTCCCTCCCCCACTACCCTCTCCCACTCCTCCCTTCACCCTCCCCCTTCCCCCCTCCCCCCTTCTGCCCCTTCCTCCCTTCCTTCCTTCCTTCCTTCCTTCCTTCTGGTGTGAACTGCACCAGCACCCTGCCCCTCGCCCCTCTCACCTGCATCTCCTTTTCATCCTTTCTCCCTCTCTTGGTTGGTTCTCTGTTTGTGATAGTGTTTTAGGACCAACCACTTGGGTTCAGATTTCTTTAGAGGACAAAATGCCAGAGGGACTAGAAAGGAGGAGGGGGTTCCTATGACTCAGAGGGAAAAGAACTTGGGCCTGGAACTAAGTCTCCTGCCCCTTCTGCATGAAAGTGCCCTGGAGTCCTCAGCTGAGCAAATCCATATTCCTTTAAAAGGCAGGAAATGCATTTTGCCCAGCACTAAATTCGTCCTCACTGATAAATTCCAAACCTGAGGGGGAACAGCTGTGCCTGATCATCGCCCTCACTCCCACCAGGGAGACAGAATCCATAGAATCCACAGCGTGCCAAACAGTTAGGGATTAATGTTTCTGTGTGGAACCCTGAAGAGAGACACGTTCTGGGCTGGGATGGCAGCAAAACCACATCACTCCAGAATTCCAATCAGAGACCCGAGAGCAGCCATTCCCCCAGGCCTCTCATCCCTATCATCCCCGGACATGTCTTCAAATCGTATGCCGTTGATCCTCAGATCAATCTGTCCTTTTCTGGGCTCTCTACACTCCCATCCGCCCATGCACTCCCCACTACTCTTCTTCCTTCCCCACAGTTTTTTTTCTGTGCACTCTTTGACCCTCATAAAGAAGGGAAGGGAAAAGGAGGGGAGGGGAAGGGAAGGGAGGGAAAGGAAAAAGAAAGGAGAGAGGGAAGGGGGATGAGGTTGAGGGGAGGAAAGAAGGAAGAAAAAAGACTACTTTAATCTTATCTGAGAATATTCTGGTGTAGCCTAGAAATTGAGACTGGCTCCCCAGGTGGGCAGCCCAAGGTTTCTGGTACAGGCTCTGCTTGTGTGACATGAGCTCATTACTGAGCCTCTCTAAAGTTGTATTTCTTCATCCCAAGTTAATGATGAAAAAGTAAATAATAGAATGCAGCTAAAATTCTAAAAATCTCACCTGGTACACAATAAATACTCAGTTATATTGGGTGTCAGACACTGATCTACACCTTGATTAAAACTCAGGTCTTCCTTTTGGACACCCCTGCCCTTGTAACACTCAGGAATGCAGTTTCCTCATTTCCCCTCATCTTATTTGTGGTGGGGTCTGGATACATTTTCACCAATCTCCTTTGATTTCATAACATTGCACCTCCTCACAAAAGTAACTGAACTAACACAATGAGAAAGTTATCTCTTCTCTTAAATATCATTTGACTATAGCTCCCTCTACCCTTCCTGGCCATTGTAATTCATTTTCTAAACTCCGAGTCATTCCCTTACACTTATCACCATCTCCTCTATCCCAAAGCCACAATATGAACATCCTTGAGGAATACCAATAAGATCCTTTGACTTCAAGTTCCCTGATGCAAATGAGCTCCAGCTGCTTCACTTCAGCCTCATTCCCATGGCCAACCTCATCACCACCTGGGATGGGGGCACCATCTTTGAAATCTTATTTAAACTCTGTGTTGACTGTACACCTCTAGATATTCCCAGATCTCTCACTCCCACACTATAGCTTCTTTGACATGCTGACTCTTTCTGATTTTCATTATCAGCCTCTCTTGATCTAACTGTCCTCTCCACATTGCCCAAACAGCATGGTACCTTTTTTTCCAGACTCTTTTGCCAATTTGTTAGCATTTATGTAGCCAAATCCTCAATGTCGGCATACCTGCAGATGCTAATTCTAGGTCAGTCTTCTCAGTTGCCTTCACAGGTTCTGCAAACAGCTGACTATTGCTGGGGAAAACCCCCCAGCTGTGCGGGTGGGGTCCCTATTCATGGTCTCCATCCTGGGGTCTGTATGCTACGAGGACAATGGTCCTTAGCCTTGAATGAATATGGGAATCATCAGGTGGATTCTTTAACATACTGCTTAGTTCCTACTCTCTTGAGGTTCGGATTTAAGTGGTCTGGGCAGGTGTTTCCAGTGTAGAAATGTACTATTACTAGGGACTCTTGTTGTTCCCTGTCAAAATCTTTTTCCATTCCACATCCTCTACTACACACACATAAACATTTCCTACCTTAATTCCACTTTTCCCTTATCACTTTTTTGTTTGTTTGTTTGTTTTTGAGACAGGCTCTTGCTTTGTCACCCAGGCTGGAGTGCACTGGCTCGATCACAGCTCATTGCAGCCTCGATCTTCCAGACTCAAGCAATCTTCCTTAGTTTTCCGAGTAGTTGGGACTACAGGCACACACCACTACAACTAGGTAATTTTTGTATTTTTTTGTAGAGACAGGGGTCTCACTGTGTTGCCCAGGCTGGTCTCAGACTCCTGCACTCAAGGGATCTGCCTGCCTCAGCCTACCAAAGTGTTGGGATTACAGGTATGAACCACAGCACCTGATCCTTCATCACTCATATCACAGAGCTTGAATCTTCTGAACATCAAGTAGATAAGAAACAGCTATAAACTCCCTTTCAGAAATTTAAAATAAAGCGTATATAATTAGCTATTTTCCTCCTGTTTCAGAAAACATCACTGTTTTTCAGTGTCTTCTGTGTTCTGGATCCTTTTCCCTGCCATCCCTCTGGGACGTTGCCCCTCAGCTACTCTGTGAGTTTCTTCTGTCTCCAAGCTGTTGATGGGCATGGGAGTTCCACCAGCATCCCTGGCAGTGACCAGGCTCTAGTCGCTCTAGCTTCCACTTCACACTGTCTCCTGCCCGATGTCCCTCTTGCTACTGCTGTCCCACTCTCTTTTTCTAAGCATCCCGACTTCTACAGAAAGTATTCATCATTTGCTCTCTCCTTTTCATTAACTCATTTCCTCTCCTCAGTCCTCTGCAATCAGGCATCTACTCTTATCCATTCATCAATTTACTGATGACCTCCGATCTATCACTAATTTATAGATTATTTTGTTTTCATTTTCACAATAATCCTATAATGTATGTTCTATAATAACACCTACTATATAGATGAAGAAACAAGGTACAAAGTGGTTAATCAGCTAGTCCAAGTTCATACAGCTAGCAAATGAAGCCAGTATTTGAACCCAACTGATTTGACTCAGAATCTGCATTCTTACCTACGTCCTGCTTTGTCTTCCAGTTCACCTGACATTTGCTTGCTCTGATGACAAAATTCTGCCCTACCTGATTTGACATTCCTAGCATTCCAGTCAGTCTTGGGTTAAATAGCTGAAGTGGGACTATTATTTCCAGACTCCACTGTTAAAATGCACAAAGAAGCCAGAACAGAGGGAGTGTGCTGATGGTTTTCACTAATTATTTTCCTCTACCACATTAGCTTGGGTACCAGATCCAGCCACGTTTTTGGTGCCACAACCCAAGGAGCTGGAGGGTAAGGATCCACAGAGGGGAAGGGATAGAGGAGATGAGAGGAAGGAGAGGAAAGAAGAGAAGAGAAGAGAAGAGAGAAAGGGTGAGGATGACCAGCTCAGTACCCAGTGTTCTGCAGCTCTGGAAGGTAGGCCTGCCTTGATCTAAGATGTGATCCTACAGGACCTCTGGCAACCAGAAGCTCCAAACAATGCCCAAAGCAGGTAACATGAAAAAAGATTTGGGAAGGATAAGAAATGCATATTCCTGAACCTGAACTCAGAGGTAGCTACAGCTTACTCTGCCCAGTCACAGCACACAAATGCAGTTTCCTTTCAGAAATAATTTTTGCAAAAGATTTTGTGTCATAGCTTAAGGAATTTAGCTCAGATGAAGAAAAAAAATCTTAGTATTAAGATTCTAAATAGAACAATAAAAGAAACCCATAGTACAAATTAATGAGATGTGATAGGGCTAATTTCTCTGTTTAGAGATGTTTTAACTGTGACTTGACAATACTGACATGCAAGCTCTTCAGGAGAACCTAGTTTTCATTTGAGCTTGCTTAATTAATTACTGAAGTAATGAATTCATTCTGATTCAAGGGTAGACAATTGACTGTTAATGTAAATTTATTGGCCGTTTAACTTTTTTTATTATTTTGGAGAAGCAAGGATGGAAAAAATACCACCAGAGTAAATTTACATTGTGTTCTTGGGATATTTTTCAGTAATTTTTGCAAACTTCCTTACAATAAATAGAAGCCGTTCCTAAACCTGAATTTATTTTTCCTTTCAGTCAGAAGTTTAGCTAATAAAACTTTTGCCAGAGTGTAGCACAATAGCTCCCTTGGGAACTCTTTCAACTGCGTAATTTTTTCTCTCTCTTGTAAAAAGAATGACATGGTGTCTTTAAAATGTTCAAGGCTCTGAAAGAAAGACAAGCCATTTGATATGAATGATTAATAAGAACATTAAGGAATACAAAATAAGAGGAGTTTAAATATAAAAAAATTCTCATTTTCAGAATGCAGATCAAATCTGACTTCTCTTCTATTTTTCCTGTTTCACAGACAAAATCCTGACTGAGGTTAAGTGCTAATGTTTTTAATGCCCATCTTTTATTCTCATGCTTGACACCAATCGGCTACTTCAGAACTAGTGTCTTGACACGTGAATCTTTTCCACAGCACCAAAGGTTATTCCACAAGGACATCTGCGAAAGGAAGAATATATTTCTAACGCAATAAACAAAGGATTTTATGCAAAGCCTATTTAGACAGGAAATGGAAACGCGGATGAGAGAGAAGCCATGTTGTTCAGGTCCTGCTATTTATGAGGGAGAGTTTTCCTTGAGAAATGCATGTCTCTTTATAAGCAGAAACCTCTGTAAGGTAATCCAGCAGTGATGGAACGAGATATGATATTACGTTTTAATCAAAAAGAGAGTCATTAAGAATATAGCATTATTAATATTTATTCTTATCCATATTATATTTTAAAGTATTAGGAAAATATTCATTGTGGAGATGATTTAAGAATCTATCCATATGAGGAAATAAAACAAAGTGTTACCCGAAAGGGGTCCCGATCCAGACCCCAAAAAAGGGTTCTTGGACCTTGTGCAAGAAACAAATTGGGACAAGTCCAGAAAGTGAAAGCAAGTTTATTAAGAAAGTAAAGGAATGAAAGAATGGCTACTCCAGAGGCAGAGCAGCAGCATGGGCTGCTCAGATAAATATAGTTATTTCTTTATTATATGCTAAACAAGGGGTGGATTATTCATGAGTGTTCCAAGAAAGGGGCAGGCAATTCCCAGAACTGAGGGTTCCTCCCCACTTTAGACCACATAGCGTAACTTCTGGACGTTGCCATGGCATTTGTAAACTGTCATGGCGCTGGTGGAAGTGTCTTTTAGCATGCTAATGAATTATAATTAACTTATACTGAGCAATAAGGATGACCAGAGGTCACTCTCATAGCCTTCTTGGTTTTGGTGGGATTTGGCCAGCTTCTTTACCGTATCCTGTTTTATCAGCAAGGTATTTGTGACCTGTATCTTGCGCCGACCTCCTGTCTCATCCTGTGACTAAGAATACCTTAACCTCCTAGGAATGGAGCCCAACAGGTCTCAGCCTCAGTGTTCCCAGCCCCTACGCAAGATGGTTCAAATGCTTCTGATAAAGGGACTCATATAGTAGGAATTCACAATCTGAAATGAGCAATAATATTCTGAATGTAAAGATAGCCTAAATGACATGTTTTAGCCAGTGGCATATAAAATTAGATTTGTCATGAATTGATGTCATATGTATAATTTGGGGGAAAGGCCAGCATAGAATAATTGTAAGATAGAATGGAAAATAACTGAGTTTCAAATACTGGCAGGCAAAGAGTAGACAAGCCATTGTATCTCATGGTAATTCAGAAAGGCATCTGGATATGGAGCCATCTCAGAAGTCATTCACATGACAGAAGAGAAATTAGTAAATATTTCTGAGGTGGAGACCAGTTGGCAAACACATGGCTTTACTCTTGGTCAAAGGACCTAATTCAGAGGTGATGAGATGACAAACGTTTGGGGGTGATACCTGACACCAAAGGAAAGCAAGAACTGGAGAAATGGTCATGAGAGTAAAGATGCAAAACTCTAGTGACTGACTAGTAGCAGCAACTTAGAAACCGAGTCAGCAGCTGAAATGCAAAAAGGAAGCCATCCTAGAAGAAAGCCGGATTAAAGTCGCAGACAGAGCAGGCTGCTCCAACAGCAAAGCCATATATTTTGAGACAGCGATGCGCTGCCTTTCTTCACAAGGTTTACCCAGCACACCCACCCAAACCATGGCAGACTTGTATTGATGCATTTTCCCCTTCCAAATGGATCCCCTGTGAGAACTCTGGGAGTATATCAACACAAAGGTTTGATGAGAAAGTGGAGGACTGAGCAAAGCTAACTTACTTTGAACTTCAATACTACTTTAGAGCACAATAAAATATTAAGCTTTACATCATTCTGCTTCCTTATTGTAGATTACCCATTGTTCAGTCTACTTTGGGATTTCTTCATTGTAGCTTGTTGCAGCACTTCTGTGCGTGTGTGTGTGTGTTTGCACACACTCATAAAATCTTAGCATGAGAAATAGTTACACCATGTGAATTTAAAAATGAGGAGAACTTAGATAGGAACTTGTTAGCCTGAACTGCAGCTGCCCCTGTGGAAAACTGGTGTTGCCCTCCCTTTAGTTTTGCTGCAGAAATGGGTGATTTTAAACCTGAAAGTCAAAGTATATTTATTAGCTTGATCATATGAAATTGCTGTTTTTGTAGGTCAAGATACTTAGATATCAGCACATTCACGAGGTTCAGCCTTATAGTGCGTGACTGGATTCCACATCCACCCTGCATTTTGTAATCGAAGGTGAGGAAGCTCACAGGTGTTGAGCACCTTGTACTTGGCCAGGTGTTTGTTAGGGGCTATTTTAGAAACAGCACTCAGTTAGTTACTCTTAGCCAGGTGCTGTCTGCACCACATCACGTGATGGTCAAGGACTGATGACCCAGGACATGAATAAGTATCATTCATTCAACATTAAACATGGGAAAAAAAGACTCATTAATTTAAAAAACACCACTAAAATAAATATTACAACTAGAATTTGAAGGCTATTTATTTCTGTCGGGTTACATCCACTAATAAATGTTACAAAGTTAGGATGACATTTAACTTGAGATACAGTTTTGTAGCCGCTGTTGTTGTTTTTTAATCTAATAAGCTCCTTCTGTGCTATACCAAATGACCTCCCTAGCTGGGACTCCTCCTGACATCCAGGCTGTTCCTTCGCATTTGAAAGCCCATGAAAGTCTTTCTTCTTACCAGTACACTGATGCCCACACATCCCAGCCACTGCCCTTCACTCTCACATCAAGATAAGGTCTTGATGTTCACTTTCAGGTTTTATATCAGTATACTGAGCTTTAGCGATTGGCTTTCATCCTGGAGAAATTTCAATGGGAAAAAGAACTGCATTAAAATCACTACTTATTATTATTTTTTACATTTATTTCAGTTTGTTTTTAATTGAAAAGCCATACGATTCACATAGTTCAAACCATATCTACATCCATTTTATATTTTTATCCCATTCCCATTACCCAGAGGGAAAAAATGCTATGATTTTTCTTATATGTCCTTCTAGAAATATTTCATATTTACATGAGTATATATATATATATACATATATTCATTGTGGGAATTTCAAATGGGAGAATATCTTACCTTATTCTTTGATTTTAGAAAAATATCTTGAAGTTCATTCACAGCAAGTATGTTTACCTCATTATTTCTCAAGGCTGCATGCTATTCCAGAGTATAAATGTACCATGACCACTGAAAGAGAACTGTACTAACATATTTACCATTATATTCATAAAATGTTAGTTAATCTCTTCATGCACATATGCATATATTACACTATGACTGTGGGATAAATTCCTAGAAGTAGCATTGCTGCTTAACGTAAACTATACATTGAGAGAAACTGAAAGCATCACTCTTTTTGCATTACCTCCATTCACTACACTGAAAGTTGATCATTTTTTGGAACTTTAATTTTATAGATAGTGCCAAATGGTTCTTCAAGAAATCATATTCATAAAAAGGCACCAGTTCCTGAAATTGAATCATCTGAGTTTTACCTTTTCATGTGCACACTTGAAACAGACCTAAAACATTCCCAGATGTGGTGAGGGGTTGTGAGTAAAGATTCTGCAGCCAGGCCACTTGGGTTCAAATTATTGTGCTACCACTAACTAGCTCTATAATTGGGGCAAATAAATAAAGCCTGTCTTTTTGCTTTCCTTGTTTTCATCTGGGAAGAATATTAGTATCTAGCTCATAGAGTTCTGCGAGGATTTTAATATATACAAAGCACAAAGAATCATGTTTGGTGCACAGTAAGCACTCAAGATACATAATGTCTTCATACTTAAATTTGTTCTTAAAACTGATTATTTTTAACCTGAGCATTATGCTGAGCAATAATATCCATAATATTGCATGTTTCCATACTATTTAATTTTAAGAGACTTTAAATTTAATGCATTAACTATGAAAGTATAGTTGAAAGTAATGTCCTAAGCAACACAGCCTCAGTAAATGTTTTAGTTGTTCTAATAAACTGAGTAGTACCTCACTGCTGTTTTAATTTGCATTTCTTTAACTTATAAACAAGGTTGAATATTATCTCATGAATTTTATTATTATTATTATTATTATTATTATTATTATTATTATTTGAGACGGAGTCTTGCTCTGTCGCCCAGGCTGGAGTGCAGTGGCGCAATCTTGGCTCACTGCAAGCTCCACCTCCCGGGTTCACAGCATTCTCCTTCCTCAGCCTCCTGAGTAGCTGGGACTACAGGCGCCCGCCACCACACCTGGCTAATTTTTTGTATTTTTAGTAGAGGTGGGGTTTCACCGGGTTAGCCAGGATGGTCTTGATCTCCTGACCTCGTGATCTGCCCACCTCGGCCTTCCAAAGTGCTGGGATTACGGGTGTGAGCCACCGCGCCAAGCATTA
Organism: Homo sapiens; assembly: GCF_000001405.40. Classification (NCBI taxonomy): domain Eukaryota; kingdom Metazoa; phylum Chordata; class Mammalia; order Primates; family Hominidae; genus Homo; species Homo sapiens. The sequence continues at coordinate 42,056,653 of NC_000009.12, forward strand.
TCTCATAAATTTATATACTATTTTTTCTTCATGTGGAATGCTTATCAATCCTTCTCAATTTTACATTGCTTTTCTTAATCTTTATCCATTGATGTGTAAGAGCACTTTACAAAAAAACTGTGTCATGTATATTAAAATATTATTTCCCATTTATAAATTGATATCTTCTGGTAAGTTTCAAATAATTTCATTTATTAGTCTCTTTAATGTGGTCTTGGTTTTACATCTTGCATAGAAATACATGCCCGCTCCCACATTATATATGCAAACCTCTCCCAGAATCTTCTAGAACTGTTTCTGTGGCTACTTTAAAATCTTTAATTCATCTACAATCTACTTTGACGCAAGGAATAGGGTAATGGTCCAGTTTTATTAATTTTTTCCTGAGGGATACCTAGCTTCCCCAGTACCATTTATTAATTTTTTTCTTACTAATTTAAAATGCCACATCTTTTATCAGCATATATATTTGAATTTGTTAGTGAATACTATTTTTTCCACTGCTATTAATATCAAGCATACTAAAATCTAGAATCAACCTTTATTATGTACTTTTTTTTTTTTTTGAGACAGACTCTCACTCACTCTGTCACTCAGGCTGGAGTGCAGTGGCGCAATCTTGTCTCACTGCAACCTCCACCTCCAGGGTTCAAGAGATTCTCCTGCCTCAGCGTACCAAGTAGCTGGAATTACAGGAGCACGCCACCACACCCAGCTAATTTCTGTATTTTTAGTAGAGACAGGGTTTCACCACGTTAGCTAGTCTGCTCTCAAACTCCTGACCTCAGGTGATCTGCCCAACTCAGCCTCTCAAAGTGCTGGAATTACAGGCCTGAGCCACCGCATCCAGCCTCTAGGTATTTTTCTAATTGGTAAGACTAACTCCTTTTTCAATTTCTTGTTGCCAGTTGTACTGCTTATCCTTTTATGAAAATTAATTTTTTTAAATTTGATGAATAAAATATGTATGCACTATGTACAACTTGATGTTTTGAAACATGCATACATAATTGAATGAGTACATCAAGCTAATTAAATATGCATTACCTCACATACTTATTTTTGTGGTGAGAAAACTAAAAATCTATTCTCAGCAATTTTCAAGAACACAGTACTTTGTTATTAACTATAGTCACCATTTTGTGCGATAGATTTCTTGAACTTATTCTTCCTACATAACTGAAATTTTGTATCCTTTGACCAACATCTCCCCAACTCCCAAACTCGCTAGTCCCTGGTAACAACTATTCCACCTTCTGCTTCTATGGGCTCAACATTTTTAGACTCCACATATAAGCTGGATCCTGTAGTATTGGTCTTTCTGTGCCTGACTTATTACACCGAACATAATGTCCTCCAGGTTCATCTATGTTCTCACAAATAAATAGGATTTCTTTTATTTTATGGCCAAATAGCATTCCATTGTGTATGTACACCACATTTTCTTTATCCATTCATCCACAGATGGACACTTCAGTTGATTCCAAATCTTGGCTATTATGAATAATACTGCAATGAACATGGTTGTACAGATATCTAAAAGACATACTGATTTAATTTCCTTTGGATACATACACAATAGTGGGATTGCTGAATCATTTGGTAATTCTATTTTTGATTTTTTGAGGAAACTCCCCACTGCTTTCCATAATGGATATACAAATTTACATTGCCACCAACAGTATACAGGGATCCTCTTTTCTTCACATCTTCATCGACACTTGTTATCTTTTGTCTTTTTGATAATAACCATTCTAACAAGTACGAGGTGATATCTCATTGTGGTTCTAACTTGCATTTCCCCGATGATTTGTGATATTGAGCATTTTTTCATATACCTGTTGGCCAGGCATATATCTTTCTTGAGAAATGTCTTTTCAGGTCTTTTGCCCATTTTTAAAAAGCACAGTTATTTGTTTTCTTGCTATTGAGATGTTTGAGTTGCCTATGTATTTTAAATATTAACCCTTTATCAGATGTATTGTTTGAAAATATTTCCTCCGATCCCATAGGTTGTCTTTTTACTCTGCTGATTGTTTCCTATGTGGTGCAGAAAATTAGTTTGAAATAACCTCATCTGTCTAATTTTGCTTTTATTGCCAATGCTTTTGGGGTTGTATCCAGAAAATGATTTCCTAGACCAATATCATGGAGCTTTTCCCCTGTGTTTTCTCTTAGTAGTTTCACAGTTATGGGTCATAAGTTTAACTCTTTAATCCATTTTGTGTTGATTTTTGCATATAGTGTGAGATAAGGGTCTAATTTCATTCTGTTGTGCATGTATATCCCACTTACCCAATACCATTTACTGAAGAAACTAAACTTTCTTCATTGTGTATTCTTAGCACCTCTGTCAAAAATCAACAGACAATAAATGCCTGGATTTAGTTCTGGGCTCTCTATTGTGTTCCATTGGTCTATGTATGTGTCTGTTTTTTATGTCAGTACCATGCTATTTTGATTGCTACAGCTTTGTAGTACATTTTGATGTCAGATAGTGTGATACCTCCAGCTTTGTTCTTTACGCTCAAGATTGCTTTGGTTATTGGAGGTCCTTTGTGGTTACACACAAATTTTAGGATCATTTTCTCTATTTATGTGGAAAATGTCATTAGAATTTTCATAGGTAATGCACTGAATCTGTAGATCACCTTAGGTATTATGAATATTTTAATATTAATTCTTCCAATCCATGAACATGGGGATATCTTTCGATTCCTGTCATCTTTAAGTTCTTTCATCAATATTTTATAGTCTACTATAAAATTCTGTAAACCTCAGTGTACAACTCTTTCACTACCTTGGTTAAATTTATTCGTAAGTATCTTATTGGATTATTTTCTTGATTTCTTTTTCAGACACTTCATTATTAGTATATAGACCACATAACTGATTTTTCTGTTGATGTTGTACTGTAACTTTATTGAATTTATTTATTAGTTATTTGGGGTTATTTTCTTTTGAGAGTCTTGTTCTGTCATCCAGGCTGGAGTGCAGTGGCACTATCACAGCTCACTGCCGCCTGAACCTCCTAGGCTCAAGTGATCCTCCCACCTCAGCCTCCTGAGTATCTGGGACCACAGGCACATGCCACCATGCCCAGCTCATTGTTTATTTTTTTGTAGAAATGGGGGTCTTGCCATGTTGCCCAGGTCTCAAACCACTGGAGTCAAGTGATCTTCCTACTTTGGCCTCCCAAAGTGCTGAGATTACAAGCATAAGCCATCATGCCTGGCCTGAAATTTATGCATTAGTTCTAATAATTTTTTGTTGAAGTCTTTAGGGCTTTCTATATATAAGATCATGTCATCTGCAAAGAGGGACAATTTAAATTCTGTTTTCTTCAAATTTGGATTTTTTTTCTTCTTTTTCTTGTCTAATTGTTCTGGATAGAACTTTCAGTACTGTGTTGAAAGAAGTGGTGATAGTGGGCATCCTTGTCTTGTTTGGATCTCAGAGGAAGAGTTTTCAACTTTTCACCACTGAATAGGATGTTAGCTGAGGGTTTGTCATATGTGACCCTTATTTTGTCGAGCTATATTGTCCTCTTTACAACCAATATGTTGAGAGATTTTAGAATAAAAGGTTGTTAGACATTTTGTCAAATGCTTCTGCTGTGTCCATTGAGATAATCATATGTTTTTTGTCCTTTGTTCTATTAACATGATACGTTACATTTATAGATTTGCCTATATTGGACCATCAATTCATCCCACAGATAAATCTCACTTGATTATCATGAATGATCTTTCTAATATGCTGTTGAATTTGGTTTGCTAAAATTTCATAGAGTTTTTGCATTTATGCTCATGAGGATATTGGCCTATAATTGTCTTTTTTTGTAGTGTACTTTCTGAGTTTGGTATCAGGGTAATGCTGGTTTTATAAAATGAGTTTGAAAGTATTCCCTTCTCTTCCATTTTTTGGCAGTGTTTGAGAATAATTAGTATTAGTTCTTTAAATGCCTGGTAAAATTCAGCAGTGAAGCCATCAGGGCCTAGGTCTTTATTTAATTAGAGCTTTTTACTACTGATTCAATTTTATTGCTCATTATTGGTTTGCTCAGATTTTCTTTTTTTATGGTTCAGTTTTGGCAGGTTGTATATGTCCAGAAATTTATCCACTTCTAGGTTGTCCAATTTGTTGAGGTATACTTATTCATAGTAGTCTGTTAAGATCCTTTGTATTTCTGTAATATTGGTTGTAATGTTGCCTCTTTCATTTCTGATTTTGAGACTTTTTTCTTAAAGATTTGTCTATTTTGTTTATATGTTATATTTTTATATATATTTATATATTTTTTAAAACCTGACTTTTATGGATTTTTTTTATTGTTTTTCTAGTCTGTATTTTATTTGTTTCTGCTCTGATCTTTATTATTTCTTTCCTTCTTTAACTTTGAGCTTAGTTTGTTCTTGTTATTCTAGTTCCTTGGGGTGTAATGTTTGGTTGTTTATTTGATATCATTCTTCCTTGCTGATGTAGGCCATTATTGCTATAAACCTAGAATTGCTTTTGCTGTATCCCATGTGTCTTGATATGGCATGGGTCAATTTTTGTTTGTCTAAAGACATTTTAAAATTTCCCTTTAAATTTCTTCTTTGACCCACTGGTTGTTCAGGAGCATGTTGTTTCATTTCCATGTATTTCTGAATTTTCTTTTTCTTTTTTTTTTTTTTTTTTTTTGAGACAGTCTCGCTCTGTCACCAGGCTGCAGTGCAGTGGCACGAGCTTGGCTCACTGCAATCTCTACCTCCTGGGCTCAAGCAATTCCCCTACCTCAGCCTCCCGAGTAGCTGGGACAGCAGGCGAGCACCATGCCCAGCTAATTTTTGTATTTTAGAAGAGATGGGGTTTCATCATGTTGTCCAGAATGGTCTCGATCTCCTGATCTTGTGATCTGCCCACCTTGGCCTCCCAAAGTGCTGGGATTACAGGCGTGAGCCACCACACCCAGCCAAATTTTCTGAAAATTCCTTCAGTTACTGATTTCTAGAATCATACCATTGTGGTCAGAAAGTATAACTGATACGATTTCAATCTCCTTAAATTTATTAAGACTTGTTTTGTGGCCTAACATATCATCTATCCTGGAGAATGTTCTCTGTGTGTTTTTGAAAAAGGTGTCTTCTGCTGCTGTTGGATGCAATGTTCAGTTTATGTCTGGTAGGTCCATTTGGTCTAACATATAGTTTAAGTCTAATTTTTCCTTACTGATTTTCTGTCTGGATGAGCTGTCTATTGCTGAAAATAGGATATAGAATTTCCCTCCTATTAAGTCCTCCCCTCCCTTCAGATCTGTTAGTATTTGCCTTATATATTCAGATATTCCATCATTTGGTGCACACATATTTACAACTGTTACATTCTCTTGGTTAACTGACCCCTTTATCCTTCTTTTTTTTTTGAGACGGAGTCTTGCTCTGTGGCCCAGGCTGGAGTGCAGTGGTGCAATCTCAGCTCACTGCAACCTCCACCTCCTGGGTTCAAGTGATTCTCTTGACTCAGCCTCCTGAGTAGCTGGGATTACAGGGGCGTGCCACCATGCCCAACTAATTTTTTTGTATTTTTTTAGTAGAGATGGGGTTTCACCATGTTGGTCAGGCTGGTCTTGAACTCCTGACCTCATGATCCACCCACCTCGGCCTCTCAAAGTGCTGGGATTACAGGTGTGAGCCACTGCGCCCAGCCCCCTTTAGCATTACATACTGACTTTGTCCCTTGTGGCAGTTCTGGACTTAAAATCTATTTTATCTGGTATAAGTACAGCTACTTCTGCTTTTTATTGGTTTCCTTTGCATAGAGTATCTTTTTTCCATCCCTTTGCTTTCAGTCTATGTGTGTCCTTATAAGTGAAGCGAGCTCCCTGTGTGTAGCACAGAGCTGGGTCTGGTTTTTATAATCCATTAAGTCACACTATGTCTTCTGATTGAATAGTTTAATTTATTTACATTTAAGGTAATTGTTGCCAGGTAAGAACTGACTACAGTCATTTAGTTCATTCTTTTCTGGCTTTGTTTCCTGACTACAGCCATTTAGTTCATTCTTTCTAGCTTTGTTTTCCTTTGTTCCTTCCTTCTCTTTCCATCTTCCTTTGTGATTAGGCAATTTTCTATAGTGGCATGGTTTGATTCCTTACTTTGTATCTTCTGTATATCTAGTACAGGTTTTTGCTTTGTGGTTACCAGGAGGCTGACATAAAATATCTTATAGTTGCAGCAAGTTTTTTTTAACTTGAATACAACTTAACCGTGATCACACACAAAAATTCAACATTTTTACCCACCCACACTTTATGTTTTTGATGCTTTTTATATTGTGTAACCCTTAATGAATTATTGCAGCTTTAACTATTTTTAATAGTTTGTTTTAACCACTGTAATAAATGTTACTTAAAAACTACCACCACAGTTTTAAAATTTGACTTACTTTTGTACTTACTTTTGACTTAAACTTTTTGTACTTACTTTTACTAGTGAGTTTCAAACTTTCTTATGTTTCTGTGTTACTAATTAACATCCTTTTCTTTCAGCCCGAAGAACTTCCTTTAGCATTTCTTGTAAGACACTTCTGAGAGTAATGAACTCTTGACTTTGTGTGTGTGTGTCTCTGCAAAAGTCCTTTTCTCTTTTCCTTCTGTAGAAGAGCTTTGCTGTGTATTCTTGGTTGACAGTTTTTGTTATGTTTTGTTTTTTTCCTTTCAGCACTTGAATATATCATCCTGCTCTTCCCTGGCCTGTAAGGTTTCTGCTGTGATGTCTGCTTCTAGTATTAATGGAATTCCCTTATATGTGACATGCTTCTTTTGTCTTGATGCTCTTTTGCTGCAGAATACTCTTTTTGTCCTTGAATTTTCAAAGTTTGATAATAATATGTCTTGGTGTAGTCTTGCTTGGATTGAATCTGATTAGAGACCTTTGACCTTCCTGTGTATGAAAATGTAAATTTTCCCCCAGATTGATAAAACTTTTTCTGCCTGCCTTCCTGCCTGCCTTTTTTCCTTCCTTCCTGTCTTCCTTTCTTCTTTGCTCCCTCCCTCCTTCCTTGTTTCTGCTACTGTTTCCTCTCTCTCTATATCTCTTTCTTTACAATAAAAACTGGATCTATTAGCCAGGCTGGAGTGCAATAGCATGATCATGGCTCACTGCAACCTCAAACTCCTGGGCTCAAGCGACTCTCCCACCTCGGCCTCCCAAAGCGCTGACATTATAGGTATGAGCCATGACACCCAGCCTATTGTTTCTTTACTAAACTTTCTAGACCTTTGTCCCTCTATTCTCCTTTTTCAGTGTCCATACTTTTAAGTTTTGTTCTTTTGATGCTTTCCTGTAAGTTCCATAAGCATTCTTCATTACTTTATATTCTTTTTTCTCCAATTGTATAATTTCACTAAACTGTCTTTGAGTTCAGAGCCTTTCTTCTGCTTCATTGATTCTGCTGTTGACATTCTCTATTGCAATTTTCATTTAATTCATGCATTTCTCAGCTCCAGAATTTGTTAGTTTTTTGTATAATTTCAATCTTTAATTTTCTCATTTTATTCATTTAATGACTTACTAATTTTTGAATTTTTCCTTTTTTAGATAAACAGAAATTTATTTGTAACAGTTCTGGAGACTGGGATGCTCAAGATCAAGGTGGTGGCATCTGTGAAGGCCTTCTTGCTGTGTCATAACAAGGCAGAAGGCATCACATGGGTGAGAGAGAGACAAAAGTAGGGTCCTTTTATAAGAAACCTACTCCCTCATAACATAAATTTTGAGGGACACATTCAAACCAGAGCAGTCCCAGTTCCGGATCTCTAGTTTTTTCCAACATTTATTTTAGATTCAGGAGGTACATATGCAGGTTTGTTACCTTGGTATATTGTGTAATGCTGAGGTTGGGGTATGAATGATCCCTTCACCCAGATACTAACTAAACAGTTACTTTTTCAACCACTGTCCCACTCCCTCCTTTTCCCTTCCAGTAGTCTCTAGTGTCTATTGTTGCCATCCTTATATCCATGAGTTATCAATGTTTGGCTTCTACTTACAAGTGCAAACATGCAGTATTTGATTTTCTGTTCCTATGTTAATTCACTTGGGATAATGGCCCCCAACTGCATCATGGTGCTACAAAGGACATGATTTCATTATTTTTTATGGCTGCATAGTATTCCATGGTGTATATATATACACCATATTTTCTTTATTCAATCCACTACTGATAAGCACCAAGGTTGATTCCATGTCTTTGCTATTGTGAATACTGCCATGATGAACACACAAGTGCATGTGTCTTTTTGGTAGAATGATTAGATTTCTTTTGGATATCTACCCAGTAATGGGATTGCTAGGTTGAATGGTAGTTCTCTTTTAAGTTCTTTGAGAAATCTCCAAATTTTTTTCCACAGTTGCTGAACTAATTTACATTCCCACCAACAGTATGTAAGTGTTCCCTTTTCTCCACAGCCTCACCAGCATTTGTTGTTTTTTGACTTTTTAGTAATAGCCATTCTGACTGGTATGAGATGGTATCTTATTGTGGGTTTAATTTGCACTGATCTGATGATAAGTGATGTGGAACACTTTCTCATATGTTTATTGGCCATGTTTACGCCTTCTTTTGAGAAATGTTTGTTCATATATTTTGTACATTTTTAAGTGGGGTTGTTTGCTTTTTGCTTGCCTAATTGCTTAAGTTCCTCATAAATTTTGAATATTAAACCTTTGTTGGATGCATAGTTTGCAAATATTTTCTCCCTTTCTGTACGTTGTCTGTTTACTTTGTTGATAGTTTCTTTTGCTGTGCAGAAGCTCTTTAGTCTAGCCGGATCCCACTTGTCAATTTTTGTTTTTGCTGCAATTGCTTTTAGGACTTATAAATCCTTTCCCAAGGCCAATGTCCAGAACGGTGTTCCATAGGTTTTCTTCTAGGATTCTTACAGTTTGAGGTCTTACATTTAAATATTTGATCCACCTTGAGTTCAGTTTCATATATGGTAAAATGTAGGGTTCTAGCTTCATTCTTCTGCATATGGCTCACCAGTGATCTTAACACTATTTATTGAATAGATAGTCCTTTCCCCATTGCTTATGTTTGTTGACTTTGTCAAAGATTAGATGGCTGTAGGTATGCAGCTTTATTCCTGGGTTCTCTATTCTGTTCCATTGTTCTATGTGTCTGTTTTAATACCAGTACCAGACTGTTGAGGTTACTGTAACCTTTTAGTTTGAAGTTGGGTAATGTGATACCTCTGGCTTTGTTCTTTTTGCTTTGGATTGCTTTGGCTATTTTGAATTATTTTTCTATTTTCTTTTAAGTTCACTTAGCTCTTTCGGTGGTATTTTCAGATGTCAACAGTGGTTCAAATAGATGATTCTGCAGACGAATGTCCTATTTCACCATCTTGCTGGCATCTGTACACTTGCCTTGTTTATTCTTGAATGAACATTCTTCAAAGTAAAATTTTGAATTACATCATTTTATTATGGGTTAAATTAGAGAGGATTAACATCTTTACATTACTGAGTCTTCATATCCATAAATGAGAATTTACACAGATCTCCTTATATACCTCATAGTAATGTTTTAACCTTTCTTTTCCCATGTAGCTTGTACATTTCTTACCCCTCTCCTGCCTGCCAGTGGTATTTTATGCCTTCTAAATCTATTATAAACAGTATTTGCTTCTTTTCATTTTAACTGATAACTTATACAAAGGGAGGTATTTCTGATTATTAAATTAATTTCCAAAAAAAAGTATTAAAAAATGTGAGCTGTTGAATCTTTTTTTTTTTTTTTTTTTTGAGACAGAGTTTCACTCTTGTTGCCCAGGTTAGAGAGCAGTGGCATGATCTCGGCTCACCACAACCTCTGCCTCCCGGGTTCAAGTGATTCTCCTGACTCAGCCTTCCGAGTAGCTGGGATTACAGGCGCCTGCCACCACATCTGGCTAATTTTTTTGTATTTTTAGTAGAGATGGGGTTTCAGCATGTTGGCCAGGCTGGTCTCAAACTCCTGACATCAGGTGATCAACCTCCCAAAGTGCTGGGATTACAGGCATGAGCCACCACGCTGGCCCAGGTGATTTTCTTATGTGTGTTTTCAAGGATCAAATAATAATAATTTTTACTTGGTTCCTATTTTTTATGCCTCTTGTTTAGTCTCTTCTCTAATTGAAATACTCTTTGTATCATAGGAAAATAAGGATAGACCCTAGTGAGAAGGGCCTAAAATTCTTTTTCAGGGTTACAGGAATGAAGGAATAAATAAATCTTTATTGCCACAAAATAAAGGAAACTCCAAACTCAGCCTCTCTGAGACCAAATTATAAAAAAAAGTCATACATAGAATTTGAGAATATCATAGCACCATTAAGAGGGAAAGAGGAAAGGAGATTATGCGGTTTTGCATTGATAATATACTGTGATGTATAAGTATTAAAACATTTTTGTATCTCTGAATAGAAACTTTAGTCAGGCCTCTCTCCTTGAACTCCTAAGATGGAGCCAAACAAAATTTTCTATTTGCTTTCCCTACTATTTTTATTTTTCCTTCTAGAAACTCATCAATTTGAATATAGTCAATATGAGTCATTTTATAAGCATCCTTATATATAAATTTAAATTTTATAGTGTTTGATACATATTCATGTTCTATTACATGTATCCATATAGATACAATCTTGTTTATGAAAATTGACGTAGTATGCTATAAGTGAACAAAACTATATGAAAGAATAACAGACAATACTGCTTGATAGAAAAAGTTTTAAATAATAGAAAAGTGCTGCAACAGAGATAAGAAGAAAAAATATAACAACAAAGGTCTTATGGGAGCTTATTATCTGCCAAGCGCAGAGTTAAGCTCATTAAGTGGATAATCTTATTTTTCCTCACACAATTATGCTCATTTTATAAATGAGAAAGCTAGAACTTTGAGGAGTTAAATCACCCAACTTTATACATAGTTTATAACTGATTCTTGTTCTCAAAGGCAACTCTGTGTGACTGTGAAGCCCCAGCACAGGCTCCCATAAAAAAGGCATTTCCATTTACTGTAATATTTAAAAATCCACAAAAACTGATTTTTCAAAAGCCTACAGTTGAAAGAAAGTTGCTCAAATATTACCTAAAATAGAATAATCAGTTTAAAAAATTGATCGCAATGAAAGAGGAAAAAAAAGCAGCTCACAGGAATTTTCTACAGAGGCACACAAAGATACACTCTCTAAACAAGAAAACCATTATCTAGTGAATGTTCATCAGAAACTAGAATATTCACTTTTGTTTAAGTAAAACTTTCACTAATTATATAGAGGATTATACTTCCTATTGAGATAATTTATCACTATAGCCAAAGTTTCAGTGTAGAAAAACACCCCTGCTCATCAGTATCTGGGATAGCAGTAAAACAGAGGATACTGCTTGAAACAAAACTGCTTAGACCAGCACACTTCTCTGATTTGTCAATGTCACTGATTTAAAAATGAAAGTTAATACCTTTTAAGATATCTGTACAATTCTAGGGCAGCTGTTTCAGAAGGTCAAATAACTCACAGCCAATGGGGAACTAGAGAGATATCTGAGGATTTGGCTGGTAAACCAGACTTTCACTGACAGGGTCCCCTTTGGGGCTGTGGTAGAGGTTCTCTTAAAAGACAGAGCAGCTTAAAGAAATCACTGAGGATTTTCACTATTACAACAACAAAATGATACTGAAGTGCTATATTGATTTTAAATTTGACAAAACAACAGAATCCCTGACAAAACAGAACCATTACTGTGGAATAAATCAGTTAGATTCTGGATCAGCCCCATTATTCTTCATATCATCACAAGTGCTTTCTAAGATGTTGTCACCAGATTAGGGCACAAAGTGGGGAAGAGAGCTGGAAGGGCTTCTCCTTAAAGAGTATGGTTATTGTACTTCACTTCCATGCTTAATCATTTGATAACACTCACCCACAGTTGCTATTTTGGATACTCTATAAAATTCCCAGGCAGTTACCCATTTAATCTAACATAAATATGTGTTAAAATCTTTTCTGCTATTTCTCAAGGTCACGTGTTTGCCCATGGAACTTAGAGTACTGGCATCTCACTCAGTCACCGCAACAATGGCTTAAATCCTTCTTGACAGGTGGTACCTCTGTGTTCCTAGTGGCATCATACCACAGAAGGCTTCTCCCTCACACTAATGGGACTGAATCAATAACATCAGACTAAAAACATTAACCTTAGGAGTCTTATTATTCTGAAAAATATAATAAAACCTTCAGAATAAAGGTTTTATTATTAAAACTCAGACCCAATTAAAATTTTACAAATGAGAAAGCTAGAACTTTGAGAAGTTAGATTACCCAACTTTACATAGTTTATAACTGATTCTTGTTCTCAAAGGCAACTCTGTGTGACTGTGAAGCCCCAGCACAGGCTCCCATAAAAAGGGCATTTCCATTTACTACAATATTTAAGAATCCACAAAAAAATGGTTTTTTTCAAAAGCCTACAGTTAAAAGCAAGTTGCTCAAATATTACCAAATATTACCAATATTACCAATAATCAGACCCAATTAAAATCAGAGAGAAAAAAAGTAACACAAGGCTGTGTAACTCATGCACTACTAATATAGCCCATTGACTATTTAACTCATAGGATGCCTTTTAAAATAATTTTTATTGTGGTAAAATATATATCCCATAAAATCTACCATTTTAACCATTTTAAGTGTACAGTTCAGTGGCATTAAATATATTCACATTGTTGTTCAACCACCACCTGCATCCAGCCCCTGAACTCATTTCATCCTACAGCTGAAACTCAAATCTTCTGAATAATTTGTGAAGTTGGCAACACACCATGCTGACCCTTAATTTGTGAAGAAGGCCCACAAGTATTAGAAAGATCCATTTGTAGAGGTGTCACTTGATGTGACATTCCTTGCTAGCACAGATCCATCTCAAACAAACTTCTAAAGCTTGGGCTACTCTGCTCAACTCTAAATCCACATGAAGAAATGTCTCCTATTCAATTGGCACCACATCCTAGCAGGATTTTGTGTTCTTCTTTTTTCTCTACACTTTGCGTTTCAGATGGATTTTATATCTATACATCTTTATCTATATTATGTGTATACATATATACATATATTTTGCTTTGCAGGAGGATCATTTATGTGTGTGTATGTGTATGTGTGTGTGTATATAAATATATATATATAAAAAATTAGAATTAAGTGAGAATGTTTCATAAGGACAAATACACCACTAAGTCTCTCACTCCTTTGCTATTGTAGAAATGGAGTTAGGAAACAAGGTGAAAAAGAGCCCTTTCACAGCCAGAGACTGTTTCTTTACCTTCTTGGAAACTGTAACCCTTACAGGAATTGTGCAAGAATTAAATGTGGGAGTGCTGGAAACCCAGAGCACACAGCCTTATGCACAAAGAGCTCTTCATAAATGGTAGATGGCATTAGCTTCAAGTTTAGAAACAATGTTTTCTTTTTGCTTCCTAGCCAGGAAAAGCCCTTTTGCTTCAAGCGACTAAAGAATGTTCTCTAACTTCCTGAGTGTTGTGTGTGTGTACTTGCCTCTGCTAATGTTTAGTTTGCCTTACAAGGACAATCTGCCTGACTTCGTGTTGGATAAAGGGAAGCTGTACACGAAGATGGAGAGATACAGAAGGAAACAAGCCATGATTTCAGTAACCCAGTGGCCATGACAGCCAGAGGCTGAATGAAGGCCGACCGAAACTAGATATCCGCTGACCACCTCTGGACCCACAGGTGCAGCTGTTTGGGCTGACACCACACCTGGCAGCAGGGCTGACGTGTCCTGCAGACCTGCTCTTCCTCTGACTCACTGTGTCGCTGCCCATCACTGGCTCACAGCTTGGTAGCTACCCAGCCACACCCTCAGCCTCTCTTTTCCCTACTGTCAACCAACTGTGTGTCTGGCATGTAACACACACTCAGACTGAGAATGTTTCTGTCTCTGTGCTAACTGCAGTGTCTGCCATCCTTTCCTGCTCTCTCATAGCAGGTACCGAGTCAGTCCAGACAGCTGCTGCCTCTGGGCTCAGTGCTGATCGGCAGATCTCCAACCTCTGACCTTCCTTCTGCCCCCTCCGTTAGTTCCACTCACATTTGCTCCAGTCAGGCCCGGAAAATAAAGATAACAATTAGGAACAAATACACACAGGCCATGGGAGATCTACTAATGCACTTTGTCCACTGCCCCAAAAACGTCCCATGACAGCTAGTGGACACTTTTTTAGATTTCCCAGTTAGAACGGTTCTACATTTTGGATCTCAAAAATTCTCAACACTGATAAAGACCAGTGAAACAAGAATTCAGTTATAGCAAATTGTATGCTCTTTGTCAGAAAGTTTTAAAAAACAAAGTCCAATAATATTATTCAGAGAACATTTTCTTTCTTTGCATAAAATCTTCCTAGTGAGAAGAGACAGACAGGAAAAAAACAAAATTCCATACATGGGAACAAGAAATAATGACTTCCATAAGGAAACACAAAACCAGGGAAGACACAGGCTGGAGGCGGGTGGGGTGGGGAGGGCAGTGGGAGCTGTGTACGTGCGTGTCTGCGTGTGTGTGTTCTATGCACATTAGGGGTTAGGTTATCTAGAAGAATTCTATCAGGAAGAGATAATTTACCCAAGAAATGAATTGAGGAAGCTATCTATGCTATAGGGGAAAATTTCAGAAATACTGAATAGCTAGTACAAAGGATGGATCTTGCTTGACATTTTTAAAGAGCAGCTAGAAGAACAACATAGCACAAAATATTTGAAGCCACAGATAAGCAGAGAATACGGTCAAAGTTGCTTATTTCTTTTTATCTAAATAAGGTCAGTTCTTTATTGAAAATGACTACATTCATATGGTGCATAAAATATGTGGCAATTTACAGCAAGAATTAAAGAAAATAAAATTCTATAGATTTAAATTGGAAGCCAGTTGCAAAGGCAGAAGCAAGATGGGATGTGAAGCTGTGGCAATGGTCCAGGTAAGAGATGGTGGGCAACTGGGCTGTCATGGTAATAACAGAGGTGAGGGAAAGTTGTCAGACTCCACATATACTCTGAAGCTGTGACTGACATGATCTGTCTAACAACTGAGTTGACAGGATATGCCTATGGATTGATCGTGGAGTGTGAAGGAATGGAAGTCATTGGTAACTCCACGCATATTGGCTCAAGCCAACAATTGGTAAATGCTGTGATATTTACTGAGAGGTGGAAGCCCAGGGGTAATAGGTTTGGTGATGGGAAGGATATGGAGATAATAAACTTAGTTTTGGATGTGACTATTTGACATCCGAAAGGAAATGGAGTCTGGTGCTCAGAGGGGAACTTGAAACATATGTCAGGGATGGATAATAACCTGAATATATCTAATCCCAACCAGAAGAAAATTTCACAATGAATTAAAAAGTTCTATATTTCCTAGCAGATTTAATTCTTTATTCTTTCAGAAATAAGTGAAAAATAGACATGAGGGAAAATGGCTTGTCAGTGATTGCTAATCTGGGACTATGGTTAATAGAATGTTATGGTATAATCTCTCAGCATGATTCCAGGACATGGTTAGGTGGATTTCTAAATATCTTTTCTCTCTTTCTGATTCAGAACATTTGTTCTTATTAGGCCAGGTGGTTTTTTAAGGCCATTCCTATTACTACTACTACTATATATATATATACATACACACACACACATATGGTTCTCCCAGAAAATTATCTTTTATCTTCCCTCTTCTGTTGTTTATTCTTTTGACCTTGTTTGAGTAATGACACCTTTTAAAATGATGTAGCAGATGAGGAGATTATTCACCTCAAGTGAGTCTGTGTCCTGAAACACATTTTGTTAACTGAAAGTATAATACATAATGAAGCTTGTTCTGTTACTCAGAAAATATTCATGTATTCCTGTTGTAAGTAACAGGGATTCTCTCTTTTGAACAGAGCTTTTACTACTCTGAAGATTCCATAAATCTGGGAGTTACATCTAGTTTTCTTGGGTATTTCTCAACACAAACTCAGTCTAGCCCTTGAAGCGTCAATGTGAAGCATGTAATTAGTAAGAATGTGGATTGATATATTAATCCATTCAGATAATCAAATGTCAGTGATTGATATGACAGCTATACAATCTCTTATCTAAAGCCTTGGTATCAGATTTGCTTTAGATTCAGATTCATTTCATATATTAGAAAGGTCATACTGTGTATACACCAAATATGAGTGACTAGGTGGTAATCACATATGTTACTATTTTTGCAATAAAACATATGAATATTCACATTAAGCAGAGTAACTAAAAAATGCAAATAGCCCCAAAGTCAGTACATTCAGATTTTGCTGCTAAATAAATTTGGGTCTGCTTAGGGTTCACCATTTTAATAATTTTGCTTTTAGAATTAAAAATTGCAGATAAGCAACTGTGGATCTTTAATAATAGAAAACATTAGCATAGGTAATGGGTAAAACCAGACCAAAAAAAACAAAGCCATAAAACGACAGAGGGAGAGCATACAAGAAATATATAAGACTGGAGAATGCATTTTTAATGTGTCCTTAACATAAAAGTAGAGGCAGCAGGATCCCTAGGAGAGAGCTGGAAATGCATTCTGTTCTCCTGGTACAGGAAGGTTAATACGATGACCCTGAGGGCAGGGGATGTAGCTGTGGTCAGGAAAAGATAATAATAATAAAGATAATAATGTGCTGGGAAAGATAGTAAGCCTATAAAAACATAATTTTCATTAATCAAGAGTGTTAATATTTTAGGTATCAAAAATAAATCTTAAGTTATTTTAATATCATCCATTCATATCTAAAATTAATGCCTTGGTAAAGGGCAGAAACTCTAATAAGAGATGTAATTTATTGTTAAGGCAGCAATGATAAGACTGGAGGACAGCCAATATCAGCCCATCTTTTTAAGAAAATAATAAATAGGATACAGTCAGTGAACTTTATTTCTACAGAAGTAGCTTTGATAGGAAAAATACTAGACACAAGGGACATGCCTAGTGAAGAATATGATAACTATGACTCAGCTCACATTTCCCAAGAGTATATTACTAACCTCTACCATAATTATTTGCTTATTTACTAAAAGAATGGATTAATGAATAAACAAATGGAGAATATGTCCCTGAGATGTTGATGTAGCAGTTCAAGAAACGCGAATCAAGATGGTTATCAGTGGCAGGGAAGGGGCGTGGGGGGCTGGGGAGGAGGTGGGGATAGTTATGGGCACAAAAAAATAGTAAGAATGAATAAGACCTAGGATTTGATAGCACAACAAGGTGACTATAGTCAATAATAATTTAATTGTACACTTTAAAATAACTAAAAGTGTATAATTGGATTGTCTGTAACACAAAGGATAAATACTTGGGATGGATATCCCATTTTATATGATGTGATTATTATGCACTGCATGCCTGTATCAAAGTATCTCATGAATCCCATAAATGTGTACACCTGCTATGCACCCACAAAAAGTAAAAGTTTTTTTTAAAAAAAGAAACTCAAATATCTACATAGGTATTTTATAATCCAAACTTGACAGCCTCTCTCTTTGCAATTTTACAACTTTCAGCAAATTCCCCATATTCTCTCCATCTCAGTCTGAACAGCCATTTCACATCTTACAGCTCACTGTTTTTTGTGTATCTCATCCATTATCCATGTTTTTGTTTGCATTACTTTTGCTTTCTGAAATATCCTCCTGAATTATTTTCCAACAACTCATGAGGTAACGCTTTCTCCAAGGCCTGTCATTCTCAAGTGTCTTCGGGTCTGTGTCTTATAACTGAACACTCACAAGAACCATCTCTGGTTTGTTTTGTGGGTTCTCTCTTCAGTAGCATTAACATTTTTTTCACCATGCAAATTCTGTATAGTTGGTCATAGAGTAGGAAATGAAGCTATTAAATGGTTATAATTTGCCAGTCACAGTGATGGAGGATGAAGGAGATGCAAAGATAAAGCCCTATCCCCAAAAACCTTTTAGCTCAAAACGATGGAAGGCTGAGTCCTGAACCCTCATAGCACTACATTTCATTGCTTTAGTCCAAAACAAGTCCAAGAGATGTGCAGAGCCAGGAAGGATCATTTTCAGTGTGGTTGTTCAAAAAAGGCATCCTGGGAGAGGATGAATTTCCCTCATTCATTCAGGAAACATTTCCTGATGTCCTAGTCCTGTTAGGCACAGTTAGGCTTTAGAGGCTGAGTTAGTTTTCCAGAACTGCTGTAACAAAGTGCCACAAACTAGGTAGCTAAAGTGATGGAGGCCATACGTCCAAGATCAAGGTGTCTGCCGGCCGTGCTGCCTCCGGAGGCTCTAGGGAGGGATCTGTTCTATGCCCATCTCCTAGCTGCTGGTGCCTCCGGTGTTCTGTGGCTTGTCCATGCATTATTCCAATCCTCCCTCCTCACAGGGCTGCTTCCCTATGTGTCCTTGCACTGTGTTCCCTGTGTGTACATCTGTCTCTGGGTCCAAAGGTCCTTCTTGATGAGGACACCAGTCATATTAGATTAGGGTCAACCCTCCTGACTACATTTTAACTTGATTACCTCTGTAAAAACCTTATATCCAATTAAGGTCACATTCTGAGGTACTGGGAGTTAGGATTCCAACATATGTCTTTGGGAAACCACAAGTCAATCCAGGATAGAGATGCAGGGATGAAAGGCAGGCACAGTGACTTTGAAAGGAAGCTCACACTGTGAGCGGGCACCAGGAAAGTAAATCACTTGTTCCAGTGAAGCTCAACACGCTCCTACACGAGGTAAGATCATGAGAGTTGACATCTGTCATTTTAAGTGTTCTGGATTAGTAAGAACCTTAACCTTTACGCTCTTTCCCCGCAGGCTAGTAACCTTTCAGAGTAAGCAAAATTGGCAAATGACATTGCCTTGGCTATGGTTTCCCTCTGAACTGCTTAACTTGGTAACAAAAATGCTGACGGTACCTCTGTCATTGACGTATTTTTTTTTAGGAGGAAGAAAGAGCCAAATTACAAATACGATGCAGACTCTATATGAGTCTTCTCTTACAGCATCTCTTTTATAGGGAAACTGTCCACAACATTTTAAACATTATTAATCAATGCAGAGCAAGATTTTAAACAGATACAGGTTACTTTCAAACACTATGTAATAAATACTTATTATTATTATTATTATTATTATTATTATTATTATTGAGACAGAGTTTCTCTCTTTTTTGCCCAGGCTGGAGTGCAATGGTGCGATCTCTGCTCACTGCAATCTCTGCCTCCCGGGTTCAAGTGATTCTCCTACCTCAGCCTCCCAAGTAGCTGCAAAAGTCAAACAAAAAGTGATTACCCCGGCAAAGAGGCACTGACATATAATCAGAAACAGAAATAATGTCACTGTTATGAGGATATTTACAGATTCAGAGAATGTCACAGAGATCTGTAGTCTATGAAAAACTAAATCTGGCCAGGTGCGGTGGCTCACTCCTGTAATCCCAGCACTTTGGGAGGTCAAGATGGGTGGATGACCTGAGGTGAGGAGTTCGAGACCAGCCTGGCCAAAATGGCGAAACCCTGTCTCTACTAAAAATACAAAAAAAAAAAAAAAATTAGCCAAGTGTGGTGGCACATGCCTGTAGTCCCAGCTACTAAGGAGGCTGATGCAGAAGAATTGTTTGAACCTGGGAGGCAGAGGCTGCAGTGAGCCAAGATTGTGCCACTGCACTCTAGTCTGGGTGATAACAGCGAAACTCTGTCTCTAAAAAAAAAAAAAAAAAACAAGAAAAACTAAATCTGGCTGCTTAATAAAGGACACACAATTCTTCAAGTTCAAAGTCTGTGTTCCTGTACTTGTCATACACACAGAAACTGCTCATTTATTACATTTTGAAATTTCAGTGTCTTTCAAAAATATCAGATCAAATCAGAGAAAATAAATGAATTCAATCTACCACTCTAAAATACTGCAGAGGCAATGTTAAATTACTTTATTAAGCAAACCAAGAAAAAATAAATTATATATGATTTGTATTATTTTTTAACTTCCACACTATTTAATGGTATAAGATTCTCTTTCAATGCTTTCAATGAAATAGGTATCTTACTTTCACTTAGAACATTTTTTTCAAAGTAATTCTTAAAATTCTGTTTTTCTAATAGGTTTGCAGCAATAGGTAGCAATTATTGTTATTAGAAACATACCCAGATGCTTTCTTCTCGGCGATACTGCTTCCAGTTTCTCCCACCATCACTGAACATCAGGAGGTAGCTGGTCACCCAGTCAGAGCTCCCATATCCTCCTTGGGTGGCGACAGCAGTGACCTCCATTCTCTCTCCAAGGTCAATTTGCAGCCATTGGTATTTATTTGACACAAGTGGGGTCCAGCCACCAGCTCCTTTTTTGAAACAGAAAAAGTATAAAAATGGTAGAGGAGGAAGTTATTTAACATAGCTGTTACTAGATTAGAAAACTATAAAATTATGAATATATATTAAGAAAATCATCGATTTACAATAGAAAAAATAGAATAATTACATGTGACTGGATGAACCCTAAATTGTGTTCACATTTAGCTAGATGACCCCTGATATTCTAGAAGGCAGGTGTCCCACTGACTGCAGAAAATGTTTGTTTAATGCAGGTGGCCACTAGAGCATTCCTGTCAACTTTTGGAACTAGTGTTATTTCATAGCCCTTGTGCAAGATTTGCCCTTTGCCAACATAAGAGACTAAATTCCAGTAGTAGGAAGTACAGTATTAAGCACTGATAAAAGAAAGACAGTTAATATATTGACCTTGCACTCAAAGTGCTTACAGTCTCATAGGAGAAATGGATGTAAAAGAAGAGTTAAAACATAGAGTGCTTTGTGAGGCAATCCCACTTACATGTGGAATTCTAAAAAGTTGATTTCACAAAAGTACAGAGGAGAGTGATGGTTACGAGGAACTGGGGTGTGGAGGAGATATTGGTTAAAAAATACAAAAAGGTATGGAGTAGCAAATGGTCAAGGTGAGTCCTAAGCAGGTTCTGGTGCACTCTGCTCTCTCTGGCAGTACTGCAGGGAAACTGGGGCAAGCCTCACACAGCGCTCATCCACCTTGGACAAGGAAAAGGAGACTGTTGGGTATTGAAGAAGATGCATGCAGAGCAGAAAATTTGCTCTTTTTGCTCTGACCAATGCCACATCTGAAACAAAAACATAGGCATGTCCGCTGATGTTTTATTGATGTTTATTATTTTTCTAGTCTAATAGAATTAGGGGACACTCGAAAACCACAGCTTCTTTAATAATCAATGTCTAGAAAAAGAGAGTGCTCTATAAACTATTCCCAAGCTGAGGAGTCAGAACACTTTTATTATTCCCTGGTGCTGCCACTTACCTGAAGGCTCTGACAGAAATTCTGAAGTTCTAGACAGTTCATTATTATTCATTGACTTATACTGTGTATTTTATTATTAGGAGTTTATCATTATGTCCTCATTTGTAAAGTCTTTAGTACTTCACTACATGTCCAAAA
This sequence comes from Homo sapiens, assembly GCF_000001405.40. Lineage (NCBI taxonomy): Eukaryota > Metazoa > Chordata > Mammalia > Primates > Hominidae > Homo > Homo sapiens. The sequence goes on from NC_000009.12 coordinate 42,078,187, forward strand.
AAGTTTGATATTATTAGAATATAGCTAGGTGTAAAAACGAATAAGTGAGGACATTATACTTTAATATAAGTTATTATGGGGAAGTGTTAAGAAATATAAATATTAGGCACCTATTTGAATTGATGACCACACTTAACTACTGTTTCCTTATGATTCCCAAGTTTACAGATTCTTAGAAGTCAGATTCTAAGATATTTTTGTAGTGAATCTTTGTTCAAAAATATTTTTTCCTCTGAATGTACGATAAGCACCTCTAAAGTTTATATTATATATATAGTATGTACACAGACATATATATAAATATAATTTTTGTTTGTTTTGCTTTTTATTGTTCTATGTTCTGAATTGAAGAGTCAGGAATTTGATCTAGTAGACAAGATGGAAAATTACTGATAACCAACACTGTGCATCTGATTGACACTAAAATACTCCATATATTTTCTTAATCCAGACAGCTAGGAGGTGGACACAGCTCTTGTTCAAAGTTAAATGTTCTGCTATAGATCAGGGGCATCCTCCACTCATGCAACATGGTTTCCTAGATCGGGCAAGATTTATTCTTGGATGATTTACAGCAATATTTATGTGAGCCCCTGCCAGAGACAGTGCACAGATTTCTTTAGCCCTCAGTAGGAACTACTTCCACAGTTTCTTCTCTCTGCTCATTCCTCCTTCCAACTTAACTTTTCAGGATGTAACAGAATTCCACGTACCCACTTCCATAATCACTCAATTTAACAATGAACACTTATCGAGCATTTGAGAACTCTAGGTCAGGCAAAGAGTTCCCTTTAAGTAAATTTTGCATTTAATTCCTAACATACCTTTAAAAGACAAGGCCTCATTACTACCCTCCATATGGATGGTGGGCAGCTCACCTATGTTTACGCATCTAGCAAGGGGCCCACAAGCTTTGGATCCAGAACCTGTGCAATTAAATATTTTTATTATATTATTTTGATGATAATCATGGGATGTGGTGTTTCTCAAATAAATGTAACAAAGATGTAAAGACATTTGGGAGTGAGCAGGTCTGGCTACCTAAGGGAGCAGCCCCCATGCAGCAGGGCAACCTCTCCTACTCCTGGTCAGGCAAGGTCTGGGTTTCGGAAAGCTGAGGGTGCAGTGCCAATGGGGTTTTCTCTACTGGCCCTTCCTGTTGACTCCACCAGATCTACTCTTCTCTCCTAAGCCTATGTAAACTTTAATTGGTGGGAGATCCTTTTGGGGTTGGTCTAACTAGCAACCAATGGTCCTAGGTACAACACTACTGAAACTGTGTATCCTTTTCTGTTTTTCTTATTACTATTTTAAGGGGTTTTGTTTTGTTTTGTTTTGTTTTTGTTTTTGTTTTGAGATGGAGTCTCACTCTGTCACCAGCCTGGAGTGCAGTGGCGAGATCTCTGCTCACTGCAACCTCCAACTCCCTGGTTCAAGCAATTCTCCTGCCTCAGCCACCCAAGTAGCCGGGATTACAGGTACATGCCACCACGCCCAGCTAATTTTTGTATTTTTAGTAGAGACGGGGTTTCACCACGTTGGCCAGGATGGTCTTGGTCTCCTGACCTAGTGATTTGCCCACCTCAGCCTCCCAAAGTGCTGGGATTACAGGCATGAGGCACTGGGCCCAGCCTATTTTATGGTTGTTTTAAAAGAGTTGGGAGAAGGTGAAGGAGATGCTAACAGCCAACCCATCATCTTAGGCTGGATGTTGTACATTGGGAATTTTATACACAGAGCTGAAACTTCTGAGGAACTATTCAATATTTTTGGTTCTTCCCCTCATCTTGGTTAGTCAGCATGAAGGGCATCCTCTTCAGCTTGTATTTCATAACCTTTCTTTGGTGTTTTCACTCCCTCTCATTCCAGGTTTAGAAAAGTAATTACTATGAGAACACATGTGGAGAAGCACAAGGAGGAAAATGAGTTGACACGGTTCTGGTGTGCTACCCTGGGATGGTGTGTTTTCATTAGATGAAGAGGGAGCCACTAGCCATCCCTCTTCTCGGCATCCCTCACAGTTTGTTAGTTTGTTGGTGTTCATGGTTGCACTCCTGCTAACAGATGACACATTTCAGTGACTTCATTTTACCTTTGATGAAGTAGTACTTAAATGCAAATAAGCTATATTTTCAGCCATTACTGATAAAGTAATGAAATTCTGGCATTACCAAAGAATTTCATCAGGATGTTGTAGACTCATGGTTACAATCTGCAATCCCAGATGCATTTTAAGGGTAAGCTGCTGTGCACACAATTTAATTAAACGCTGAGTGGAAATGGTGGGAAACACAGCGTGACTGACCTGTGCACTGCTGGATAGCACTAATCTGTGTGCCTTTGTTAAAGGCAGCTTTGATGGTTGGTATAGAAGGCCACTATGGGTAACAGAAAGAGAAAGGAGATTGGCTGACTCCACCCCCAACTAGAGTGTGGTAATTGTCCAGTCACTCAGCCTCTCTGAGACAAAAATGTTGTCTTTGTTTAAAAAAGAAAAGCATAAAGTTGGGAGTGAGGGGATTAACAGTCATATAAATCACCTCACAAGACTGTAAGGAAGACAATGGGATAACTGAAACTACAGCACTTTGTAACTAAATTATTATTCAAATGTGATGTTATACTCAATTTTTGTTGTCTTTAAATTAAAACAAATGAAAGTCTTCTATTTGTTAAGTCAAGATTATACATGTGCTGACTAATTTTCAACCTGGAAGTGTCTTTTCATAGTCCCTTCTAGTCTATGGTCAACAAAACTTTGTACACAAAACAGGGGAAGCAGTTAGGTCCTCTAAGCTCAGCCTCTCCCCCATAACAAATGTTTCTTCTCCACTTCACCCTCCTCCCCCTGCCTCTGACAAGACATTGCACCTGAGTTAAATAAAGTGTCACAATTCTACCCCACAGATCCTATGAATCACGAAAACTCATCCCCTCCATTCATAATATATGTTCTGACACACATGTTCCATTACTGGAATGAGATTAAAATATGCTGAGCAACTGAAACTTTCTCTTACACTTTATATGGCTTGAGGAACAGCAGATGTTATTTTTTAAAGGGTAATTCGTTTTTATAAAGGCTGATATTGGTACCACAGTGAAGATGCTGAGCTGCGCTGTTTTGTCCCTAAATGTTCACACAACATAGGATTTATCTTATGTACCGTTTTATCCACTTTTAAGTTTTCAAGTTCTGAGGAAATTATTAAAGTTTTGCCACTTATTTTGTAATGGAAAACAAGGGAAAAGAGGGAAGTGAGAAACTGTGAAGCATATATTGTATGCTGAGAATTCGACCAGATATTTTCAAGCATATTATCATTTTTTATTTCTAAAAGCATTCAGTGGGTTGTCTTTATCGTATCTACCTTACAGATGAGAAAATAAAATCACTAATTAAAACACATGGAAAGATATTATTTTTAAAATCAGCTATGTTTCATTTTTATCCTTGTCCATGAATATATTCACATGATTTGTCAATCACTTAGTACTTTTTGGTTATAAATAATCTGGCAGGATTATGTCTCTATTTTGTACAGTTATATCTGTGTTATAATTCTGCATTTACATCAGGTCAAAGTTACATTTCACTATCTGGGGCAGGGGGCTCTGCAAAAGAAAAGTAGAAACCCTACAGCTGGAGCCTGAATTGTTTCTGACTAACAACAATAAAACTTCCCATGACTATAGCATCTAGTCATTAAGTGGCAGCACTGTTACAGAGTATGTATTGACTTTGTTTACAGGGGAAATAATGCACAGGTAAATCATCATCATCATCATTACGATTATCATCATATCACCATAATCTTATACCTTCCTTAACTAAATTTGATATTGAGGGCACAAAATATAAGTAAACAAAGTAAATGTTCAAAGCCAGCCACTATTAGGGGCTTCTATATATCAAGCAAACACACAGTTAAGTCAACCTTGTCCCCATGAGACACTTCCCACTAAGATAACAAATTGTTTCAAATGTGATTTTATCCAGATATATTTGTTTGTTTCTTTCCTCATCTAATTGCATTTTAATTCACATTAAAAATTTCAGGTATTACCTGGGGTGAGCAGGAGGTGGGAAGTGAGACGTGAGGTAGGGACTGTCACAGCTCCTACACTCCAGTGTGATTATATGTAATTTATAGGGAAGAGGAGTGAAGCTGGCTTTAAATAAACTCCCTCATTCCACTTCTGAGATTTATAGGCTTTAAACAGCCATGCTTTTTGTCAGTAGATCTGCCTTTTTGCTGAGGGGAATTTAAACATTTACCTGAGATCTAATTTCATTTAGAAAAAAAAGGGCTAACTACACAGATATAGAATCAGGTACCACAGTCTTTTTCAACTAGGCTGCTTTAAAGTAAAAAAATACAGAAACCCTCCCTCAGAATCTGTCTTTGTGTACATGTTCTATTTCAGCAGTATTTCCTTCAATCTTAGCAGGTTGAAGCAGAAAGAATATTCAGCCTACTAAAAATGTGTTCATAAAAAAAGAACTGCAATTATGGTTAAAATCTCAGAGTGTATATAACAATTTATAAAATGTATTCTCTTACAAAATGCATCTACACTCCCTAGCAGCTTTGAAAATGGACAAAGAATAAACAAAAAACAAATAGTAGATGTTAGACTTAAAATTAATCATATAAACAATCATATTAAAGGTAAGTAGTGCAAACACTCCTATTAAATGGCAATGATGGTCAGATTAGATGAGAAAGCAAGATCCAACTATATGTTGCCTACAAGAAACACACTTTAAATAAAAAAGGCTCAAATAGCCTAAGTGTAAACACATGGAAAAATATATATTATGCTAATAATAGTTTTTAAAAAAGCTGGATTGGCTATATTAAACAAAGTAGATTTCAGTGCAAAAATTATTATAAAAGGTAAAGAAAATTATTTTGTAATGATTAAGATGTTCTTTCATCAGAGAACATAATCCTAAACATGCAAACACTTAATAACAGAGCTTCAAAATACACGAAATGAAATCTAGTAAAACTGAATGAAATAGATAAATCCACAATGACAGTAGGAGATTCTAGCACCCCGTCTCAGTAACTGATTGCACAAGAAGACAGAAAATAGGGATTCAGAAGTATTAATTATCACTATCAACCTATATGATTCATTGATATTTATGGAATGTTTCACCTAACAGAAGAACATGTATTCTTTTTCGAGTTCATTTGGAACTTTTACCAAAATAGACCATTAAACGAGTCATTAAACAAGTTTCAACAAAGTTAAAATCATTTAAGTCATGTAAAGTATATCTTTGTGATATACAATAGATTAAAATAAGAAATCAGCAATAGCAACTTCTCTGAAAAATCCAGGAATATTAGGAAACTAATAACACATACTTCATACTCAATGAATCAAAGAAGAAACTAAAAGGGAAATTAGCAAGTATTTCAAGCTGAATGAAAATGAAAATACAACTTATCAAAATCTATGGGCTGGAACTTCTGGCTTCTGCCCCAGGAAGTAGAAAGCTATAAGGAGCCTCATTTCCACCCTTACAACAAACTTCAAGTTCATGATCTTTTACAAATGCATTGGAGAGTTGAGCTTGCAGAACCACCACCTGGCCTAAAATCTAAAGAGATATGAACCTCGCAGGGAGAGATGTGAGCAGGAGCTCACCTTAGATAGATGAAACCAGAGGTCAGTAAGAAAAGTTCAGCTGGAATAGTTAACAAAATGGTGAAACCTACTGTGCAGGCTGGTGGGACAGTGAGAAATCCTTTATCACCCCAGAAGTTGGGGGAGTGTTCCCTCTTGCAGGCACTTGCTCCACAGGCCATTGGCAGAAACTCACATGCAGTCCACTGAGAACTCTATTTGGCCCTCACAGAAAATATCAGAAAGAGCCCTAAAGGTTAAATGACTCAGCCTATAACCTCCCTTATCTCCACATCTTGATTTTTGCATAGGTGTAGTTCCATTCATCTTGGTAACTAACTGCATAATTTAATAAAACCATCATTGTGCATTTTTTCATTCATCCAATAAAGTATCTGATGAGACATATAATCTCAAATTATCACTTGAGCAGGCAAAGAAGCCATTATCTTCACTTGGTGAGTAGAAACAATTAGGCAAAAGTGATGGGTGATGTGCAAATGGGGCATATGCGGAGAGGGCTGGAATGGAGTCAGGGCACCCTGAGGCTGATGGCACGCCTCTCATTGTGTTCCATTTCCCACAGATAGTGTGTTTACTTTCTTCAGGGAGTGATTAAACACGTGTATTTGTCTTTCTTATTAAATGACAATTGATGTCATGCAAGGAAACACGAGAGTGAAATGCTGAGAAGTGAATATTTTAGTGAATATCAAATTATCCATCTGTATGTGATTGATTGCTCAGTCAACCAAAATCCCCTAGTCCACCCCCTAAAAAAAAAGAGATGGTAATATTTACATTTTTCCTAAGGATATTATGTAGTTAAACTAATTATAGTTTATGAAATTGCTGTTAAAGCCTCATATGAAGAGAGACATGCATTTATTATTGCATGTAACAGGACACTATCAAAATATGATGCAAAAGGAATGTCCTCTAAACATTACAATAATGTTTATTTTAAGTTGCTATTAACAGAGGAATTTTTTTAGAGGCAAGCACACAACAGGGACAATGTGGGGCATCAGAATTCTGCTAACGTTTGTCCCACTGAATTCTTTGGAAAAAATATGACAACCTAAAAAAATCCAGTTGGCAAAAATTAATGTGAAAGAAAATAGGTGAATCTGCACCATGTCCTATAGAAGTTCTGGAATGCCTCCCTTAACACTGACTTTAATAACTAATGTAGGAGAGTTGGTTATAGGACCAATTGTTGTAATTTACCATTTTCATCATTGGTCATAGTCCTTTTGAATCAGTTTTGAAGCACAAATTAAACTGCCAGTCAGAATTTAAATGTTATTTAAGAAAAAAATTATTTTGAAATACAGCTTCACATGAATTGGCAAAGACAGTACAGAGAAGTGATGTGTACTCTTCACCTAGTTTCTACCAATGGTTACATCTTATAAAATTACAGTACAATATCAAAACCAGGAAACGATGTATCTATCCAGTTGTATGACACGTTTAGGGTCCGTAACCCCCACCACAATCAAGAAAGAGAATGACTTCACTACCACGACAATCCTCCTCATTGGTACCCTTTACAGTTATACATAGCAACCACTAATTTGTTTTCTATCTCTATAATTTCCTCAATTCCTCAGGTTCCTAGATGGTCTGTCTTCCCTACATTTTTTCATTCTTATGTTTATTTTATATATAAAGTTCCTTTTAAAATGTACTTATCAGGAAGAATATATTAAAGACATGTACTTCATCTCTCCGGAGCAGAAGCTGGCAATATGATGGTGAATACAGTGTCCCTTTATTCTTGAGTGATTCCAGTTGCCTCTGGTAAACAGGAAGTTTCCTATTCAACCTCACCTTTCTTGCCAAGAACTGCATGACAGTTGAGCTGTCACATGTATCACTGGATTTTTTTGAACAGGAAAAAAGTGAAAGGACAACATTTTTAGAAGGAAGAACGCAAACTGTAAGAGAGTGATGCGAAAATCCTAGAGAGGAGTGGGACGGCATTCTTCATTAAGAGTAATTGGTAACATTAAGCAACAATTAAGTACATAAAGAAATCATGGCCTATCAGTAGCTTTAATTTTATTACTAAATAGCAACCAGTTCAATGAATATGCCACATTGTGGTTATCCATTCAGTGGCTGATGGACATTTGAGTTGTTTCCAGTTTTTGTCTACTGTATTAGTCCATCTTCACACTGCTGATGAAGACATATCTGAGACTGGGTAATTCATAAAGAAAAAAGGTTTAATGGATTCACATTTCCATGTGGCTGAGGAGGCCTCACAATCATGGCAGAAGGCGAAAAGCATATTTTACGTGGCAGCAAACAAGAGAGAATGATTATCAAGCAAAAGGGGGTCCCCCTTATAAAACCATCAGACCTTGTGAGATTGATTCTCAACTACGAGAACAGTATGGGGGAAACCGCCCCCATGATTCAGTTATCTCCCACTGGGTCCCTCCCACAACACCTAGGAATTATGAGAGCTACAATTCAAGATGAGATCTGAGTGGGGACACAGCCAAACCATATCATCTACTATGAATAATGTTGCTATGAATATATATATATATATAAATTTTTTTTACATTTTTTACATTTTTGCATTTACTTTTTTTTTTTACATTTTTTTTTACATTTTACAACAGGCGGAGTCTCGCTCTGTTGCCCAGGCCAAGATTCAATGCAATCTCAGCTCACTGCAACCTCCACCTCCCAGGTTCAAGCGATTCTCCTGCCTCAGCTACCCGAGTAGCTAGGATTCCTGGTGTGCACCACCACGTCCAGCTAATTTTTGTATTTTTAGTGGACACTGGGTTTCGCCATGTTGGCCAGGCTGGTCTCAAACTCCTGACCTCAAGTAATCCACCCACCTCGCCCTCTCAAACTGGCGGCATTACAGGTGTGAGCCACTGTGCCCAGCCTCTATGAACATTTAAGTCTTAGAGTGGACATACATTTTTTGGAGTGGAATTGCTAGGTTATATGGTAAGTACATGCTTTTACTTTTTAAGAAACTGCCAAACTATTCTCCAAGGTGGTGGCACTATTTACATTCCCACCAACAAAGTATGACAATTAGGATTATTACAATTAGGACAATTCCAGTTTCTTCCAATCTATAAACATAGTGTGTCTCTCAATTTATTTGAGTCTTCTTTATTTTCTAATAGCTATGTTTTATAGTGTTCCATGAACAGGTCCTGCACACCTTTCGTAAGATCTACATTTAAGTATTTTATTTTTTAATGCTATTGTGAATGAAATTCTTTTCTTAATTTGATAATCAGATTGTTACTACTACATAAAAAAGAATTGATTTTTGTATATTAACCTTGTATCCTGTTAACTTGTTAAAATTCACTTATTAGTTGGTGTCTTTTAGATTTCTAGATTTCTTAGAAGATCTCCATATAGGAACATGTTATCCATACACAATAATGTATGGAGAGACAGTCCACTTTAAGCAGCTTGCACTCCTACATGTTTTGTTGGGTCTGCTAAGACTACAAAGGCCTAAAAGCTCTTTTATGGACCCTTTTTTCATGGTTGTTTATGCAGCTGGTAACCTTGAGAGGTGAGGTTACATTTTCTTCCACACAAAGAGCCTTCTCACTTACTACTTGCTATAACTGCAGTAGGTTCCCCAAGCTCATTATTTCTCAGCTGCAATACAAGTCTGCTATGAGTGTAATATTCATACGTGCCCTATTGCATTGCCCCTGTGGGCCTCAGGGGCAAAGGAGACAGATACAAATATGCTGAAACTCATGTTGTTGTTTGTGGTGCCATGAGTAATATAGTTCACAGGTGTTGCCATTCTTTAATTTTAGCCATCCTAGAGAACATATTATCTCTCTATGATATTAACTTATATTTCTCTAATGGTTAATGATTTTAATACCAAATGTTGACCAGGATAAGAAGCAACTAGAATTGACACACATTGGCAATGGGAGTATAACATGTTCAAGGGCTTTTGAAAATAGTTTGACAGTTTCTTTAGAGTTTCACATACTGAAATTCCACTCCCAAAAGCGATGTAAAATAATGTTTGTAGAAATTTATTCATAATAGATCCATACTGGAAACAAGCCACAAGTGTCCATTTTAAAAAGAATGGATAAACAAACAGCACAATTGAAATCTACTCAGCAATAGAAGGAAATGTGCCACAAATCCACGCAACAACATGGATGGATCTCAGAAACCTTATGCTCCCTAAAGGGAGCTGGATACAAAAGCTTCTGTATGATTCTGGTACTGTATGACTTTTTGTAAGTTCAAAAGCACAAGCCAACCTAAATAATATGACAGAAAGTAGAACAGTGATAGGTGGGAGGTGCCTAGATAATCAATAAAAAGTATTAACAAATGGTAAGGGGGTGATGAACTGATCTGTAACTTGATCTGGGCTCTGGTAATACAGGCGTATACATCTGTAAATATTAACCAAATGGCACACTTTATGCATTTAATTGTATTTTAAGTTATGCCTCAATTTCAAAAATTTTAAAAATAATTTTTAAAGTGACCCAAGAGAATCAGACCAGCCAAATATTTCTTGTTCTCATGTCTAATCTATATTAACATCCTTATGAATATTTTGTTTGTTTGAATGCCACTTCCTGTCATAGTACTAACAACCTATTTTAGATGAATTTTAAAGTTACATATGCTGCTGAAGCATACTCTTTGCGTAAGTAAGTAAGATTAATTTCTTTAAAATCTACATATTTCTTCAATCGAAACACATTTTGCTATAGATAACTTGATGCTATTTTGTTTGGCCTGTAGTCAGCTGAATCATTCAACATTTGTAACATATTCACATTGTCATATGCTACAAATCTGAGGAAAAAAAAGCATAAAAATAGAATGCCATTGGACTTACTAATTCTAAGAACTATTAAAAGGCACAGATAAAAAATTTAGTAAACAATATCCTCAGGCAAAATATTTTCTGTTGTATTAATGTTCTACTTTTCAGGTCCTTTGTTGCATATGTAAATTGGCACATCTAACACCTAGGCACATTGGGAAGCTTAGTGTAGCTTCTGACCTATAAACTAAGGAGGGGAATATGCAAGAATTTTGATTTTATGAAAAATGAGGACCAGGCGTGGTGGCTCACACCTGTAATCCCAGCACTTTGGAAGGCCAAGGTGGGCGAATCCCCTGAGGCCAGGAGTTGGAGACCAGCCTGGTAAACATGGTGAAACCCCATTTGTACCAGAAGATATAAAAATCAGCCGGGCCTGGTGGTGGGTGCTTGTAATCTCAGTTACTTGGGACAAGGGTAATCCCAGCTGTTCAGGGAAAGGGAAAGGGAAAAAGGGTGAAAGGGGGAAAGGAGAAAGAAGGGGAAAGAAGGGGAAAAGGGAGGGGAGGGGAGGGGAGAAGAAAAATGTAGGGGAATTTAATTCTTATTAGATTAGTTATCTTAAATATTTGCTACATTTACATTATTCTATCAGAGATTGATACTCTTTATATTTTTAAATTATTGCATACATTTTTATCAATTTCTATCCTCTAGATTCCTCATACAAAACAATGAAATCTCACATCCTATTCTGTTTTGGGATATTGCACTGTGCAGAATAGTGGAAATTCTAAGTAGTTAAAGATCGCATACTATAACAAACCATTTGTGGGTCATTTCCCCAATGTAAGAATTTTGCTTTTATTTATTAATATGATTTTAAACTATGGTGCCAAGTTTTCATTAGGAGTTATACTTTCTAATGTGGGAAATAAATATCTTGATATTGAAAAGCCCTTACAAATATCCTGAGCTATTCATTTTGTATTAAAAATATTCAGTAATTATTTTCTCTGCCTCTTAATCACTGAACCTAGTCAGTGTGCCAAGAAAGCATGATCACATGGAAGGACATCTGAATAGTGGAGAAATATGAGGAGTGGAGGGAAAAGATCCAATATGTTTCCATTTGCTCTGTGTTTGCAGTTTATCACACAGGTTTCTAAATTATCCTTGTCTATGAAATTCATTCCCATACACCAACGTTAATTTCCATTCAAACCCACGGGCTTGCTCCCTGATTGTACTCTGCACGTGAGAGTTCATGGTTTTCAATATATAAAGCCCGTTTGAATCATTAACGCTTCTGGCTGAGAATGAGAGTTAACGCAAGCACTTTCTAAAAACAGAAAAAGAGGGCAAAATACATATACGCTTTTGCCTAGCCAGTTTCAATTTGCTTCTAGCAAAATTATCCATTTCATCCCTACTCCTGCACTTCTATTTCATATTAACGAAGGAGAATATGTACTTATTAAAATGGAAAGTTGTCTCACATAAAATGCTACTGAGCCAATCCAATGAATGTTCGCAATTAAAGGTATAATAATCATAAAAAGAAGAAAACTTGATAAGCAAAAGAATAATCAAGTACTAGCATGAGTTACTAAGTGTTTTATTTCTTAAGCTTTTGTCTAAATAACTTTGGATCACATAGTTTTCTTAAGGAGACACTTAAGAAGAATGACAAATGGAGCTCTACTTTTTCTTTATTTGCCTTTTCTTGTATCAAATGCCCCATCATATTTTAGAAATCTTGGTTTTGCAGAAAAATTTAGCAATGTGCAATTCCAGGAAATATCAATGTAAACTTAATGACAACAAAGTCAGGTTTAATAGTCAAATCCAAATTTCAAGAATTTCATATTTTATATAATGGCACCAATTTTCCTGCAGCTGAATATACACAATCTGACTATACCTATATGTCAGTATACATACATATATATACTGAAATATATATGTATGTATATACTGACATATATAGTCAGTATATGACTATGACTATAGTCAGTATATATGACTATGACTATATATAGTCAGTATACAGTTAGTATACACTAACATATATGTATATGTGTATATGTACTGACATATGTGTGTTTATATGCACACACACTGACCATGTATGTACTGACATATATATACACACACTCACACTGACCGTATATATGTATATATTCCTGCAACTGAATACACACACACACACACACACACACACATACATTCAGCTTCAGGAAAACTGGTGCCATTACATAAAATATAAAGTTCTTGAAATTTGGATTTGACTATTAAGTACACACTGACTCTCTCTAAATATATATATATACACACACACACACACACACACACACACATATAGTATATATTTAGTACATAGTACATACACACACACAGATATATACATACATGTGTATTTATGTACATTTATTGAACACATTAAAATCTATTAATTTGCAAAATTATATATACAAAATTAATCATACACTTGTGATGAACCTTTTCATTCTTTCATGTTTCTTTGCATGAAGAAGTAAGAGAGTTGTTTGGATATTAGAGTGGAAGAGTATACATACATAATCAGAAATTTCCAGAGGAAACATGAAGAGATGTCAACTATTTCTCCATTTTTTATTGATAATGCTTTCCAGAATCATGACTTTTGATTTTTGTTGTGCTATAATTACTCGCTCTTTACAATGTCCACTTACTTCCTTGAGGGATATGACAGGAAGATTGAGAAAAACTGTGGCTGGAAGGCCGGCAGTGCTGTAGAGACCCTGGGACCTGGGCCCTTCTTCTTTGGCTCCAGGTCATCCTGTGGTCTCCCCACCTTCCTCCTGCTTCCCTGGGCCCTCCTCACAACACTTCACAGACTTCTGTCCTCGTCTTGTTGCAACATCTTTTCTAAAATGTATTTTACAATAATTTCTCTACATTTCCTAAGCATCTGAAACGTAGTGTGACAATTTCATATATATTAATACTTTAAACTATACAATTCCTCATTCTGGTTTAGGAAAAATTACAAATCAGTTTAAAACTATTTTGGCAAGCAATCTAAATTAACTACAGAATATCTTCTTATTGCTTTCCTGTAATAGGAAAGAGGTGGCGATGAGATGGTACACAGGTAATCCTTTATGAAAGCTATGGAATTCAGGGCATTGCTAATTCTTACTAAAATATGTGGAAACTTAGCAACTTTGAGCATCATAAAAAATAAATAGGAAGATACATGGAAGAAAAACCATGTTCTCTAAAACCCCATAAAGCTAAGTTTTCTAAATATAATGAAATGTAAAATTTTTAAAAAATCTGACTTTTTTCTGGTTTATTTTCCTTTTTAATTTTTAATTTTTGTGGGTATGTAGTAGTTGTATGTATTTATAGGGTACATGAGATATTTTGATACAGGCATGTAATACATAATAATCACATCATAGAGACTGGGGTATCTGACTTAAGCAGCTTTTGTACTGGACCACACTTAAAATAGTTTAAAGCTAAAATAATGGTATACAAAGAATTATCAGCACAGTCAACAATCATCATCATCATCATCATCATTTTCCGTTTTTTCAATCTGAACCAAAGGGAGATTGTTATATCTACTGACAAATACAAAAATCAAATGGGATTATGAGAATGGTCCTGTGTCAGCTAGTTATAAATAGAAAATACACATATATATCCTATTGGAAGGAAAATACACATATACACACATCACCCAAATGGTGATGTTTTACAACACGTTATGTATAAAATTAGGCATAAAACTGAACTTTAATTTTCAGTGAAGTATGAATAAAATAGTGAAGAGCTCTCCAGGTTGACAATTATAGGAACAATTCTAAAACTACTCATCAGCTGATTGGGACTCCTTATAAAATTAATTTAAATGCACCAAAAGCCATATTGCATTTATACTATAGAAGGTAAAACTGGTACAGCCATTTCATAAAAAGATTTTTGATATTTTCCTGTTTTTTTAAATTGAATAATTGTGACACAGAGAATGAGAAATGCATTAATCTTATTCTTAGAGGTTTCTCTGTCGAGTTTAAGTTGCCAATGTCATATGCCTGGCAGTGTGGTGGCCAATTTAAATGGAACCATAGGGGATTCATTCAGTCCATGTAAACTACTTAAACATCACCTGACGGTCCCCTCCCCTGCACCGTGGGCTGCCATAACCTAATTTAACAAGCTCTTTCAGAGTTTGGACATTTCTTTGGTAACAACTGACATTACCTGGCATTATTTCATGTTTTATTCTGAATTATTCTACTACAGAAGCTTAAGTTTAATTCCATCTATACATATTATTTAATGTTTGCTTTGTCATGGCTCTGAGCTAGATGTTGTGAAACAATGTGCTTAACTGCCACTTTTACTCCCACTGTTGATACTACTAATTGCCGGGCGCGGTGGCTCACACCTGTAATCCCAGCACTTTGGGAGGCCAAGGTGGCCGAGGCGGATCACGAGGTCAGGAGTTGAGCCTGGCCAACATGGTGAAACCCCGTCTCTACTAAAAATACAAAAAATTAGCCAGGCGTGGTGGCGCGACCCTGTAATCCCAGTTACTCAGAAGGCTGAGGCAGGAGAATAGCTTGAACCCAGGAAGCGGAGGTTGCAGTCAGCCGAGATCACGTCACTGCACTCCAGCCTGGGTGACAGGGTGAGGCTCCATCTCAAAAACCAAACCAAAACAAAACAAATTAAAAAAAAACTACTAATTATAATTTTTGCTTCAGCAGCACTCAGTAGATTTTAGCTACTTTGGATCAGATCATATACTAATTTTTTAATTATGGTAATACACATCACAGGAAATTTACCATTTGAACTGTTTTATATGTAAAGTTCAGTAGCATTAAGTACATTCACATTGTGCAACCATCACTACCATCCATCTCTAGAGCTGTTTCACCTTCCCAAATGAAAACTCTGAACCCACTAACAATAACCTCCATTACCAGCCCCTGGCAACCACTATTCTATTTCTTGTCTCTATGAATTTCACTACTCTAGGTACCTCATATAAATGAATAACGTAGTAGTTGTCCTTTTGTGTCTAGCTTATTTTCCTTAGCATAATGTCTTGAAAGTTCAACTGTGTTACAGTACGGGCCAGAATTTTCTTCCTACACTGCACTAGGCTTCTCCGTTTGTCCATCAATGGAAATTTGGGTTGTTTCTCTTTTGGCTCTTGTGGATACACCTGCTCTGAACATTGATGTAACATAACCTAATTATTTTATGTGTATTAATTCATTTAATCTTCACAACCTATTTTACTCAAGTTAACTGTTTCATGATAGGTACTTTACTAATCCCATTTTATAACTGAGGAAACAAAAACTCAGGGAGATAAAGGAATTTGTCCAAAGTCACACAGCTAGTAAGGGGTAGAGCCTGGATGATTCCAAGCTTATCCCTAATCACTAAGGATAAGATAGCACCCTTCCTTCAAGGAAGTTAGAATTGCACAAAGCGTAAGAAAAGCATACAAACACCTAGTAAGCACACTGGCATATGATAAATGCTGAGAGCTTTTTAAGGGAAAGTGCCAGACATATTTAGCATGCAGGCTTAGTAAAAATCTAGATTAGGTCTGGCAGCCAAAATCTAGGTTATGACCTGTTTATATAGCCAGAGAACTAAGAATGGTTTTACATTTGTAAAGCGTTGCATTTAAAAAAAAAAAACAAAGAGGGCGGGGGCTGGGTATGGTGGCTCAGGCCTGTAATCCCAACATTTTGGGAAGCTGAGGTGGCTGGACTGCTTGAGCCCAGGAATTCAAGACCAGCCTGAGCAACATAATGAGATCCCATCTTTACAAAAAATATAAATGTTCGCTGGGTGTTATGACATGTGACTGTGGTCCCAGCTACTCGGGAGGCTGAGGTGGGAGGATCACCTGAGCCCACGGAGGTTGAGGCTACACTAAGCTGTGATCTTGCCACTGTACTCCAAACCTGGGCAACAGAGCAAGACTGTGTTTCAGAAAAAGAAAGAGAAAGAGAGAAGAGGGGAAAAGAAAAAAAGAGGGAAGGAAAAAAGCAAGGAAGGAAGGAAGGAGAAGGAGGAGGAAGGGAGGGAGGGAGGGAGGGAAGACAGAGAAAGAAAAAAGAAAAAAAAGAAATGTAACAGAGACCTTACATGGTCCACAATACCAAAATCATTTTCCATCTGTCTCTTTACAGCAGAAGTTTGCTAACTCCCATGTTTAACTTTTATTTTTAATTGATGAATAATAATTGTACATTTTTATGAGGTGCAATGTGATGTTTGGATACATGCATACACTGTAAAATGATCGAATCAGGCTAATCAGCATATCAGTCACCTCAAATATGTATCATTCTTTTAGCGGTGAGAATAGTTAAAATTCTCTCATATATTTCAAAACAGACAACACTTATTAACTCTATTCACTATGCTGTGCAAAAGAACAACAGAAATTATTATTCCTATCTACCCAAAACTATGTACCTACTGACCAACATCTCCCCCTTCCCTATCCACCTTCTCCTCTAGCGTCTGGTAACCACCATTCTACTCTCTACTTCTGTGAGCACTGTCTTTAAATTCCACATGTAAGTGAGACTATATGGTATTTGTCTCTCTGTGCCTGGTTTATTTCACTTAACATAATGTCCTCCAGGTTCATCCATGTTATCACAAGTGTCAGAGTTCCCTGCATCACGGGTTTTAACCCACACCTTTGATGTACTTGGCTCTAGTAAGTACAAGCGTGGGGAAAATGTAAAACTCTTTTGGTGCAAGCATTCTGCATCATGTTTCAGACTTTCAAAGAAAATTTTAAGTCATCCTCAACAACATCACATTAATTTGAGGCTAGAGAAGATACTGACTATAACCCTGACAAAAGCCACTTGAGCAAATCCGTCAGAATCATTCTGCAGGTATAAATTTTTAAATCACAAACTCATGAGGGAAAATGTAACTTCATTTCTCCATAACCCAGAAAGCTTTCTAGTAGGAGCTGGAATTCTGGCTGATACAGAGACTGGAAGTAGTCACAACAGGTGTCTCCGTCCAGTTAAGGGATAAGCCTGTCAGTTCGTGTCTGTATTGGTCGCAGACCCTTGAAAATTCCTTCAGGGGTTCTTTTACTTCCCCTTCATCCCCAGAGTTAACTCTGGTCTCTTCTGGCTTTGCTAATTGCCTTGGTAAAGCGGGGAGGGGAGTGTGTTCAAGCCCCAAGTAGAGGTCAGCACTGCACTGTCCTCAGGGATGGCGACCTGCTGCCGACGGAGCCAAGTCCTCCCATCCCAGGCTGGGACAGTGCTCTCCACAACGTTTTGGTGACCCTTTCTCCTCCCTCTGCCAGACCTCAGGCAGGAACATGGTCTTGCTCACCTGCCTTTGGTACCTCAGGGTGTCCTTGGATAACTGGGGCTGTCCTCACCGGCCACCAGAGCTGCCGCAGGGCGTCCAGTCCTGTCACTGAATGTGCCGCAGCACAATGAGGATGCTGTGCAGGCTGCTCTTGGAGACTGGCGTTCTCCTTTCCACTACACACTTGAGAGTGCCCACTCAGATCCCTGAGCTTCAGTGAAGACTTCCATTAAGCCACCACCGGCAAGGCTCTGCTTGAGAGCAGAGCTTCAGGGCAGTCCCCACCTCTCTATGCATACTATCGTGCAGTCCTGCTGAGGGTTCCTAGTCTGCGAGATAGCAGAAAAATTAAAACACCTTTAGCCTGCTCAATTCCCTTTCAAACTTTTTCTACCTCAGACCAAAAGATGCTTTTGGACTTCAGAAGTGAAGATTAATGTCTTGGTTCACAGTCTCTGCAATGATCCCCTTTTCTCTACACAGAGGACTCAAGACAATCTGAGTTAGGAGCAAAGACGGAGGTCTGAGGGCACTGGCGAAAAATTTCAGTGAGCTTGGAAGCAGGGTCATTTATGTTAATTGTACATGTCATCCCACACAGAAATGGCCTTTATAGGAATTATCAGTGTCGTGAAGAAAGTTTTTATTTCCATTTTTAAACCTCATATCCCCCCATCAAAAGCTCCCATTATGAGTTTCTGGCTGACTTACGCCAGGACTCACAGAATGATTCATCCCTACATGAAAAAGTATTTTCACCAGCCTCAAAGGTTTTCAGGAATTACTAGATCAAAGAATTGTTAAAGAAACTTTCCAAAAGCTCATTCTACTTGCCCCTCCAAGCAAAATACTAACTTTGTGATGGATTTTAGACATTCCTAGTCCGTAACAGTGGCATGAAACTTTTTTTTTTTTTAATAGAGACAGGGTTTTGATGTTGCCCAGGCTGGTCTCCAACTCCTGGGCTCAAGGTGATCCAACCGCCTCAGCCTCCCAAAGTGCTGGGATTACAGGCGTGAACCACTGTGCCCGGTCCCGCACAGAAGTTTTTGATGTTAGGTGTGCCACCTTCAATGATGGCTGTGTGGATCCAATATCTGCTTCTCTTTCACTCATAAAATTCACCAAGTTCACATTGGAAAACATTATTCTATGGTTATTCCAGAAAATATTAGATTATCCCCGTTTTGTTTGAAAACTGACGGAAAATATGACATCATGTTCCCATCTGGCAGGAGTGCACAGCAGGCATGGAAAATGGGGATGAGTGCGTCCAAGTTAGTTCCAATTTTCAAACATTCCTCCCGCACCGCCTGTTCAGTTGCCTGGGTAAAACTGCCCCACGCAGAGAAGCTTTTACCCCAGGTTAATAAAGATGCTTTTTATATTTGTATTTGAGTTGTGGTCACTAGTAATGTTTTCTAGTCCAGATTGTGAAATTTGTATTTGTTACTATCTTTGTTTTTATACCTCAAAGAACCATTTAGAGTCACTGATTCATTTCCATAAAGCAGGAACTTTCCAAAATTTAGTAAGAATAGCTAAGTACAAATCTAAAAAAATAATTACGTACTTCAAAAACTAAAAATGCATTCACTGAGATGCCTTATATCCTAATTAAATATTAGCTGAATTGTAATTGATCTTACATTTTGATTTTGTGAAATATATATTGCCTTTACTCCAAAATTTACTAGACCACCTTCTTACGTATGGCAGTGGGCATTAGGTGGCTTGTGAATTTGAGAACTGCTCTATGGGGTTAGTGTCTGAGATTCATCAACTGAGCATGGAATAAGAAGAGAATAGCACTTTAAAGAACATTAACTGAGGACTTTGCTAAGCATTTATTTAATTAGGGAAAGCTTCAAAAGTTGAAGTCCAATCATGGGACTTTCAAAATAATCCAAGTGAGACATGAAGAGACTAAGCTGAGGGGGAGATCCATGGAAATGATGTATTAGAATCATAAGCATGAACTGTTTCAACAGACAATACACAGAATTTGGAAAAACGAGGGAGTGATATCTCTAAGATTTTTTTCCACAAATAAACATTCATACATATTATTTTGTATTCATATACTGTGATCTTCATGGAGTAAGGTGCTAATGTAAAAAAGTTGATTATTGGAGTTTATAAAAGCAACTTTTGACCATTTTCTCTGTGTGTGTGTCTACATAGCAAACTTACTTCCTCAGAGAAGCAGAAACTCTTTGTCTTACTGACACTGGAATGTATCCTCTGTAGTTTTATTCCATGAAAAAGATAACTAGGCTGGGCGTGGTGGCTCACGCCTGTAATCCCAGCACTCTGGGAGGCCGAGAAAGGTGGATCACTAGGTCAGGAGATTGAGACCATCCTGGCTAACATGGTGAAACCCCTTCTCTACTAAAAATACAAAAAAAAAAAAAAAATTAGCCGGGCATGGTGGTGGGTGCCTGTAGTCCCAGCTACTTGGGAGGCTGAGGCAGGAGAATGGCATGAACCTGGGAGGTGGAGCTTGCAGTGAGCAGAGATCATGCCACTGCACTCCAGCCTGGGTGACAGAGCGAGACTCTGTCTCAAAAAAAAAAAAAAAACCAACAGCAAAAAAAAACAGATAACTAAGACTTTGGCCCTACAATATTTAACTCTGCATGGAAAACAACCCACCAAATATGTTTTCTGTACTTACTGAAAAACCACCAACTATGGTTTCATATTCACTGAATACAAGTAAATTAATGAAACATTTTCAGGACAATCAGGCACAGATGGCTATTTTTTCTATTGAGTTGAGATAATTATTTGTGCTAATAATAGAAAGAAAGTGTGTATCCACTCCTGGAAGGCTGTGTGCTGTGCTATAAGAGAAGCTGATGCCTCTGCTTCCCCATCTTTGTTCTGTGGAGCCACACAGGCAGCCTGATACCTGGGCAAATGCTTACCTGCCCACATCCGAAGGGCTGGTGCACCCAGAGTCGTGGCTAGGTTGTGTGCAGCACAAATTCCCACCTCTAGTTTCCCTGCTTTACTCTTTTCCTAAGAAATCAGTACCTGAGCTTTTTCAAAATAACTGGAGAAGAAATGAGGCAGAAAGTATCTTTTTAAACACAATGCTCATTCACTCAGAAAATTGAGAAAAAAGTTCTAAGTGATAATTGATGTCAACCTGTAAAATTTTTCAACAGCTTGAGTGTTTATTTTCTTTACAATATTGTCATCAACTCATAACCAAATATCACAAATAGGCAGCATAATGGCCTCATTAGGGCAGTTTCCACAGTGACCCACATCATCAACAATGGCATGCATCTGTCATGCATCTTCCCAGAAAGTCCTAAAATTCTACAGGAAAAACCTCTTGGAAAGAAAGTTTCGAATGTTGATGAGGTCCACCCATATAGTTAATCTCTTCAGGTGAGAAGCTATAAACATAAGACACTTCTTCGGTTTCATCCATTTTGTAAACTCATTTGCTGAAATGTTCTTCACAGTAATATCTGTGTTCACTGCATTGTTTCCAAGTATTTAAAATCCCTGAAGAAGTAAGTAATCCATGTGTTTTACGCCATTTCAACAGAAATGTCTTAGGCAATGTTTATCTTTGCTGCTTACAGATCCCCAAATAAGACAGCTTGCTTCATTAGTGAAGGCCCCTTGAAAAAATTCTCAAACTCTCCTTCGGTCTAATGCATGGTTAGTTATTGTACATTCATTTTGCAACTTTAAAAAGGAGCAATTGCAGAGGTGTCAAGCCACAAATAACAATGCTGTCTAACTTCGTTAGACCATGAAAACACACGGGTTATCCTTGCAAAAAAGCATATATATTTTTTAATTTATTGCAGTAGCATCTTGAATCACATCTATCATGAGAGAATATAAAATCTTTTTCATGTTTTTCACACACTGTCATAACTTATTATTGTTTTCCATTATCTTAATATTCTGCTGTCTAAGAGATGTAGCCCCTGGGTGACCTGAAAGTCTGGTGAAGCTAGTATGATCAGGGATATAATAAGACAGTGACCATCTATGGACCTTGGACACAATACTAGAGAGCATGATAGATGTGTGTGGGCCATAATGATGTTGATATTAATATGCTATTAATTCCTCTCTGACTCCAGTACATCATCTCCACCTTGTCTAGGTTTTGCATTTCCAAATACTTGCCCTTTCTCTCTTAATAATTCTCCTTAATATCCCACATTCCTTTAACCTGAGGTGGAAAACTCAAGTGGGGAGGGAAATCCTAAAACTCACTAGGTGACACAATACACTAAAACATTCCAGCTTGGGTCAGCAGACATGTTACAGCTACAGACTCTTATGTTTTCTCTCTTTAGACCAAAGAGTTTATCTTACACTCATCATGTGTTGGTCTGTGAGTGGCCAAGACAACATTCAATGAGCAACCAGCAAACCCTCCCTTATGCTAGAATGCTTACTTATGGGGATACTAAAAACACTAGGTCTGTTATAGTTCTACTTGGAAACTTCAGATGCCTTTTCTTCTAACTCTGAAATTTTAATAAGATGGAAGAAGCACTTTCTGCATAATTGTTTATTTAAAACTAAATGCAATTCCAACCCAGAAGAGGCCTCTTTTGGACAAGACTAGTCAAGTTACAGATGAAGACAACAGTGTCTTAGCTGTCAGTGAGATAGCCCTCTTTGATCTTGGGGAATTCTGAAGGAATTTCTCATTTCAAAATAAGAATAAATACTTTTGGGTAAAGGGAGGAGAGAAAATTCTTCAGGTCACCTTCCATTTTTTCCTTATAAACAAATTACAATCAGTTGACCTCAGCCTAGCATTTTGATTAAAAATAACTCAAGACAGGACTGAAAGAAAACACCAAGAAGAGTGTTTTATCCTAATCTTAGAAAGGCATATTCATATGACAACCAGCATAAGAAGCAAGGAATCTGAATTACAGAAAAATAAACTTTAAACTGAAACTGCTAATATAATAAATGCAGAGGAGACACAGGGCAGCAAATGCACAAATAAATGTATGTCTTTAGCCAGTATGTGAATGATACCCAAAACGGCTGGTTTTCCATCTCAAACAGTCATGGAATAACAACTTCACAGTGTTTATTAATTGTTGAAATTGTCTAAAACAAGAGAATATATTTTCACAAATTCATCTGACACAGACACAGCTATAAGCACATGAGAAGACAGGCCTAAGGAAAAAGGTAAAATTAATTCACCTATGTCTGTATTTGTCAACTAAACAAAGCATCAATCCATTTATTATAAAGTATAATAAAACTAAGGACAACCATTGCATAATTAAATTGCCTCTGAAAGCCAATTATTGATTATGGAGAAAACCAAGTTTTACAACTGTATGTGTGTATCATATAAAGATTTCATTTCCTAATATAGATCATTCATTATTTATTTTGAAATGTTAAGAATTTACTATGTGCCAGTGTATCATTTGAATTCTCATATTTTAAACATTTTAAACTATAGGTTAATTTTCTGAAATTTTCAATTAGTGTCAGAAGAAGTTACAGAAAAAGGAATAACAAACATGTTTAAATAATTAAATGGTTTCAATGGCATCTCTGAATTTCTTTGATATTATTATCAAAATGTTTTCTTCAATTCTACTCAAAACCTTATTTTTTTGCCCTAAGTCTTTGTCAGCTTATTTCAGTCTTATTTTTACATGTAATATACCACAGAGTTCTTCTTAGCTTCAAGTGATGCAATGTGAAAGGTGTAGAAATGCACACTGACCCTTAGCCTCTTAAATTTACAACAGGTCGGCCAGGTGTGGTGGCTCACACCTTTGGGAGGCCGAGGTGGGCATACCACGAGGTCAGGACATTGAGACCATCCGGGCCAGCATGGTGAAACCCCTTCTCTACTAAAAATACAAAAATTAGCCTGGTGTGGTGGCGGGCACCTGCAGTTCCAGCTACTCGGGAGGCTGAGGAAGGTGAATCACTTGAGCTCAGGAGGCGGAGCTTGCAGTGAGCCGAGATTGCACCACTGCACTCCAGCCTGGCAACACAGCAAGACTCCATCTCGATAAATAAATAAATAAATAAATAAATAAATAAATAAATAAATTTACAACAAGTCACTTTATCCTCAAATTAGCCAATACCATGTTAGAGGTTATACTGAAATTCTAACTATGAAGATGTAGAAAGCAAAAACATATTTAATTAGTTATAATCCAATCTGTGCAATATTCATGATAATACATTTTTACAAGTTGAAAGTAATTCTGGATTATGCTTCATAACTTATGAAACCTTTGGTGGAAAAATTGAGTCTTCCCCATTAAAGGGAATTAAATAAGTTGCTTATAAAAGTGCATTAACTTGTTTGGCCCATGGGTTCATCATTTAGTGGCATGGAAGAACTAGTTTACTTGTGGTATCCAAGAGGCATGAAGAAAGACACCTCCAAAAAGTCCATTTTGACTCTTTACACTGGGACAGACGGGATGCATAGCTACCTTGTTCCCCTCTCACCCCTCAGGCTAAGGCTTGAGTAACTATTGCAGCTGTTTCCATGGCGTCTTCCCATCACATGGGAAGAAGGCACTGGGCTGCACAACAGGGAAACTACTTGTTTTCTGCCTGTTAATTTTTAGCTCTGAGATCTTTACACTCCACTGGAGAAAGGCTTTAATGTCTGAGACAGGGGGTCATTATTTGTTAGTTTAATTATTTATGATCAGAACATTTGTTCAGTCACTCTTCCATAGACCATTCTGAATCTAATAAAGGATATGAAAACACTAGAGATAATCTATAGCCCTCAATAAATCACTCCCAATTTGGAACTCCTTTGATGAATACTCCAGGCTACCACGAGGGAGAAGAAAAAAGTCAAAACCAATTTAAAAAAGCAACAACAATGAATTTGTAATAAACTTAGTTGATAGCTAACTAAAGTAAGCCTGTTTTTCTAACTTCATTAACATGAAAATAAATTTTATTAAGATTGATATCATGCTTTTTTGCACGATGAGTTACAGGAACATGAACTAAGAATAAAAATGATCCCTAAGATAAAGAATCCTCATAATCATGTACTTTAGTACAAAATATGATTTGACATCAAGAAGAGCTATGGCTTGAGATTGCTCTTGTTTTCCTTTACCCCCTGTGCCCAGGCTTAGTCACTGTTTCAGTGATAATGACCATCCACTGAGGCTCTGCAGCAATAGAATCTAAAGTAACGAAACAGAGCCCATATCTCTGCAACAAATGAAATCACAGACTTAAGAAAAATAAACAGAAAAATGAAAAGTTAAATTGTTCATGTTTCATAGCCATACTGCCTATAACAAATGCCAGAACATATTTATTTGGTCCAATGTGCAATGCATTAAATGTGCTCAAATACAGAAAACACCAAGAAATGCAACAGGGAGTTAAAAAAAAAAAAAAAAAAAGGCTGGGCGCGGTTACAGGCTCACGCCTATAATCCTATCACTTCAGGAGGCTGAGGTGGGTGGATCAGGAGGTGAGGAGATCCAGACCACCTTGGCTAACATGGTGAAACCCCGTCCCTGCTAAAAAAAAAAAAAAAAATACAAAAAATTAGTCAGGCCTGGTGGCGGGTGCCTGTAGTCCTAGCCACTTGGGAGGCTGAGGCAGGAGAATTGTGTGAACCCAGGAGGCAGAGCTTGCAGTGAGCTGAGATTGCACCACCGCACTCCAGCCTGGGTGACAGAGCGAGACTCCGTCTCAAAAAAAAAAAAAAGAACAAGGGCAATAAGAAAATAGGAAAGCACAATTATATAAAATACAGTAGACACTTTTGAATCTTTTTAATATATGCCTACAAATACATTTTATTAATAGTGTAAATTTAATTTCCTCTGAGAATTTATTCAAAGAAGTTCTATCTGAGTTTGTGCTCAGAAAATGCCAGGATGATTCCTTGTCACAATGTATTTGGTGTTTAAAGTTCCCTCTAATTTACACAGCAAGACAACATTCAATTTTCTACACTTCTGCTTAAGCATATGTAAAAGAAACACACTCCTCATGAGATATGTTTACAAATATAAATGGAATAGTCACAGTGGAGCATGAATAAACCATTACATGGTTATTTCTCTACAGTGGATGCTAAAGAGAGAATCAAGTCCACCATAATAAGAAATAAACTAAGAGTTGTAGTTAAAACATAATAAAAATCTTCTTAAACGTTTCTTTACTTTGCCAATTTTCTCATCCAAATAGGGATAATTAAATAATCTGGGACAACAAAATGTATACTGTGGCAGAACAAAAGAATCCAAGGTAAAAAAAAAAAGGACATGGCAGAATCTAAGGTCTTTGATAAATAATACTCAGATATTGCAAGGGGTATACAAAGAGTTCAAACACTGTCAAAGTCAGGTGTGACTTGTTCAAGGCACACAAAGATCATACCAAGGGAAACCCAGCAGGACAAGAAAGCCGAAGTGATCAACTTATTCCTGTCAAATACATTCTTGGAGTTTCAAATGTGAACAAATATGCTTATTCTGAATTTTACTTCCTTCTGCAAAGTATTAATCAATTATAATTATTTTGTTAAAAGAAAATCCAATGAGAGTCACCAAGGAGCAATACAAGGAAAAAGGCAGACTCACCATCTCTTCGATTAAGCCTTGAAAACCCCGGGCCGTGGCTGCTGGACAGCTCTGAGGAGCTGCTGAAGGATGACCTAGGCAAGGCAGAGGCCAGTGGGGAATCACAGTCAGCTGCCAGGAAAAATACCGTGATATGGTTAACACTCAGATTGCAGCTTGGGAGAAATAATAGTCCAAAAATATATATGAATATATTCTAGGATGTATGGCAATCATCACTCCTTTTTTAATTCTTTACAATTTTTAAAATTTACATTGCAGCATAATTTACAGAGAGTAAAATTCCAGAGAATTTATTTGATGTTTTTAAAGTGTACAGCTCTATTCATTTTGGCAAATGCATTCTGCCTTGTAACCTCCACCATAATGAAGACATAAAACAGGTCCATTAGCCCTCAAAGTTCCCTAATGTCCCACATTTTCTCAATTCTGCAAGATGTCTGGGTACATCACCCATCCAACACTACTTTAAACTCAATTTGATGCTTAGGTTCTTTAGGTACACACATACAGAGGTAGTGTGAATTCTGTGCCCAAACCTCAATAGCGGCTAGAAATTCTCACAGTGCCCCAGCACAGAACCTGTGGGGGATGGGAAAAGTGAAATGCACCAGGTGTTCAGGTCAGAGTTACCTGCGTGAAGCCAGGACCCATGAGAGGCAACACCTGTAGTGATGAACTGGAAAAAGCCCACTCTGTAGACCCCTCCAGAGGGAATTACTGCGGGCTACTTGCCTACAGGAGATGGAGGCTCCTCCTTTTTGCCTGATAACTTGAGCATTGCAGGAACTTGCTCTGCCTTTCCAACCCAAGGACCCCTGCATGTCACCATGTCATCCTCACCTCAGGGTGACTCTCTATTGCTTCAGCTCTGGTCTAAAAGAATTGCTGGGGGTTAAGTAGTGTTTGACCCAGATCATCTTATTTGTCCTAAGACCATAAGGACCCTCAGAGCCTTCTTGCCCCTGGTGTTCCCCACCATCAAACTTGAGGAGCCCCTGGGACCATTCCCACCTTGGGTAGCTCTTTTCCTATGCGTAGCCATGGGTAACAGAAGCAACCCAGAGGTTACCTCTGAGTCCCGCAGTCCAATCCTGTAATCACTGTACTTTCAGGCATGTCATATATTTTGTCATAAAAAGGGTACCTCTTCCAGCATGGTTATTGATCTAATAATGTTACACATAAGTTTTCTGTCACACATTAAGATATGTCTGTGAAAGAGGAATGTTATACCTTGAATATATCATTAGATGATTCTGAACTGCATATTTTGGATACACTTTTTTTCTTTGTGAGCAACTTGTTAAGTCACAGAAAGAAGGCAACCAGAATTAATTAGATTGCTACGACTTAGCAAAATGTCAACTATGTTCAGTGAGATAGATAAGAGGTAATTCAGGGTCTCTCCTGATTTGTTTGGTTGAGTACATGATACTGCAACAACAGAAAGAAAATTCAGTGCACATAATTTGCCTGAGTGAATATCATTTCATAAAGAAATACTGGAATTATATCTGCTTTTCTAAAAGCATGCATTACCATTAAGACAGTGACATGTCTTTAAGACATGACAAAAGAAAAACTCAGTAACTCATTGTGAAGCATCTATTCTACAATAGGGAGAACAGTATCTCATTGCTTGGTAAAACATTCAGAGTATTTGATATAGGAACATTTTTCTATATATTCCCCATAAGTGACAATGTCACATTTATACAGGTGAGTCAGACACTGGAATTTGTGATTTTTTTACATACAAAGAGCAGCATAATCTAGCTAAGAAATTGCATTTAACATCTTTAGCATGAAGAGCACCCAATATTTTTACACAGCAAGAAGCCATTGAAATGTGCAGAGCTGTTAAGAAAGGTTTGCTTTCTCTACACTTTCCTTAAATGTCCCCCTCAATGTTTATGCCACAAGAGAGGCTTTCTTGATTTCCCCAGCACACATGCTCTCTGGATAACACTGTGCAGTCGGGATTCCCAGATGTCAGCAAATATGCTACAGAGTGGGCTAAGAAAAATAGATAAATACGAATCCAACTGGCTACGAACTTTACTTACATTTTCTAAAAAGGCATTTTAAAACTGTGAAGAAGCTAAAGTACAAGAAGGCAACTAAGGCTCTGCTCCATCTATAGACAAGTCCCACATGGCCCACGAGTGGTCACAGCAGGATCCAAGAAGGAAGGACATCATCCAGGGAATAGTGCCTCCTAAGCCTGTCTGCCTGATGTTATTTTCTCTCTATTTTCTGGGAAAGAATAAAACAAATCCAAGAACATCTAAAGTAGCATTGACATTTTTTGGATAAAATCTCTTCCTACATTAGAAAAGCATGATAGCTGTTCTCATGATGCCTCTGTCCTGCAGTATCATGCAACACATAAAACAGCACTGGGCGTTTCACGTGTCCCTGGATTCCTGCAGTATCATGCGATACATGAAACAGCACTGGGCATTTCACGTGTCCCTGGGATTCCTGGCTGACATGTCTAACTCTCTCTGTGGAATCATGAGCTCTTGAAGGCACAATAAAAGTCTTTCCCAACTTCATGTGCTCTATACCTAGCGCAGAATCTGAAAGATAGCACATGCTCAATAAACTTCAACTGAATATTTACTAAATACGTAAAAGAGAATTATCATTAACCAATACACTTAATTAAACTTAGTCTTCCTAAGTTAGCAGAGTACAATTTATTAAAGTTCAAACACAAGAGGCCTACAGGTATCAGATTCACATCTCTAATAAAAATAATAACCAGATCTCAAGAGAAGGTTCTAAATAGGTGTAATAGATAATAGTTATTCTTTCCCTTGGTTTCTCCCTAATTAACTTTCCAATTGTGTGTTTCACGAGTTTCAGATGATTTCCAATAGGATTAAGGTCCAAATATAAATCTGTAAAGACAGCTGGAAACAAAATTGCTGAAATTTTCCATTTCGCCTTTGGAAAATTCAAGAGTCAATAGCATCTGTCTGCCAAAGAGTCACCTTGTAATGAAGAAAATTTCTGGCACAGGCTTGAATAAATCTTGCCCTTCAGAAAGGCAATAAATTCGGGCGCGGTGGCTCACACCTGTAATCCCAACACTTTGGGAGACCAAGGCGGGTGGATCACAAGGTCAGGAGATCGAGACCATCCTGGCTAATACGGTGAAACCCCGTCTCTACTAAAAATACAAAAAATTAGCTGGGCATGGTGGCACGTGCCCATAGTCCCAGCTTCCCAGGAGGCTGAAGCAGGAGAATCGCTTGAACCTGGGAGGAGGAGGTTGCAGTGAGCCCAGATGGTGCCAGTACACTCTAGGCTGGGCGACAGAGAAAGACTCCGTCTTAAAAAAAAAAAAAAGAAAGAAAGAAAGGCACTAAATTTTATAAAATAAAAGAACATAAGAACATATCTGGTACCTAAGTTTATTGTTTTTTCCCTATCATTTTGAATTCTGTGAACACTTTCTTTCTAGAAAGAATTGTACACTACTGAGTCAGAGGGGAAAACACAGTGGGCACCCCACAAGTGTTACAGGGGCTGGATCTCCCTCTTCCTCAGCTTATTTGGAAATCTGGTTAAGATTCACTATATTTCCATGTGCTTGGCTCAATATAGAGGGTTCTAGGGTCTTAATGTTACAAGTATTGATTATTTCACATTTATTCTCACCATCTAAAGGCAGAGATTCATTGCTACATAGGTATATTTTATATTATTGTTCTCCTAGAAGATCATGGTTGAAAATGATATAAAATGTTTTATTCAGGGTTGTTTTATATCTGTTCAAAAATGGTGGACTTCCTTAAAAATCACCTGTGCTGAACTGGGTAACAGCTGGATTCATATTAAAACTTGCAGGTTTGAAGAAGAGAAGCATTTGGAAAATGCAGAGAATAAACACAGTATGGGTTGGTGACTTAGCTGAAGGCTCAACAACGGTTGAGAGAGAAGTAGAGATAAACCCATAGAGGATCCCACCTGCCACCTTCCATGCAGCCACCTCAAGTGACAACTTTGAAGATGCACGCTAGACCAGAGGGTTTTTGGCTTGCTGCACTTCCTTAGGCTTGTTGATTTAGTCTCGGTGATTAGCTCTGCCTAGGTTCCTCTCTCCCCACTCTATGGTCTTGATTTGTCCCCTGACCCCTGCCTGGCATCACTCTTAGCTTCCCACTTCTCCTTGACAAGTATTCCCAGCATGCTTTGTGATTCCCAGCATGGTGCCTATGAACGGTTTGGGACAGAAACCATTTCTTAGTATTATGTTCATGAAAGACAGCAGAAGATTAAAATTAGCCTAAGGGCTTCCTGTATACAAATCAACATTGCATTCACAGATGTGCTAGTTTATGACAATTTTTACCACATGAATATGAAATGATTAAAAAATCAATTTGAGGAATTGCCCTTACCTAAGACAGAGATGATATACTTTTCAAAACAGCATTTCATTTGAGTATGTTAATTCTTGCACTTATTTAATAAAAGTGTATTGAGCACCTACCATGTTCAAAGCATTATGGGGCATAAAGAGAGACATGGTTCTAGGTTCAAGAAGTCCAGAATCTAACATGGGAGGGAGATGTGTAAATATCTGTTATAGGAAATAAACAGAAGAGCAAAATATTTAGATACTACTATTTATTCCAAAACACAGGGAAGCATCTTAATTGCTTAGGAACAAAACCAGCCTCTGAAAGAGCAAACACTACTAGGGAGAGATGCGTATAAAAGTGCTTCTGGAAAAGATAAACATAAACCATGCATTTTCAAACAGCAATTCATTATTCTGGGATCTGATAATAAGAATGAAAAAAAAAAAGAATGCATGGATAATACATGGACAGATTTTGTCCGTATCTGCAGAGGAAATGGGAAAAGCCAAAAGGAGGGGCGACAACTGATCCTTTGGGGAGGAGCTTTACATTCAAATGAGGACACCTCCTGGCATCTCCAGATGGAGCTCCGAATTCATTACAGTATTACTTAAAGGATTTTATTAAAAGACCAAACCACACTGCACTTGTGGCTGAATGCCTTTATCAGAGATGAATCTTACATGTGTTAGGACAGGCTGACAGTGGCTCCCAAAGATATGTCTATGCCCCAATCCCGGGACCCTGTGAAGGTTACTTCAGAAGGTAAGGTTCTCCAGATGTGATCAAAGACCCTGAGACGAGGAAATTATCTTGAATTATCTGGCTGGGTCTTAAATACCATCAGAACTGCCCTTGTAAGAGAGATAAAGGTGATGATGAACAGAGCCCCATACAAAAGAGAAGAGGGTGTGAAAATGGAGTGAGGCACCCACAAGGTGAGGCACACGGGCAACCACAGGAAGCCGGAAGAAACGAAGAATGCATGTCCCCCTAGAGCCTTCGTAGGGAGTGTGGCCCATCTTGATTTTGGACTAGGGATACTGATGCGGAACTTCTGGTCTCCAGACTATGACAGAATAAATTCTTTTGCTTTAAGTCTGCCAGTTTATGGTCATTTCTCACAAGGGCCATAGGAAATGAACACACTTTATATGGAATTACATATTGGATATTTTAGGGCAAATGCAGGAGAGTTCCACTGAAAATACGTTTAACATCCCTTTGAATCGCACAGATACTCAATTCCTTCTGAGAAGGGCTTCGTGATGCTAAGCCACTCTGCCAGGCTGTGGCTCTCCCCATGCTTGCGGCTGCACTTGCTCCTCACTGTGAAAGGAGCTAAGCACTGTGTCGGCGGAACCTAAGGATGGAAGGAGAGGGGAAGGGGCCACCGAACTGCTAATATGAGGGGACGGCACCTTAACCAGCTTCGAATTATCAGAAAAACACAAAGCCTATTATTAAAGAGTTCAACAGATGGTTACTGTGTTATCACAGATGTACAGAAAACCTCTTTGTTCTAAAAAAAAAAAAAAGAAAAAAAAAGATTCCTGTCCTTTCTCAGACTGTCTCGATTAGGTCAAATTCACTAACTCCACAGCAGGCTTCTCTCTGGTTCCACATATTGAGTCAGCAGGGAGCACGGCCTCGGGAATCGAATCACAAACAGGGAAGGGGGTGCCCATACCTTCTTCAGGCCACGTCTGGATGTTCATCTGGATACGGCGCTATTCCATTCTTCCCATTTCATCACCTGTCTTTTCAGTTCTTAATGTACCTTAACATTATCTTAATGAGAGGTTAAATAATGCTTTTATTTAGAAGGTACCAAAAGTTCATCTTATTATGAATCTGAATTGATCTGTGCATTGCTATCTAGAGGGAATGCTTCGGAAAAAGTACATTTTACTCACAGTGAACATAAGCAGTGATGGTCAATGTAAAAATCTACTGTTTTCCATATAAAAACTTCTGTTTTACATGGTCTTGATCTCCATTCGATTATCTTCAGTCACTGTCTTCCCTACATCTCACTCCATGGGGTCTGAAGGGGGCTCACCCTACCACCTGGGGCCAGCACAGGGACAAGCCTCAGGCCTGGCAACTGAATGTCATGCCTGTCCTACTGGAAAGGACTGGTTCCAGGATGGTCAGGAAGCCCACGCTGAATGAATGGGAACAGAACCTGGGACTTTCGAATGAATAACAGCAGAACTTGGGACTTTCGGCTTGAACTCTTGGGAGAAATACCCATTCATTCATTCAACAAATATTTGTTGAAAATCTATACTGTGCCAGGTGTGCCCCTATGTTCTGGGGATATAACCATAAACAACAGAAAAAGTCTCTGCTCCTGTGAAGCTTATCCTACTGAGTAGAATAAACAAATAAAGGCATAGTATCTGTAGAACTCAACATTGCTAAGAACAGAAATAAAGGAAAATAGTCACGCTCCTAAGCTGGTAAACGGTATGCCTGAAGCTAAGGCATAGACAGAGCTGCCCAAGAATGAGGCCAGTTGTAGATGAAAATAAAACTGCAAGAAGGAAAGAGGCAGACTGCTGATGAAAGAATCTGATTGCCTAAATTCAGCCTGGCTTCAATCAAGACACTTTGGTTCCCTTTATTGTTCAAGCCTATTTGATCTTAGATTTTGGTCACCTGAAACTGAAAAATACTCAATAAGTACACTGTCCTGAGCCCCCACCCTTATCTTCCCTCTACAGCCAATAAATTGCCAAGGATTATGTACTTTTTGTGTGTATATGGCAGCTTTTCCATTATCATGATCATCATCTCACTGTAGGTCCTCATGTTAACGACCTAACTAATCCTTACAGCCAATGTTTCCTTATTGACTGTCCCCAGCCACACACACACCTTACATATCACCAGAGCAGAAACGGTTTTAAACTATTGCTGAGTGCAAGTCACACAAACAGCCATATCAACGAGCTCCAATGGATCCCCACTGCACCTGTCCTGAAATTCAAATTTCAGGTCCTGGCATTCAATTCCTTCCATCACCTGTTCCCCGTTACTCTCTGCACTACAGCCGAATCCCCTACACATTTCTCAGATGCGCTTCCTCCTTTAATTGGAGTGGTCTTCTCACTGTTTCCTGAATGTGGGATGCATGCACCAATGCTCCTTGACCGCTCACCCGATGACATTGCAGCCCCTGCTGTCTGCGAGTTCCCATCACTTATTATCTTCAGGGCTCAACTCAAGTTTTGTCTCTGCTCTGAAGTCTTCTCACATGTGTGAAGGCCCCAGTAAGGCTTACTCTTCTGAAATACTGAGGTCTGTCTCATGGAAAATGAATTACACCTCTGGAGAAGGAGCAGCACCTCACTCACAGGGAGCCACACAGCAGCCATGTGCGGCGGCAGATGGGGATGAGAGGGAACAGGAGAACCTCACTCCTGAGAAAGGAGCCTTGCCTGCTGACTGATGATTCTGGGGTGAGGAAGAGAGACTGGCATGACCAGCTGATGAGTGTCTGGTTCCCGGGACATGACAGACAATTCCTAGAGTCTACCTGTGGGAACAGATGAGGCTTGGAAGAAGACACATAGAAACAGGTTTAAATTCTATAAATTAGAATTTACAGGGGGTAGGAGATAGGGGTTACACGTTGTCTCTCCTTCCAGATGACATTTTGACTTGTTAAAGAAAACCTAGCATAGGAACATTGAATACCTCCTGACATTGGTGTTTTCAAATGACTTACAGCACTACAAATATAAAGTTATAACAACAGTATACCAATTTTAACATACCAGGACCAAGGACTTTATTCTATGAGAACTACAAAAGACACAACACAAATGAAGACCTAGAGGAAAGTTTACAGAGTTTTTTTTTTTTTTTTTTTGAGACGGAGCCTCGCCCTGTCGCCCAGGCTAAATTTTTTTTGTATTTTTAGTAGACACGGGGTTTCACCATGTTAGCCAAGATAGTATCGATCTCCTGATCTCGTGATCCACCTGCCTCAACCTCCCAAAGTGCTGGGATTACAGGCGTGAGCCACCATGCCCGGTCAAGTTTACATAAATTTAAGCATCTTAGTTTGACGATCTACTCTACAGTCATTACAACAATAAATATAAGAACTATTTAAACATGTGGAGAGATGAAGGAGATGGGATGGGAAAATCTGCATATGAGAAGATAATGGACAAAGAGATCTGCTGGATTGAGATGAGATAATGGGTGTTAAATCCAACAAACACAGCTCTAGAAACACAGAAGGGATTCAACATAGATCAGCTCCTTTTCCCTGAGGAAGCTGGATAGATGATCTTGTTCTCTTTCCTTTTATTTCTAAATTTCTTGCTATGTAGTTAAATTATACTTCTGTGATAAATTCAATACCTATTTTTAAACTATAGATTTTTGGCTAAAGTATATAATACGAGAATAAGACGAACCTATTTTTTTGAGACTTACTGCTAAGTAGAAAGAGAGGAAACCAAATAACAAAATTAAGTCGTGCAGAAAGACATCAGACACGACACAGAAAAAAATACAACAACACAGGTGCATATAATTTAAAAAGAAAATCATGTGGCGATGTCATCACTAATAATTGTTATTACAAATGTATCCACAGCTGTGGGAATATAAGTGATAAAGATGAACTGTTAATAAAGGGCAATAAATGATCTTTCCACGGGTACAAAAAAATAGAAAAAATGAATAACACCTAGTATTTGATAACACAAGAGGTGACTATAGTCAATAATTACTTAATTGTACATTTTTAAATAACTTAAAGAGTGTAATTGGATTGTTTGCAACTCGAAGGATAATTGCTTGAGGGGATGGATACTCCATTTTTCTTGATGCACTTATTTCACATTGCATGCCTGTATCAAAACATCTCATGTAGACCATCGATATATACACCTACTATGCAACCACAAAATTAAAAACTAAAAAAATTAAAAATAATAATAATTCTTTCTATGCACCTCTGAGAGTTGACAGAATTAGGGTCTGAATGAGAATATAAGGTATGAGAAGGATATGGCTTCTTCCCAAGACATGTTACAGAGGGATGGAAAGAAGACTGTGTTCAACTTATAACATCTTAAAGGGACCTCATGACCTCACAGGCCAGAGCAGGCTATGGAGCATCTGGGAGCTGAAGAAAGAGAACTTCAGTGATACTTAAGTAAGGGTTAAGAGATGCACTCCAATTGCATTCTGAAGACAGATCCCAACAAGACCAATGACATCAGCTAGATTTTTTTCAGCCCAAAGTAATAAACCTGCAAATTATCAGAACTTGTTCACTACTCCGTACTTGGCTCTAATATGATTAGTAAGATGGCAGTGTCAGAATCCTTGAGAAAATAATAACCAGAACATCTTAGAATTTATTGTGCCCAAGGAAGGAGCCCTGTCAATAGACAAATGTTTATTTGAGATGTCAAAAAGATAATTTTAAAACTTTAGGAAAACAACAGGCATTATCCCATGGCAATATGTTTTATGTCCAAATTTCAACTCTATTATTTCAAGCTATGTGTGTGACTTTAGAGGCAGCTTTGACTTCAATTTTTTAACTTAAAAAGATAAGAGTATTTAGAACACAATGGGAAATGTTACATAATACTACCTTGTAGACCTCCGAGCAACCACTATACAAAGAGACACTGTTGTTATGATTGAGGACAACATCGTTCATCAAATGTGAAAAGCTACCCAAATGAAACCCAGAAAAAACATGTTCCACTGAAGAAGAGAGAAATGGGCAAAGTAACCAAGGAAAGAATATTTACAGTGAGACTGGGCGCAGTGGTCAAGATGGGTGGATCACAAGGTCAGGAGTTTGAGACGAGCCTGGCCAACATGGTGAAACTCCATCTTTAGTAAAAATACAAAAATTAGCTGGGCATGGTAGCGGGAACTTGCAATCCCAGCTACTCGGGAGGCTGAGGCAGGAGAATCACTGGAACCCGGGAGGTGGAGGTTGCAGTGAGCCAAGATTGTGCCACTGCTCTCCAGCCTAGGTGACAGAGCAAGACTCCATATCGGAAAAAAAAAAGAAATACTTACAATGAAAAGGAACATTAAAAGGAGGCAATATAAAGCAAAGTGAGTTAAAGCCCAGAACACATTAAGACTTTCAAACATTGCTAAATGCAATCAAAGAGATTTTTTGTATACTCATAAGAAAAAACAGAAGAAGCTGCACTCTTTTGACAAAGCTCATAAGGCTAAGAAAATAGACAGGTCCGGATCCAAGATGGTCGAATAGGAACAGCTCCAGTCTACAGCTCCCAGCATGAACGACGCAGAAGACAGGTGATTTCTGAATTTCCGACTGAGCTTTGGTGACAGTAGTGGTTCTCCCAGCATGGAGTTTGAGATCTGAGAATGGAAAGACTGCCTCCTTAAGTGGGTCCCTGACCCCTGCGTAGCCTAACTGGGAGACAACTCCCAGTAGGGGCTGACTGACACCGCATACAGCCAGGTGCCCCTCTGAGACGAAGCTTCCAGAGGAAGGATCAGACAGCAACATTTGCCATTCTGCAATATTTGCTGTTCTGCAGCCTCTGCTGGTGATACCCAGGCAAACAGGGTCTGGACTGGACCTCCAGCAAACTCCAACAGACCTGCAGCTGAGGGTCCTGACTCTTAGAAGGAAAACTAACAAACAGAAAGGACAACCACACAAAACCCCATCTGTACGTCACCACCATCAAAGACCAAAGGTACATAAAACCACAAAGATGGGGAGAAACCAGAGCAGAAAAGCTGAAAATTCTAAAAATCAGAGCACCTCTTCTCCTCCAAAGGAACACAACGCCTCGCCAGCAACGGAACAAAGCTGGATGGAGAATGACTTTGACGAGTTGAGAGAAGAAGGTTTCAGATGATCGGTAATAACAAACTTCTCCGAGCTAAAGGAGGATGTTCGAACCCGTCGCAAAGAAGCTAAAAACCTTGAAAAAGGATTAGACGAATGGCTAACTAGAATAAACAGCGTAGAGAAGACCTTAAATGACCAGATGGAGCTGAAAACCATGGCACTAGAACTACATGACGCATGCACAAGCTTCAGTAGCCAATCCGATCAACTGGAAGAAAGGGTATCAGTGATTGAGGATCAAATGAATGAAATGAAGCGAGAAAAGAAGTTTAGAGAAAAAAGAGTAAAAAGAAATGAACAAAGCCTCCAAGAAATATGTGACTGTGAAAAGATTCACCAAACTTGAAATGAAGGAAAAAATATTAAGGGCAGCCAGAGAGAAAGGTCGGGTTACTCACAAAGGGAAGCCCATCAGACTAACAGCGGATCTCTCGGCAGAAACTCTACAAGCCAGAAGAGAGTGGGGGCCAATATTCAACATTCTTAAAGAAAAGAATTTTCAACCCAGAATTTCATATCCAGCCAAACTAAGCTTCATAACTGAAGGAGAAATAAAATCCTTTACAGACAAGCAAATGCTGAGAGATTCTGTCACCACCAGGCCTGCCTTACAAGAGCTCCTGAAGGAAGCACTAAACATGGAAAGGAACAACCAGTACCAGCCACTGCAAAAACATGCCAAATTGTAAAGACCATCAAGGCTAGGAAGAAACTGCATCAACTAATGAGCAAAATAACCAGTTAACATCATAATGACAGGATCAAATTCACACATAACA
Source organism: Homo sapiens (assembly GCF_000001405.40). NCBI lineage: Eukaryota > Metazoa > Chordata > Mammalia > Primates > Hominidae > Homo > Homo sapiens. Next base: position 42,116,673 of record NC_000009.12, read on the forward strand.
ATATTAACCTTAAATGTAAATAGGCTAAATCCTCCAATTAAAAGACACAGAGTGGCAAATTGGATAAAGAGTCAAGACCCATCAGTGTGCTGTATTCAGCAGACCCTGCTCACGTGCAGAGACACACATAGGCTCAAAATAAAGGTATGGAGGAAGGTCTGCCAAGCAAAGGGAAAACAAAAAAAAAGCAGGGGTTGGAATCCTAGTCTCTGATAAAACAGACTTTAAACCAACAAAGATCAAAAGAGACAAAGAAGGCCATTACATAATTGTAAAGGGATCAATTCAACAAGAAGAGTTAAATATCCTAAATATATATGCACCCAGTACAGGAGCACCCAGACTCATAAAGCAAGTCCTTAGAGGTGTACAAACAGACTTAGACTTCCACACAATAATAATGGGAGATTTTAACACACCACTGTCAACATTAGACAGATCAACAAGACAGAAAGTTAAAAAGGATATCCAGGAATTGAACTCAGCTCTGCACCAAGCAGACCTAATAGACATCTACAGAACTCTCCACCCCAAATCAATAGAATATATATTCTTCTCAGCACCACATCACACTTACTCCAAAATTGACCACATAGTTGGAAGTAAAGCACTCCTCGGCAAACGTAAAAGAACAGAAATTATAACAAACTGTCTCTCAGACCACAGTGCAATCAAACTAGAACTCAGGATTAAGAAACTCACTCAAAACTGCTCGACTACATGGAAACTGAACAACCTGCTCCTGAATGACTACTGGGTACATAACAAAATGAAGGCAGAAATAAAGATGTTCTTTGAAACCAATGAGAACAAACACACAACATACCAGAATCTCTGGGACACATTTAAAGCAGTGTGGAGAGGGAAATTTATAGCACTAAATGCCCACAAAAGAAAGCAGGAAAGATCTAAAATTGACACCCTAACATCACAATTAAAAGAACCAGAGAAGCAAGAGCAAACACATTCAAAAGCTAGCAGAAGGCAAGAAATAACTAAGATCAGAGCAGAACTGAAGGAAATAGAGACACAAAAAAACCCTTCAAAAAATCAATGAATCCAAGAGCTGGTTTTTTGGAAAGATCAACAAAATTGATAGACCACTAGCAAGACTAATAAAGAAGAAAAGAGAGAAGAATCAAATAGAAACAATAAAAAATGACAAAGGGGATATCACCACCGATCCCACAGAAATACAAACTACCATCAGAGAATACTATAACACCTCTACACAAATAAACTAGAAAATCTAGAAGAAATGGATAAATTCCTCGACACATACATCCTCCCAAGACTAAACCAGGAAAAAGTTGAATCTCTGAATAGACCAATAACAGGCTCTGAAATTGAGGCAATAAGTAATAGCTTAACAACCAAAAAAAGTCCAGGACCAGATGGATTCACAGCCCAATTCTACCAGAGGTACAAGGAGGAACTGGTACCATTCCTTCTGAAACTATTCCAATCAACAGAAAAAGAGGGAATCCTTCCTAACTCATTTTATGAGGCCAGCATCATCCTGATACCAAAGCCTGGCAGAGACACAAACAAAAAAGAGAATTTTAGACCAATATCCTTGATGAACATTGATGCAAAAATCCTCAATAAAATACTGGCAAACTGAATACAGCAACACATCAAAAAGCTTATCCACCATGATCAAGCGGGCTTCAGCCCTGGGACGCAAGGCTGGTTCAACATACGAAAATCAATAAATGTAATCCAGCATATAAACAGAACCAATGACAAAAACCTCATGATTATCTCAATAGATGCAGAAAAGGCCTTTGACAAAATTCAAAGACGCTTCATGCTAAAAACTCTCAACAAATTAGGTATTGATGGCACCTATCTCAAAATAATAAGAGCTATCTATGACAAACCCACAGCCAATATCATACTGAATGGACAAAAACTGGAAGCATTCCCTTTGAAAACTGGCACAAGACAGGATGCCCTCTCTCACCACTCCTATTCAACATAGTGTTGGAAGTTCTGGTCAGGGCAATCAGGCAGGAGAAGGAAATAAAGGGCATTCAATTAGGAAAAGAGGAAGTCAAATTGTCCCTGTTTGCAGATGACATGATTGTGTATTTAGAAAACCCCATCGTCTCAGCCCAAAATCTCCTTAAGCTGATAAGCAACTTCAGCAAAGTCTCAAAATCAAGATTTTGTATCTTGATTTGATACAAAATCAAGATTTTGTATCTTGATTTGATACAAAATCAAGATTTTGTATCTTGATTTGATACAAAATCAAGATTTTGTATCTTGATTTGATACAAAATCAAGATTTTGTATCTTGATTTGATACAAAATCAAGATTTTGTATCTTGATTTGATACAAAATCAAGATTTTGTATCTTGATTTGATACAAAATCAAGATTTTGTATCTTGATTTGATACAAAATCAAGATTTTGTATCTTGATTTGATACAAAATCAAGATTTTGTATCTTGATTTGATACAAAATCAATGTGCAAAAATCACAAGCATTCTTATACACCAATAACAGACAAACAGAGAGCCAAATCATGAGTGAACTCCCATTCACAATTGCTTCAAAGAGGATAAAATACCTAGGAATCCAACTTACAAGGGATGTGAAGGAACTCTTCAAGGAGAACTACAAACCACTGCTCAATGAAATAAAAGAGGATACAAACAAATGGAAGAACATTCCATGCTCATGGGTAGGAAGAATCAGTATCATGAAAATGGCCATACTGCCCAAGGTAATTTATAGATTCAATGCCATCCCCATCAAGCTACCAATGACTTTCTTCACAGAATTGGAAAAAACTACTTTAAAGTTCATATGGAACCAAAAAAGAGCCCGCATTGCCAAGTCAATCCTAAGCCAAAAGAACAAAGCTGGAGGCATCACACTACCTGACTTCAAACTATACTACAAGGCTACAGTAACCAAAACAGCATGGCACTGGTACCAAAACAGAGATATAGAAAAACAGAACAGAGCCCTCAGAAATAATGCCACATATCTACAACTATCTGATCTTTGAGAAACCTGACAAAAATAAGCAATGGGGAAAGGATTCCCTATTTAATAAATGGTGCTGGGAAAACTGGCTAGCCATAAGTAGAAAGCTGAAACTGGATCCCTTCCTTACACCTTATACAAAAATTAATTCAAGATGGATTAAAGACTTAAATGTTAGACCTAAAACCATAAAAACCCTAGAAGAAAACCTAGGCAATACCATTCAGGACACAGTCATGGGCAAGGACTTCATGTCTAAAACACCAAAAGCAATGGCAACAAAAGCCAAAATTGACAAATGGGATCTAATTAAACTAAAGAGCTTCTACAGAGCAAAAGAAACTACCATCAGAGTGAACAGGCAACCTACAGAATGGAAGGAAATTTTTGCAACCTACTCATCTGACAAAGGGCTAATATCCAGAATCTACAATGAACTCAAACAAATTTACAAGAGAAAAAACAACAATCCCATCAAAAAGTGAGCAAAGGATATGAACAGACACTTCTCTAAAGAAGACATTTATGCAGCCAAAAAACACACGAAAAAATGCTCATCACCACTGGCAATCAAATGCAAATCAAAAACCACAATGAGATACCATCTCACCCCAGTTAGAATGACGATCATTAAAAAGTCAGGAAACAACAGGTGCTGGAGAGGATGTGGAGAAATAGGAACACTTTTACACTGTTGGTGGGACTGTAAACTAGTTCAACCATTGTGGAAGTCAGTGTGGCAATTCCTCAGGGATCTAGAACTAGAAATACCATTTGACCCAGCCATCCCATTACTGGGTATATACCCAAAGGATTATAAATCATGCTGCTATAAAGACACATGCACACGTATGTTTATTGCGGGACTATTCACAATAGCAAGACTTGGAACCAACCCAAATGTCAATCAATGATAGACTGGATTAAGAAAATGTGGCACATATACACCATGGAATACTATGCAGCCATAAAAAATGATGAGTTCATGTCCTTTGTAGGGACATGGGTGAAGCTGGAAACCATCATTCTCAGCAAACTATTGCAAGGACAAAAAACCAAACACCGCATGTTCTCACTCATAGGTGGGAACTGAACAGCGAGAACACATGGACACAGGAAGGGGAACACTACACAACGGGGACTGTCGCGGGGTGGGGGGAGGGGGGAGGGATAGCATTAGGAGATATACCTAATGTAAATGACAAGTTAATGGGTGCAGCACACCAACATGGCACATGTATACATATGCAACAAACCTGCACGTTGTGCACATGTACCCTGTAACTTAAAGTATAATAATAATAAAATAATAAAAAATTAAAAAGTTCAGTGTTCGAGTTCTCTCTTTGTCTCTTGGCCTCTGCGATGCCTGCAGAAACCCAGTCGCAACCCATTCGTTCATATTCCTCTCCTTAGAGCCAGGAGTTAGCACCCCAAGGGCAGTGCTGAATCCCTGGACAGGACTCAGGATAAATGCATTCCCCCTGCTGTCTCTCAGAGGCACAGCTGTGAAACACATTCTACCGGCTTCCTGAGAGCTTCCCAGGGAGTTCACGCCCCAGTTGCTCACAGAAGTGACCAGCTCAATGACACCCCCTTTTGGTGGATTTTTCTTCTCTATTCCATTCTTCCCTCTTTTATGAGCTCACTTTCTAAAAGAGGCTACCTGCACAAACGCCCATCACAGGCTCAGCTTTCTAAGAAAACTCTGGCTGGGACAGTGGACTTTCCAGAATGGAATGTGGGCAGTATTCTAAAATACTAAATAAAATGCAATAGGAAAATCAAAGGGATGAATGTCACATGGCATAAAGAAGGAGGTAGAGGACATCTGCCTAGCCTGCCAAAACAAAACAAATTGACAATCAACCCCGGCCACCCAGGAGATGAGCTTTGTCACAGCAATTCTTCCTCATATCCCAGAAAAAAGAAGAAATGAGGACAGTAGAATCAACTGTGACATCCAAAAAAGGAAAGCTGCCCAATCTCTTCTCTAGAATGTGTCAACTGTGATTTATGAAATGACATATGCTATTTTTATATTGCAATGTTTGCTTATCTATAGGTAAGAGCTCACTATTTCTTATATCATGTTATAATTATATTCATGAAGAAGATGACCATTGCACAGACAAGTACACTGTGAAGAACCGTGAGGAGAGATTTTAACCTACTTGCAAGCTAACAAATGAGTCTGCCAGTTTGTTTCATGGTTGCGGCAGAAGACTCCTGGGTCAAAGCAAAGGACTGTATTACTTACAGCATAGCAAACAGTATGAGCATCAGCATATTTGCATCAATTTCCTTGCCTCCAAGTCCTCTGGGGGAATATGGATGGGCACAGATGGATGTGTGCACACGCAGTGGGTTACATGACAAGTGAGGAGCCCTGAGCTTAGGGAATTCAAAGTTTTCTATGGGCAGCAGGCTTTGCTTGCCCTTTGGCAACACTGCTGAAATAAATCTCTTATAGTTCAAGATGTATTGATAAGCGTGTTAAGCTTATTTTTATATATGAAGAATAACAAATTGTTATTTTCTATGGTTATTCACAGTATCTCAAAATCTATGTGATATTTTACTAGCTTAGTTTTATTATAATTTTAAAAGACCATTTGGGTTCCTTTGTTAGTGGACAAGAATGAAAAGAGATAAATTAGTTACTTTCTTAAAGCTAAGCAACATCATTTTCTATTGAGGAACCCAAAACTTTCCTAACTTTTACAAATGTTTGTAAATTGTAGGTTCTGTGACAGCCTGTGCTATAAAATTTCATAAGCTTATGAGAGCTTTCTTAACACAGCTGTGGACTTTTATCCTGGTGTTGTACAGCAGTTCAAATTAGCACAAGAATCATAAACCCTATATTTGAACAGCTATATAATATTATATATTTATTTTCCCATTTGATGTTGCATTACTTTTTCTACCAATCTTCTTACAATAAATTCATAAATATCTTAATTATGGCAAATGTGCAGTTCTTAAAGATGAGAATCATCAAACATATTTCTATTACAGAGATATATTCTTCAAAAAGTCATCTAAAATAGAAACCCAACTGGGAGACACCTTAAAAGGTTATCTGCCACAACAGAAGCTTTGCTTAAAATACTGTTCTCTTTGTATTTGTGTTAATAATTGATTTGTCTTTGAAATTAAATTAGGAATCTACTATATCTAGTGGTCTTGAAATCAAAGCCCCCTCCCCATTCCTTATCTTCACTGCTGTGTTCAAAAAGACTAGACTCCAGGGACCTGTCCAAAGCTGGGTTAAATATAGGATGTCTGAGAGACACCCTTCTTTCATAGTTCGAGGGTAAGCATGTAGCTGTATGTGTGTGGAGGGGCGGGTGGAGGAGGTTAGCTGTATCAGGGTAGGCATAATACTATATTTTAAATCCCTCCTTCTGTTATAAATGTAAGCTGAAAATAATCTCTGCTCCCAGCGGCAGCAATCGTAAACTCGCTTAGTTCTGCCTGTAATTTAATTTAATTTAACATGTGACATTGAGACAATGTTTCTTTTAATTCACATATAACTTCTTCCTCACCCACATTCCAGCCAAATAAACACATACTTATAGAAAAATGTGACTGTTTTCCTGGGCAACCCAACAATTCAACTGTCCCTAAAACACCAGGTTCAATTTAAACTCTATTAGCTTGTCTGAGGGCTAAGATATCTAAAAATCCAAGACAAATTATCATTTGCATATATGGAGGCAGCTCTGATTGAACAGATATCTAAAACTGATAGGTAATATTTTAGATCAAATCACTCCATCAAGTCAAAGACTAATTCAACTGTTTGTTCAGTTTCCAAAGGAATCCTTCCATTTTGGTCTAGTGTTCCATAAACATTGACTTTACATGAAAAGGACAGTGAAGAGATCTCTTGAACCGGCCAGAAAGTTGAAGCTCAAGGTTGCAGAAGATTTGAGCTACCAAGTCCAAGCCTTCTAAAAGATTCCCAATATGTATATATATCATTTTCCTAACTCTACATTTGCCTGAGAAGCAATGACATTCAATAAACTTTTTTCCACGGGATTTAGTTACAAAATAAGTTAAGGAACTACAAGTTATATATTTCCTGGAAAAATATACTATTATACATATATATTATATATTCAAAACTCCGTAAAGCATATAAAGTATAAGCATATACTGAGTTATAAGGCATAACTCAACATGTTATTTTAACCTAAAATTTTCTTAGGGCCTCAATTGCAAATGCTTTAATTGCCAATGGTTCATAAACACATCTGTGAATTAGAAGCAAGTAATATCCTCTGTTTTTATACTCTCAAAAAATGTGATTATACTTAATCAAAAGTAATTCAAACCACAGCCCAGGCAATACATACTAGACCACGTCTTCTTGGTAATTTAATTCTTAGCAATAATTTTAATTGCTGCCTAATTAAGTAGGCATGCTACTTAAATCACAATCCTGTAGTTATAAGGTTAAAACTATTTTAAAATCTCAAATGTTTTTAGATTTCAATCACTCTTCGTATTATTACAACAAAAATGTTCATTAACTGGAACACATGCAGTATCATTTTTTAGCCCCCACTTTATGATATTTTTTAATTTTTATTACCAGAGTAGTCATTTCATTATAAAATTTTAACCAAGCTAAGCATATACTCCATTTTTTAGAAAACTAGATTTACTGTAGTCCTGTTAAGGCTATCATAGTAAGCAATGAATTTCACACTTGTCTTTTATACAGTACCACAACACATCAAGCAGATATATGAATTCCTTGACAAAATACATTTAAAACAAACAATTCCATGCCTTATATGTCAAGTGGAAAAGGAATATTTTTTCTACAGTGACAGAGCAGACTTGACATGTGCACAGTCATGTACAACCAAGCGTTTGCAAATGCTCTTACAACGTGGAGCAACCGGGCCTAGGGACAAGCAACCTTTCAGCTAAGAGTCTCGTCAAAGGTGCGGAAGCCCATTACAGAAGACCAGATAACAGTCAGTCTGACGGGTTCATTCAGATATTCAAGCTTTAAAAAGTACTTCGAAGACTGATACAGATGTCCTAGGCAATAAACTTCCCAAAAAGAATGGAGAACAATCCCAGTGCCAATTACATCTTTGTCATTCAGAAATCCAGGCTAATTTGATTTAGAGACATATATAAATGAACTGTTATTTCTCATAATTGTTTTTTTTTCAGCCTCTTTATTTTTAATCTACATCTCTTAGGTAAAATGCATCAATTTAACTACACTTACTTATTCTGAGTTTTTCTATTGGTCCATGTTTCCTTTAAACACAATTTTGAATGGTTTTTTAAAGTAACCATTTGATTTTGAAACCAATTTACAGAAAACATGGAAGAACTATGCTAATATGCTGTATCACCCCTGAATACTTCAATGTACATTTCCTACAACAAAGATGTTCTCCTATATAACCATAATATGATCATCACAGTCATCATGGATAAAGTTCCAATATTTAATCCCCAATCTTGTTCAAGTTTCACCAATTCCCAATCATGTCCTTTATAACATAAGCATTTAATGCAGAATAGTATTTAGTTGCCTTGTTTTCTTAGCCTCTGTCAATCTGGAATGCCTCCTTCCTCACTCCACTCAACCTCTGACAACTTGCTATAGGTCACCACCAGTGCTGTCTCCTGTCTCTCCAGGTCCCCACCCTTGCTATACTGTGGATGCTTTCCTTACCCTGCTGGTTTCTGAATGCTCTGCCATGGTCCTGGGCCTCCCCACTACCCAGCATGGATGCCTAAGCTGAACTGAATGACCTTGGACTGAATTGTTCAAAAAGAGAAGGGGAAAGGAAGAGGAAGAAGAATGCCAAGTAATTTGATTTTTCTTTTTTCATGATCAAACCAATGTCTTGGAATTGATTATCATTTCCATGGGCTACTTCAGCTCCGTACTGTTTGTATAGAGTTTGGTGAAAATGAATAAAGGCATGTGAACTACATTTTTTGTTTTTTTTTTTTTGTTTTTTTTTGAGACAGAGTCTCACTCCGTCACCCAGGCTGGAGTGCAGTGGCACGATCTCAGCTCACTGCCTCCTCACAGGCACCTGCCACCATGCCCTGAAATTTTTTCATATTTTTAGTAGAGGCAGGGTTTCACCGTGTTGTCCAGGCTGGTTTCGAACTCCCGACCTCAAGTGATCCACCCGCCTCAGCCTCCCAAAGTGCTGAGATTACAGCTGTGAGCCACCGTGCCCAGCCTGAACTCCATTTTTTATAGAGTACCATTTGACACTAAAATTAAGAGTCTGTTACTCATCTGCAGAATCTCTCTTAAAATGGTATTACTAAAAGGTCCAAAATGAAACATCTGTAAAAATAATTATTCCTACACTCTGTGAGATCTCTTTCCTGACACATTTCACATCTAAGTGAGTTTCCTAACTAACCCACACACACTCTATAGTAGGCTTACCCTTCTTTCCCCAGGCTGGCTGGCGAACTTGCAAAACATAACCATTTAGGGGAAAAAATTGAGGCAATTAAAATTAAAAGTGTTTTAGGCTAAGTAATGAATAAATTAACCCACTGAAAAGTTACATCAAAGGCTATTACTCAGCATTTTACCAATTACAGGAATTTCTGCAAAATCTGCCCAGCCATTTGTTTGTGTATCCCTGGGATCAGTGCCCAGAGTTCAATCTTTCTCTTGATGCTTCCTGTTGTTTTCAGGGACTCAATGAGAGCAGTAAGTGACCTTTCACTCAGTGCAAGTCTATGGGCACTGAAGTTACGAAAATATTTCCCTTCATGCAGAATCTTCCTAACAAAGCTTTCCCATGTATTTGTCAGGTCAAATAACATTCAGATAAACTGCACATAATCCCCAAAATGCCAAATGTTTAGAGAGCTTTTTTTTTTTTGAGACGGAGTTTTGCGTTTTGCTCTTGTTGCCCAGGCTGGAGTGCTATGGTGGGATCTCGGCTCACTGCAACCTCCACCTCCCAGGTTCAAGCGATTCTCCTGCCTCAGCCTCCCGAGTAGCTGGAATTACAGATGCCTGCCACCACGCCCGGCTAATTTTTGTATTTTTAGTAGAGACAGGGTTTCACCATGGTGGCCAAGCTGGTCTCGAACTCCTGACCTCAGGTGATCCACCCACCTCGGCCTCCCAAAGTGCTGGGATTACAGACACGAGCCACTGTGCCCGGCCTAGAGAGCTCTTCCCATGAAGAGCCATTTCATGCCATCATCAACAGGCTGCCTTCGTGGGTGGCCAATGTGCTTCTGGAAAACCAGCTGTGAATAACGTGAGCAACTCATGGTGTCTTCATGAGAAGGAAACTTTTAGATGTCCTTATTGACTTTCTTCTTGGTATTGAAGGTGGTATAATTATTATAGTTACATAGTTTTATCTGGAAGAATTACTTGATCTAAAAGGTAATTTAAAATTAGTAAAATTTATTAGATATGAGGATACTAAGTTTCATCAACGAAAGAAGACTGAAAACACCCACAGTAGTAGTATTGAAATTTTACGTGTCACTCAGCAACTCGCGAGAGTCCCGTCTGGTGCTGAGTCCGTTTGGAATATCTGTCCCTGCCCTCCCCTCCTCCAAAAAGAATGTTCACTGTAAATGAGAAGAGCTTAATTTCTATGGGCTTTGTAATCCTTCCACTGGATTCCAAGCAAAATAACTATCAATACAACTAATCCTGAGAATAAAAAGTAATCACAACTATGCAACAAAAACAGGAAAGGTGGTGGCAGGATCTCAGATTTCATTTTTCTCCAGGAAGGTCTTTTTGAAGCCCTGTTTATTCAATAGTAAGAGTGACCTCTAGTGACTTATTTTGTTGTATTTTGCCAGTTGATTGGTCAATTACTCTAGCATGCCTTTCTATAAGTAACTCATTTATGTGTTTATTTAAGCCAAACGGCAGTTTCCATTACAAGACCCAAGGATTTTAATTTAAGTAACAACGTTTTATTCACAAAGCCCTCTCACAAAAGCAGATTAAAGTTGAATCTGAAACACGGTACAGCATCTGACCAAAGCAATCCGGAGCTTGTTTTTTCGAAGGGCACACCAAGTGTAGGATTAACTGAGGCACAACTGAATCATGATGCACAGTGAGTGCATGAACCCATGTGCGTGCCCTGTGTGTGAAGAAACAACCCACCCTTGAGCCCACAGGCAGAACAGCACTGAGCTACGGCAAACTTTTCATGACAGCTTAGGAAAACTGCTGAAAGCTACCCTTGGTTATCCTGCAATAATCTAAATTTCCAAACATGGCCACTAGCATTTATTGGAACTTATTTCGAAAGAGATTTTGGTAGGAGAGGGCTGAGGCTGACAGCAGGGAGATGCCACTGAAAGAAAAATAAAAGTGATTTGAGAAGGAGGAGGAAGACATTTTAAAAATTCTAATCTCATGGTTTCATTAATCAAGAAAGAAAGACGACTCTCTGATAGAGATTTACTCCAAGCCGAAAAAAAAATGTGCAATGTTGTGTAAACATTTTTATGTGTGATAAAATATGGGTACATTATGTTTTGCTCATCTGTCTGGAATATCATCATTATATTAGAATCATAGCCCATTCTAGAAATAAAAGCTTCCTAGGTGTTTACCAAATTAAGTAAAATAAAAAACAGGGAACCCGATGGCAAATTAAATAATGTAAAATATTAGCATCCAGAGAGGAATCATTTTCAAGATCACCTAAATGACTGGCTGAGTTTTGTCTTTAACCAAGAACTTTCTACTGAGAAACGAAGCCCCTGACAGGGGTGTTCAAGTGTTATTCCCTTAGTAGTTAGGGCAGGTTATTAATTTAGTTTCGCCTACAGGCACTCTGTCCCTATACTGCGTGGAAGTTAATTAGCATTTTAACTCTGAAGCTGCCAAGGTCGGCAAAACTGTAAGCTGCTAACATCTAAGTTGATGCAGTATGATGTAATGTCTGCCAGTTTTTTCCCTGTTAGACTTAATTCCTACAAAATATTACAATCCTAAAAAGGAATAAATGACAGCATTTGCAGGCTAATCTCTTATTAAGATGCTCTTTTCAGGTTTTACAGAAACGGCCACTTTCTCAATGAATATTCAAGAACATCGATTAAAAAGTCAAAACATGCATGGTATATCTTAGACTCCCCCACAAGAGGAAAGTCTATTGTAAACAAAATCGTCTTTTTCGGGTTGCAATTCCAAATATTTTTTTAAGGTTCTTCATGTTCAGGAGCATGTTCTGCAATTCCACTTCCAAATATTACCGATAATAAAAAAATACAAAGTTTTCCAGACAGCCTAGCGCAAGTTTTAAACCATTTGCTGTACTTACGTGGATTTCCTGCTCCTACGGGGCTCCAAGTCTGAGTGGGGAGAAGCAGCAGCACCTTGAGGACGGCCCAGGCCACTGAAGCCATGCTCACTTCAGCCAGGCGCCCTGAGACCCGGGCACGGCGACGGCCGCTCTGCGTCGTTCCTGCTCTCACTCCCGCTCTCACTCCCGTCCCCTGCGCGGCTCCGACGCTGCTCTGTCTCCCCTGTCCAGTCTCTAGCTCTCTTCCTCACGCACTGGCAGCCTCCCTCGGCGCTGCAGACCCTCCCGCCAAGCCGCGCCCGGCCCCAGCTGCGTCTCCGAGGTCGGCCCCGCGGGAGCCTGGGGGCCGCGCGGCGCCGCCCCAGGCACGGAGGCGGCAGGTTCAGGCGCGTCCCGGACACTAGGCGCGGGAGGCGGCCGGCACCAACGCGAGTCAAGAAGCGAGCGGGAGGGACGCCCCAGCTCCGCCTGGCGCTCTCCTCCCGTTATACCGGCAGCTTCCTCCGTCCCTCTCTCCCACCGGGGCGGGGCGGCCGCGGTGCACGGACTCGCGCCAAAGACCGCGCCGTCAGCCTCCGCCTGCAGGTGGAGAACGCCAGGCTTTATCACTGCGCTGTTCACCCAACGCAGGGGCTGCACCCAGGAAAATGCTGTCCTGTTTGAGTTCAAATAGGGAAGATGGGGCAGAAATAACTCTGCGGCGTGTACTCGGGCAGACGCGCGCACACTTTGATTTTGCTAGGAATTCTGACTTGTAGAGAACCAAGCTGGGAAACCGGGCCAGGAGCAGGGAGAGGCCGGTGAGCCTGGGTTCTGCAAGTGCAAGCCTTTATTTAAAGTTTTAATATTTTGTCTATCATGGGTTTTTTTTCTTTGCGATTACATTCAATTTTAAAACTATTTCATTCATTCAGGATTAGCGTTACTTAACAGTTGCTCCTGAGACTAGTGCGTTAGTCCCTTCACCCTAGTCCTGGCCTTGGTGGAAGTCTAAAATTTACATTTTATTCCAGCTTTCTGTCCAAAAGAGCAACCCCTGCAAGTGTAGGATGAGGAGCTCAGTCCAGCAGCAGCTAACACTGCACTCCTTGCGCACCTGCTGTGTGCTAGAGGGAGGGGCGGAGGCGGGAGGTGGGAGGCAGGGGGCGGGGGGGTCTTTCTCTTTTTCTCTTCCTCTGCTTCTCAAATTCACAGTAGGGGCAAAGATTGACAAACTCACTCACATTACCACCACCGCGAGTTTCCAAAAAAGAAAAAAGAAAGAAAGATACTAACTTTTTTAGATGGTATCTCTAAGAAATAGTGTATTAATCTTCCCTTTGGAAAGACAACTTTGAAAGGCTTTTTCATTAAAATGAATTCAAATGTAATAGATGTAAAATGTAAAATGAATTCAGATGTAATAGAGGAAGAAACTTACAAAGTCATTCTTGAATTATTAATTGGGTTCACTTAAACTACTTTTGCACAAGAACTCTGTAAATAGCACGTCTTTTATTACAGAAAAAATTATAAATCTAAAGTTTTGATTGACAGATCAGTTGCCTTCAGTGAGACAGAAAGAGAGAAAATGGAAATCATTTTCTAAATTGGACCTAGAGTAAAACAACAAATGTCAATCTATTATTATACCAATTTGTCAGGCATCAGATGGAGTCTTTAAAAATGTGAACTTGGCCAGGTGCGGCGGCTCATGCCTGTAATCTCAGCACTTTGGGAGGCTGAGGAGGCCAAGAGGTCAGGAGATGGAGCCCATCCTGGCCAACATGGTGAAACCCCGTCTCTATTAAAATACAAAAAATTAGCCGGGCGTGGTGGTGCCTGCCTGTAGTCCCAGCTACTCGGGAGGCTGAGGCAGGAGAATCGCTTGAACCCGGGAGGCAGAGGTTGCAGCAAGCCAACATTGTGCCCTGCACTCCAGCTTGGCGACAGAGCCAGACTCCGTCTCAAGACAAAAAAAAAAAAAAGTGAACTTGGGTGTTCAAAGTGTTAGGCTTAATGGAGAAAGGACAAGAAACTTCTACGGTGGTAGACATTTGCAATTAAAAAAAATGGCTTCATTAAACTGTAAAATCACTAGCGTAGTGAGGGTGAATGCATTTTTTACAACATTGGAGGAATATGTTTATGAATATTATTCCCAATACATAAAATATACATTTTACACACTTATAGGTACACTCAAAATTTGTTCCAAATTGTTCATGTCTAGTAAACATATATACACTATTTTATATGGTTAAGCCAATAAGCATCAGCATTTTCTTCTAAGACAGGAGGCTTGTAATTGTTTTGATTCCCCTGCTTTTGACTTAAAACATATTTAGGTTTATTCTACTTAAGTTGTTTGGTTAGGGAACTTGAAGTCCTTAGACATAAATGTGTGTCTTGAAATGCATTTTATGTGGCTATAATTGCTGCTATATGGTTATTATTTAAATCAGCATAGACATTTGCCGTGGTGATAATGCTGGCAATGAACTTTGCAGACTAAGAGTAGTGAGGCTCTAAAAATTACTTTGCCTAATAGAGAAGCATCCGTCACAATCATCACACACTACACACTTACTGAACAAATGAAGGCATGAATTCGAGATGGCCGATGTAACTAGAACACTGGATGTCCTAGAAAAAATGTCGAATATCACAAATATAAATGTTTTATGTGTTGCTGCTTTATTTCCTTTCTTCCCTACTTTCCATGATAATGCAATTTAAACTTTGAAACTTCTTACTTACCTTTTATTTAACCTTAACATGGATAATAAATACAATTATATTTTTTATTTCAATCTGGATAATGGTTGCATGATTCAACCAGAATAAAAAAGGAATAAGATCTACTTTGTAATAGCACATATTTAGGAAGTGAGTATATTTATATTGGAACAAATGATGATACTGAGGTGTGTTTGATGACTAGCTTCTGGATTATAAGAATGTAAATGTTTGTTAAGATAGACTCTTTTGAAATTTGTTCTTGAATATTTTGAATTACAAAAGGAACATTTTTAAAAGAATTGTATAAAGAAAATGTTAATAATTGCCACTACCATCACCCCAACCCCACTGAGGTAACCAATGATACATAACAGGCTGACAGGCTAGTATGTATCCTTATGTATCCTTGTTTTGGCTCTTCTTCTTCTTTTTTTTTTGAGACAGAGTCTCGCTCTGTCGCCTAGACTGGAGTGCAGTAGTGGTGTGATCTTCGCTCACTGCAACCTCTGCCTCCCAGGTTCAAGCAATTCGTGTGCCTCGGCCTTCTGAGAAGCTGGGACAACAAGTGAGTGCCACCAGACCCGGCTAAGTTTTTGTATTTTTGGTAGGGACAAGGTTTTTCCATGTTGCCCAGGCTGGTCTCGAACTTCCTGAGCTCAAGTGATCCACCCGCCTTGGCGTCCCAAAGTCTTGAGAATACAAGCGTGAGCCATCACACCGGCCTTGGCTCATATATAAACACATACAACCTGTACATACAGTTGTGCTTATTTTGTTTTAATAAGGTTTTACCTTGTACTTTATACTCTCATCCTGCAATTTTATCATCTCTCTTTGTAGTATACCGTGTGCATTCCAGTCTAAGCTAGAACTTAGTTTTCAGTTCTAGAAAATAGAGTGAGAATACAAAAATATAACATTTGCCTGCCAATCTAATAGTATTTTAATTCCTAAATAGATCTACTTTCACAAATATGCTACTTCTCAAAGAATTATTTTTCTTATGATATTTTTCTAAGCAATGCAATGTGATATTACTCAGATTTTTTAAATGCACTACTGCATTAGTCAAGGCCCAGAAAGAAAGCATGATTTGTTCAGATAGTTTAAAGGAACAG
Organism: Homo sapiens; assembly: GCF_000001405.40. Lineage (NCBI taxonomy): Eukaryota > Metazoa > Chordata > Mammalia > Primates > Hominidae > Homo > Homo sapiens. Next base: position 42,132,831 of record NC_000009.12, read on the forward strand.
GCTGTAAAGAAAAGTGAAGGGACCCACCAGGTGACCTTGTGGCAACCAAAGACAAGCACTAGCAGAAAGCCTTTACCACCTACAGCAGAGGCGCGGAGGGAGGAACGGTTGCTGCCAGATCCCCAGAAGGCAGCAGCCGGGGAACACAAAGGTCTGGCAGGAGCCGCAGTCATAGAAGTAAAAAAATTTGTTGTCAGAACCTGGAAACAGGAGTGAGTAGGGAAGAAACTTTTTGAGCTCTGACTTCTGAAACCTTCCTGTTTCTGTGGGTGTCTCTCATTAGCCAAAACCAACTGGAAGTCAGCTGGGAGGGGAGCAGGGTGACACTCGAGCAGGAAGGGTGACACTCGGGCAGGAAGGGTGACACTGGGGCTGGAAGAGTAGAGGGTGGTTCTGAGGACCTCCACAAAGAATGGCCAGCACATCCTAGAACACTGATACTTATCAAATTTAAAAAAAAAAAGTTTATTTTTGTTTTGTGCATTCATGTTCTTTAATGAATGATTTATAAAGTAATGGCTTGGAATAGAAATCTAAAGCTTTTATTTTTTAAATTATGAACCGAAGTAATCGTACTTGCTAGAAATTAAACCAGAGCTTTGAGGTCAAATAGTTTACTCTTTCTTCTGTTTATATTAACAGGGAAGATTAATTGTGCTGAATATCGTAGTTTTGAATGGAGCTTTTTATTAACTTCAACATCAGGAAATCACCAGAGTCCACCTACCTTTCCTTATTTTTAACAGAAATAGAAAGATTGATGTTCTCATAGAGCAAAAAAGATGAGGTCTCACTTCTTGTGGCCTTCTGACATCCATCAATATTTTAGGAAAACAATTCTCACATTTCAGGGCCAAATGGGAATTAAGTTGAGCTCAAATACAAAGGGAAATATTTTTTATTAAAACATTATAAATTTTTTTGTGAAACGAATCAGCTAGCCTAAAATTTAATCCTTCCAAACTACAGTAGGTTAAAAAAAACAAGTGAATGAATGGTAAACAAGTTGAAATTTTCTTTCCAGTTTCTTATCACTGGCTAATTGGGAAGAATTGAAAAGTCAGAAGAGGAGAAAATTATAATCAATGCCTACTCCATTAAAAAATTGCTTAACTGTTTTATTGAAATTGATTCTATAGAGAGCCCCTGATTGCATATTTGATAAGGAACATTAACGCTAATACATGAAATACCCTATGTGGTCACATATGAAAGAAACATTCTTGGCTGGGTGCGGTGGCTCATGCCTGTAATCCCAGAACTTTGGAAGGCCGAGGTGGGCAGATCACGAGGTCAGGAGATCGAGACCATCCTGGCTAACATGGTGAAACCTCGTCTCCACTAAAAATACAAAAAAATTAGCCGGATATAGTAGTGGGTGCCTGTAGTCCCAGCTACTCGGGAGGCTGAGGCAGGAGAATCGCTTGAACCCTGGAGGCGGAGCTTGCAGTGAGCCAAGATCACGCCACTGCACTCCAGCCTGGGTGAAAGAGCAAGACTCTGTCTCAAAAAAAAAAAAAAAAAAGAAAGAAAGAAAGAAAGAAACAAACAAAGAAACAAAGAAAGCATTCTCCCAAATATTTTCGTTTATATAAAAAGATAAGTCTCACCCTAAATCAATGTTAAACTTATAGAAAGAACAGGTAGTCACAGTTAGAATGTGATTTTAGGGGCTAGGAAATCAACCCCAGACTTCAGCAAATCAATGTTCCACCACTGAAGTGTGCTAATATTTAGTATGAAACCGCTTACGGATTTCAGATCTTTTCCTGAAAGCAAACTTTAATATAGCAGAAGTCATCTGGATTTGGGCTGGAGATGGGGAGAATGAGAGGAGGCAAGTACTATAAGGGGTGGAGTGTAGGGGTAGGAGAGAGTAAAGAAAGGCATTAATTAAATGTCAGAAGTGAATTTATTCATTTTGTAGTTTTATCTAAACTGAAAACTGATCCTTGCTTGAATGGCTTGATAGAGAATGCCTCTCTCATGGGGCAAGGATAAAGCTATAATTATAAAACTTCAAGCTTAAAATAATGGGACTCAATGTTTGGGGCATCTTTTTAACTCAGCTAATCTAAGGATATGAGAAAATACTGTTCCTATTTAAGGAGCAAAAATTGGTAGATATGTGTTTGGGAGAATTTTTAGATTTGCCAGCATTTGTGTTTCAGAACACTAAACAGCCTCATGGCAAGCCTGAATTTCTGAATATAATGAAGCAGAGACTGTTTTGTCTTGAGTAGATCCAGTTCGTGAAGTCTCAGGGGAACAGCATGCTTCATGCCTGCCAGCAGATGAGCTTCAAAGTGCCTTAAGGAAGCACTTTGACCAGAAGGTAGATAACTCTTATTATAGAAGAAGAAGGAGTGTGTAATCATCTCCTACTGGTAAGAATAGTTATTGCTTTTGCAAACACTGTAAATGTGCAATCTAGAAGCTAGAAATAAGTACGCAGTTAGAAGGCAGTCTTTTTTTTCATATGTAGTGAAGCTACTACACTTTCTGCAGTGGCAAATCTTAGCAGAGATTGTAAATCTAAGCAGAGAGGTATCCAGGATTGTGGTAGTCTACACTGAGTATGCCTACATGATGGTAGAGAAAAAAAATGAAGATTACATGCAGGATAGCTCCCTAAGAATATCAGATAAGAACTTCTGCAGAACAACTTGTTATGCATCTTCTGGTCCAAATTTTCAAAGAAACTGCTGCCGGGTATAAGGATACAAAAAAAGAGAGAGAGAAAGGGAGAAAACAAACAAACAAAAATGACCCTGAAGTGATAAAATATTTGGCTGCATTTGTTATTTAGGAAAGTCTGTAACTCAGAAATGAGATGGTCTGGAGGGAGACTTTAGAAACAATAGCAAGACACGAAAGTTCTCTCGAAACCTTGGATCCCATTTTTCATAATAAACAGATTTATGTCTTTTTTGATTAGCTTGTGAAAATTATTTGAGAATAATTTATGAGAAGTTCCCACTGCTAAAATATACTGAGTTCAATAAATTATTCATATTTTATTTTCATTAATTAAAATAAACCCAAATCCTATTAAGAACTTTTTCAAAGACTGATAACCATGACTACAAAATGCTTTGTTGTCACATTTCTTTTCATTCCATAAATTAAATAGACTCTTCTTTGTCTCTAAAGGCTATATAAACATATTATGTTTCCCAGGAAAGGCTGCAGTTAAATGTTGGCATTTTGTCCTTATGTTCCTATAGTTTCCTGTTGTAGCAGTGTAGAATGAAGTTATGCCAGAACAATTTCCACATAAATATTGAATAAAGTGGACTTTTCATGGTTCAAAGAGTTTTGTGCCAATGTTTCTTTTCTTAAGTGTTCAATGTAAATTTATGAAATTTTAATATTCTCTCATAAACACCTAAGTGTAGTTGCCATTAAATACAGATTCACATTCATGTTAGAACTGCTATTTTTTTGTTTCATATGATTTGTTCTTTTTTTTTTTTTTTCGAGAAGGAGGCTTGCTTTGTTGCCCAGGCTGGAGTGCAGTGGCGCCATCTGGGCTCATTGCAAGCTCCGCCTCCCGGGTTCAGGCCATTCTCCTGCCTCAGCCTGCTGAGTAGCTGGGACTACAGGCGCCCGCCACCACGCCCGGCTGTGTGTGTGTGTGTGTGTGTGTGTGTGTGTGTGTGTGTGTATTTTTTTTTTTTTTTGAGACGGAGTCTCGCTCTGTCGCCCAGGCTGGAGTACAGTGGTGAGATCTCAGCTCACTGCAAGCTCCGCCTCTTGGGTTCATGCCATTCTCCTGCCTCAGCGTCCGGAGTAGCTGGGACTACAGGCGCCCACCACCGCGCCCGGCCAATTTTTTGTATTTTTAGTAGAGACGGGGTTTCACCATAGCCAGGATGCTCTCGATCTCCTGACCTCGTGATCCACCCACCTCGGCCTCCCAAAGTGTTGGGATTATAGGCGTGAGCCTCCACACCCCGCCGGCAAATAAATTTTAAAGCCCTACATTCTTGGGCAAATTTTACCCTTAAATAAAAATTCAGCCAATTGTACTAATCCAATAAAGAGCCATTTTAGGGAGCCTAAAGTTTTTTTATGAAAGCTCTAGTTGAATCACATATCAAAGTACTGGTCTATTAAGTTTCTTTTTTTCAGATATAAGTTAATTTTGATGTATTTTATTTGCTCTTTAAAAAATCACACTTTTGAGGCTGCGTGCGGTGGCTCATGCCTGTAATGCTGGCATTTTGGGAAGCCAAGGCGGGCGGATCACTCGAGGTTAGGAGTTCGAGACCAGACTGGCCAACATGGTGAAACCCCTTCTCCACAAAAAATACAAAAATTAGCCAGGCGTGGTGGTGCATGCCTGTAATCCCAGCTCCTTGGGAGGCTAGGGCACGAGAATCACTTGAACCCAGGAAGCAGGGGTTGCAGTGAGCCGAGATCGCACCACTGCACTCCAGCCTGGGCAGCAGAGTGAGACTTTCTCAAAAACAAACAAACAAAAAGTCACCATTTTGAATGCTTAGACACTACTGGTGGACATGTAAATTAGTTCAGCCAGTGTCAAAAGCAGTTTGGTGATTTCTCAAATAACTCAAAACAGAATTACTATTCTACCCAGTAATGAGAATGGTAGACCTAGGCATGTGTATGTTCATTGCAGCACTATTCACAATAGCAAAGACATGGGATCAACCTAAATGCCCATCAATGGTAGACTGAATAAAGAAAATGTGGTGCATAGGCCCGGCGCGGTGGCTTACGCCTGTAATCCCAGCACTCTGGGAGGTGGAGGCCGGTGGATCACGAGGTCAGGAGATGGGGACCATCCTGGCTAACACGGTGAAACCCCGTTTCAATTTAAAATACAAAAAATTAGCCGGGCGTGGTGGTTGGCGCCTGTAGTCCCAGGTACTAGGAAGGTTGAGGCAGGAGAAGGGCGTGAACCCCAGAGGCGGAGTTTGCAGTGAGCCGAGATCGCACCACTGCACTCCAGCCCGGGTGACAGAGCAAGACTCCCGCTTGAAAAAAAAAAAAAAAGAAAGAAAATGTGGTGCATGTACACCACAGAATATACTACACAACCATAAAAAAGAACGGGATCATGTCCTTTGCAGCAACATGGATGGAGCTGGAGGCCATTATAGGAAGCAAACAAACACAGGAACAGGAAACCAAATGCCGCATGTTCTCACTTATGAGTGGGAGCAAAACACTGAGTACATATGGACACAAAGAAGGGAACAACAGGCACTGGGGCCTATTTGAGGGTAAAGGGAGGGAAGACGGTGACAACTGAGAAACTACCTATCTAGTACTGTGCTTATTACCTGGGTGGCAAAATAATGTGTACACCAAACCCCCATGATGTGTAATCTACCTAACAAATCAGCACATGTACCCCGAAACTAAAATAAAAGTTAAAAAATAATAACAATAATCACCCTTTAAACCTATCTTTCAACATTTAAAGTTTGCAAAGGCAAAGTTTTATTCACCTATGGAACATGGTTTACTAACTGAGCAACTCTGGGCAAGTACTCTCTTGGCCTCTTAAGTGGGGATAATAACAGGGCATGCCTCCAAATCTTCCTGTGAACATTAAGTGAATGGATACGTACTGGACACTCAGAAAAATGCTTGGGTTGTAGTGATATTTAAGTGCCATTATAATGGCAGCATTGTATGAACAGTACATGTGAAGAAATATTTTTAAAAAATCTAATCATTGTATGATATAACTAGAAATTTTATTTAAGTACTTAAAGTAAGAATATTTCTATTTAAAATTCTAGAGGCAGTGAAAATAACATTAAAAATGAAAATAAAGACATTTTTCAGACTTAGAAAACCTGAAATAATTCATCTCCAACATAGCCACTTTACAATAAATGTTAAAGTTTTTAGGCAGAAGAAAATTGAAAAACTGATACTAGATGGAAATATAAATGCATACAAAGGACTGTGGAACACTGGACATGGTAACTACATGAATAAAATTCTGGAAGGTTTTCTTATTATTTAAGTATTTTTAAAATACAATTGTTTAAGTAACAGTAATAACAATATAGCATGAGGTTTATAACACATGTAGAAGTCAAATTTATGGCAGTGATGGCACAATGCCTATGAGGAGAAAAATGGAAGTATGCTTTTGAAAAATTTTATATGTGAAGTAATATAATATAACTTGAATATACACTGTGAAAAGTTAAAAATATATGCTACATACCCTAAACCAACCACTAAAATATGCCAACAAAGAGTAAAGGTTGATAAGCCAATCAAAGAGATAAGATGAAATTCTTAAAGAAATTCTCAATTATCCTTTAAAAAGGGCTAAAAAAGAGAATAAGTAACAAAGCACAGAGGGAACAAATGAAAAACCATTTTAAGAAAATAAACTTAAATCTAACCATATCAATAATCACATTAGTATCAATTGCCCAAAAACTCTAATATTGACAGATTAGATTCAAAGAAAGCAAAAGCTAACAGTATTCTGCCTCCAAAAAAACATACTTTAAATGCAAAAACACAAGCAAAAAGATGAAAAAATATATAATAAACACTACCTCAAAGAAATCTGGAGTGACTATAGTAGTATCACACAAAGTAAATTTCAGTTGAATGGTTATTACTAGAGATAAAGTCATTTCAAAATAATGAAAGAGTCAGTTTGTCAAGAGAAATAAAAAACCTAAATGTTTATATAACAAATCATGTACATTCAATATACATGAAGCAAAATATAAAGATTATAAGAAAAATAAACATTTTTCTTTCCACAATTACAGTTAGATTTTTTTTGTTTGTTTTGAGACCGAGTTTCACTCTTGTTCCCCAGGCTGGAGTGCAATGGTGTGATCTCGGCTCACTGCAACCTCCGCCTCCCAGGTTCAAGCGATTCTCTTGCCTCAGCCTCCTGAGTAGCTGAGATTACAGGCACCCACCACCACGCCCAGCTAATTTTTTGTATTTTTGGTAGAGATGGGGTTTCACTATGTTGGCCGGGCTGGTCTTGAACTCCCAACCTCAGGTGATCCACCTACCTCAGCCACCCAAAGTGCTGGGATTACAGGTGTGAGCCACTACGCCTGGCCTAGTCAGATATTTTTATACCCCTATATCAAAAACTGATACAGCAAGAAGACAAAAATTCAGTAAGAGTGTAAAAGATTTGACCAACATTACCACTTGACCTAATTGACATGTATAGAAAATTTCAAATACCAACTGTCAGATACACATTTTTTTAAAAAATGTACACAGAATATTTACCTAGAAAAAAACATATGCTGGGGCATAAAATTAATCTCAGTGATGTCAGAAAAATGGCAGACTAGAAAACTTTAGAACTTTGTCCCCCACGGAGACATTAAAGAAAAAACTACAAATTGGTTAAACTGACATTTAGGAACTATGGAAAACAGCTCAAGGTTTACAGAAAACACATGAACATCCAAACAAAACAGAGCCACATCCAAAGCAGTAGAAAATTGTGAGGCATTTTTACTTGGCTTTGCCACATCCCATACCTGGAACTGCACAGAATGGTCTTAGGAAAGTGATGGCTGAGCTTCCAGTTCCTTCCCTGGAACTGGAAGGGTAAACCAGACTTTATTTGAAATGTTCTAACCTGTCTGGGAGCTCCATGTTGGATTAGTCTCTGTTGTTTCTAACTCATAGGTCAGACAGCAAAGATCAGAACAGCTCAGATCTCAGGCTATGAAAACCAATGAGAGACAACAGACATAGCTCGTGAATGTTGCTGTGAGATGCAAGATAGACGTGCAAATACCTGGAGCACGAGATTACAGATAGAGGAATAAAATAGAATATTCACAACTCTGAGGAGAAGCAGGGCTATGACCCCTAGGAAAATTAAGACATTTTCTAAAAGGCTGTATACACAAGGAAAAAATAAATAAAACCACACACAGGCCCAGAGAAAATGAAGTCTGATAAAAGACCACAGAAGATGAAAGCCTTCAGACCAGGCTGATCTCAAGTCAAAGAACATGCCTTTCTAATTATTGAAGAGCTTTTCCTACACAGACTCAGTCTGCAAACATTGGGAGAGGAAATGCCTTTTTTTCTAAATGCCCCATTTTCCACAATAACAATAACAATAACAAATTACAAGGTGTTCAAAGAGACAAGAAAGCCATGGCCCGATCAAAGAAGAAAATACAGCTGCAGAAACTGTCCCTGAAGAAACATTGACATTTGAAATACTAGACAAAGACTTTTAAACAACTATCTTATGCTCAAGGAGCTAAAGAAAAACATAGACAAATAACTAAAAAGTGAAGAAAATAATATATGAACAAAAGGAGAATATCAACAAAGAGACAGAAATTATTTTAAAAGAACCAACAAGAAATTCTAGAGATGAAAAATACAGTAAGTGAATTGAAAAATTTATGAGACAGCTTTAACAGAAGACTTTAGCAGGCAGTGGAAAGAAGCAGCAAACAAAAAGAAAGATTATTTAAAAGTAGTGAGTCTAAGGACCAAAACGGAAAAAAAAAAAAAGAAGTGAATAGAGTCTAAGGTATTTAATAGTCACCATTGAGTAGTCCAATTATTCATTACAGAAGTTCCAGAAACAGGAGAAAGAAGGAGGCAGTGATTTATATGACAACATAAGTGTCAGAGGCGTTCAAACCAGAGCAACTCCATTTTGAGTGAGGGCTAGGAAAATGAGGCAGAGACTTGCTGGACTGCATTCTCAGAAAATTAGGCGTTTTCCTAGCTTCTAGATGTTTATGAATCAGTGAACAAATTAATGATGCTTATTAAAACAGACCCAGACTTGGGAGTGTCCAGATATCTCAATATCTGGAGAATAAGGGCATTCCTAATTTTGCATTAAAGATAATAATATTGATTCTTGCAAAATATGGTAATTAAGAAAATTAATCCTTTATCAAAAACTCTTGTAGGAGAGCACATCTCCCCATATATGCAGCCATCGTACCTAGGATGGATGTGTTCTTCCTCTCACTTTCAGGAATGTCCTACTCTGTCTATGGAGTAGCTGTTCTTTCACCGCTTGCTTTTACTTTGCACTGTGGACTCGCCCTGAATTCTTTATTGTGTAAGCTCTAAGAACCCTCTCTTGGGGTCTGTATTGGGACTCCTTTCTGGTAACATAAGGATCAAAAATTTCCCAAATTTTTAAGACATGTATATGCAAATCCAAGAATCTCAATGAACTCCAAGTATGATAAAACAAAAGGAGTGTAGGCAGAGGAACAAAATTGTCAACTGAAAATTTTATAATTAGCAAAACTGTCCTTCAAACATGAGAGGAAAACCTTCTGGTTCTAAACCAGTATGTAAGGAGCTTGATAGTCATACTTTATCCTAACAACTAGTAAAAAGTTGAACAAACAAAAAACTCAACACCTCTTCTCAGATCTGTCATGGAAATGAGATCAGAGAGCAAACCAAGGCCCCCCAAATTGGAGAGACAGACAGGCAGATACATAGAAGCAAAACTTAACTCATGCAGAAATGATGAGCAGAAATCTCCATAAGACCCAGTGCTGGGTTGGGCATAGTGGCTCACGCCTGTAATCCCAGCACTTTGGGAGGCTGAGGTGGGCAGATCACCTGAGGTCAGGAGTTCAAGACCAGCCTGGCCAACACGGTGAAACCCCATCTCTACTAAAAATACCAAAATTAGCTGGGCATGTTGGCGGGAACCTGTAATCCCAGCTATTCAAGAGGCTGAGGCAGGAGAATTGCTTAAAGCCGGGAGGTGGAGATTGCAGTGAGGCAAGATCATGTCATTATACTCCAGCTTGTGCAACAGAGCAAAACTCCACCAAAGAAAAAACAAAAAACAAAAAAACACACAAAAAAAATCACCAGTGCTGAAGTAGAAAAACCTGAAACTGTAATTAACAAATTGCTGGAGCTCAATGTGAACAACTCTAAAAGTTAAAAACTTCAAGTGGGTACACTCATTGAAGGTCTCCATACTTTTGTGAATTATGCCTCCAGAAACTCTACTAGGTTCTCAGTGAATGTTGGAAAAAATGTCCTCATGCTTCTGGCAGGAGGAAGGGGAAAGGAACCATTTGGAAACATGCTGGAGTATTCAGTTATTTTTCACAAGACCTGCACCAGGAGAAACTATTTTACTAGAGCCTAATCTGCTGGGGTTTTATCAGAGCCTACTATACGTGACAGAAGGAAAATACTCAACTGGCTGTAGCCTTCCACATGCACAAAAGGGAATAAATAACTCCATCTCCTTCTGGCCTTTCATGTGGGGGAAGAGAAACACTCAGCTACAATCCCTTTTAGATTTCCACATGGAAAAAGGGAAATATACAACTTCATCCTCCCTTCAGCCATTATGTCTCATCTAAAGTCAGGGAGGAACTGAGAAGCACTGATGAAGTTCACAGTCAAGGGGCACAGTCTCACCAAAAGACTGAGCCCTAATCATAGGACTATAGAATGCTCCCCTTCCCCTTACACTCTATCACTACATTACTAAAGGCCTATTTACTATAGCTGCTTTTACTTAGTACATTGTGTTCACTTTTCAACAAAAAAAATTCCAAGATAGACTGAAATGCAAAAAAAAAAAAAACAGTTTGAAAAGTATGAACAAGCATCATAAGCAGAGTCAAGTATGGCAGCAATGTTGGAATTATCAAAGCAGATATTTTAAATAATTGTAATTAATGTGCTAAGGACTCTAGTAAATAGACAACATGCAAGAACAGATGAATTATGTAAACAGAGAGATGGGGATACAAAGAAAAAAATCAAAAAAGAAGTGCTAGAGATCAAAGACATTGTAATAGACATAAAGAAGGGCTTTGATGGGCTCATTAATAGACTGGACATAGCCAAAAAAGAATCTTTGAGTTTGATGATATGACAATAGAAATTTCCAAAACTAAAGAGCAAGGAAAAAAATACTCAGTAAAAACAGAATAGAATATCAAAGAACTGTAACAAAACTACAAAAGGAGTTAATATATATATTGGGAATTTTAAAAGGACAGGAAAGAGAGAAAAAAATGGAAGCAATATTTGAAACAATAATGACTGAAAATTCCTTCCAAACTAGTGTCAGACACCAAACCAGAGATCAAGAAAGCTCAGAGTACACCAAACAGGATACATGAAAAGAAAAATTACACCTAGGCATTTCATATTCAACTTCAGAAAATCAAAAATAAGAAAAAAAAGTCTTGAAAGAAGCCAGAGAGGAAAAATACCTTACATATAAAGGAGCAAAAATAAGAATTACTTCTTAAATTTTCTTAGAAACCATGCAAGCAAGAAGAGTGAAGTTGAGAGAAAAACCACCAGCCTAGATTTCTGCACCCTGTAAAATTATCCTTCAAAAGTAATAAGAACTAAAGTTCTTCTCAGACAAACGAAACCTGAAGGCATTGTTACTGGTAGACCTACCTTGCAAGAAATGTTAACGGAAGTTCAGAAAGAAAATGATGTAGGTCAGACACTCCAATCTACATAAATAAAAGAAGAGAGTCAATGAATTAATAAGTAAAAGTAAAGTAAAACATTCATTTTTTTGTTCTTAATTGATCAAAGACATAATAGTTTGTTCAAAATAATAATAGCAACAATATATGGTTATGTATGCATATATATGCTTTTGTATACTTTTGTATACATGAAGTGAGTGATAGCAATGATAAAAGAGAAAGGAAGGAAGAATTAGGAATATTGTGTTATTAATATATCTTCTACCTGTGAAGTGGTATAGTGTCATTTGAAAATGTACTTGGATTAGTTGTAAAAATATATTGCGAACTCTAGGACTAATGTTTTAAAACTTTAAAAAAGTATAATTGATATGCTAAGGAAGGAGAGAAAATGAAATTATATAAAGTGCTCAATTAAAACACAAAAAGTAGAAAACTATGCACAACAAAAATAACTAAGAGCAAGGACGGCAAAGAAAAATCATTAACAGAGATGGTACATATTAATTGCTATATCAATAGTCATCTTAACTGTCAATGGTCTAAAACACACCAATTAAAATACAGAGACTGTCATAGTAAATCAAAAAACAAGACCCAGCTGTCTACAAGAAGCTCATTTTAAATTTGAAGACTCATAGAGATAAAAATTAAGGGGATGGAAAAGATACTGAGGTAAATTATAAAGGGTGGTCATAGCCTCCCTTAAAGGAGAACAAACTTGCTAAATAGATGGAGAGAATAAACTACCCGACAGTGCACAAACCACATCATGGGCTCAGGGTTAGAACATCCTGCAGCAAGGAGGTAGAAAAATAGAAGGGAGAATTCCCAAATTCACACAAGCACAGAAACCCATGATTAGTGTCCTTGGACTGACCTATATTCACTATAATAGTAAAAGAAAAACACCCCTGGGTGGAGATTTAAGATGCTAATGATACATGCAATGTAAGTCCTAGCGTGCACAACCACAGCACCTGTGCAGCCAGGGGACTACCCATAACATACTCATCAGAACACCCCTTCCCACCCCTCCATGAATAATCATGTAAATCTCCCATAAAGGGCGATCCCCCTGCATCAGACAGGGCTGTCTCACCTTTGAGCAGCCTGCTCTGATCAGCTGTCAGAGTGTACTTTGCTTTGCAATAAACTCTTTTGCTTACTGTTACTTTGGACTCGTTCTCAAATTCTTTTGTGCAGCAAAGTCAAGAACCTGAAACAGCCCACTGGCAACAATAGCATGCTAACAGTAATCCAAAGAAAGCAGGAGTAGCTCTATTAATGACATATCCCACTTCAGAACAAGAGGAATTATCAGAAATAAAGAGAGTAATTACATAATAAAAATGGGGTCAGTTCTCCGAGAAGACATAACAATCCTTAGTGTTTACACACCTAAAAACAGAGCATCACTATATGTTAGGCAAAAACTAATAGAACTTCAAGGAAAAATAGATGAATTTACTACTGTACTTTGAGACTTTAACATCTCTCTACTAGTAATTAGCAGATTAAGCAGGCAAAAAATTAGGGAAGACATATTATAATTCAAGTCAGCAGTGACATTAATCAACTGCATCCAATTGACATGTGTAGAATAATTCACCCAACAGCAGAATACACATGCTTCTGAAGCTCCCATGGAATGTTCACAAAGACACATCACTATCTAGGCCATTAAAAAGCAACTTATTTAAAAGCATGTAAGTCATGCAAATTATGTTCTATGACTACAGTGAAATTAAGCTAGAAATCAACTTCAGAAAGATGACTGGAAAACATTAAAATACGTGAAGGCATAACATCACACTTCTAAATAAAAAATGGATCAAGGAAGTCTCAAGAGGAACTGTAAAATATTTTGAACTAAATGAAAATGAAAATACAACTTTAAATTTGAAGACCCATAGAGATAAAAATTAAGGGGATGGAAAAGCTACTGCGGTAAGTTATAGAGGGTGGTCATAGCTTTTCATTTTCGCTTACATCTCACGGAAGTGTGTGAAATGCAGTAAAACAATGCTTAGACCAAAATTATAGCATTGAATGTACATGTTGCATCCCAAGGAGGGTCTAAAATTAATAATCTAACTTTTCACCTTAGGAAGCTAGTAAAGGAAGAACAAATTAGACTCAAAATAAGGAGAAGAAAAATATAAAAATCAATAAAATTGAAGACAGAAAAATCAATAGAAAAAAATCAACAAAATAAAAATCTGATTCTTTGAAAAGATAAATAAAATTGGTAAATCTCTATCCAGAGTAAGAGAGAAAAAGAATACAAATTATTAATATCAATATTTAAAGAAGAACCACCTCTATAGATACTATGGACATTAAAACACTTAAAAAAATAAAGAAATATTATTAACAACTTCATAAGTTTGATAACCAACATAAAATGCAGCACTTCTTTGAAATATACAATCTACTAAAATTCACACCAGGAGAAAAAGACAATCTGAGTTGTCCTATATCTATCAAAGGAACTGAATCAATAATTAATAAGCTGATAAAATAGAAAGTACCAAGCCCCAGAGAGTTCTCTAGTAAATTCTAACACTTAAAAGAAAAATTATAACAATTCTCCAGAATTTTTTCCAAAAAATAGAAGCATACAGAATGCTTCCCTAGTTATTCTATGAGGTCATTATTACCATACACCAAAACCAAAGACATTACAAGAAAGAAAAAAACAAAGAGCACTATCTTTCATTAAGCAAAAATCCTGAACAAAGTATTAGCAAATTGGATCCAATAATGTGTAAAAAGATGATGAAGTGGACCTTATCCTAATTATGAAAGGCTAGTTCAACAATTGAAAATAAACTGATATATTTCATCACATTAACAAGAAAAAGAAAAAAAACAAGATCACATCACCAGATGCAGAACAACATTTGACAAAATCCAACATCCATTAATGATAACTCTCGGCAAATTAGGAATAGAGGGAAACTTCCTCAAAGTGACAATGTCTATAGGAAACCTACAGCTAACATCATATTCCCTCGTAAGAAGTTAGATGCTTTCCTGGTAAGATGAAAAACAAGGCAAGAATGCCTGCTCTCACCTTACTCAACATCATACTGAGGGTCCTAGCTAATGCAATAAAACATGAAACACACATAAAAGTTAAACAGATTTGGAAGAAAGAAATAAGACTCTGCTCACAGATGGCATGACTGTTTATGTAAAAAATCCCCCCAAAATCAACCAAAACATTTGTGGAACTAACATGTGGTTATAGTAAGGTTGTAGAATATAATGTTAATGTACAAAAGTCAATTGATTTCTGATATACCAGCAATGGGCAATTGGAATTTGAAATTAAAAGCATAATACCATTTACTTTAGCATTGAAAAGAGAAATGTTTAGGCATAAATTCAATAAAATATGTACCAGGTTTATATGAGAAAACTACAAACTCTTGTGAAAGAAATCAAAGATCTAAATAAATGGAGTATAAATAGAATAAAATATGTGCAAAGTTTATATGAGAAAAAACTACAAACTGATGAAAGAAATCAAAGAAGATCTAAATAAATGGAGAGATATTCTATGTACATGGATAAGAAGACTCAATATTGTCATAATGTCATTTCTTCAAAACTTGATCTGTAGATTTAATGGAACCCCAATCAAAATTCCAGCAAATTATTAAGTGGATATCCACAAACTGGTTCAAAAGTTTATATGAAATAACAAAAGATCCAGAACAGCCAACATAATATTGAAGGAGAAGAATGAAGTTCGAGGTCTAACAAACTAATTTCTGTATGATTCCAACTACATGGCATTCTGGAAAATGAAAAATTACAGACACAGTAAATAGCTCAGTGATTGCCAGGAGTTTGAGGGAAAGGGGACTAGGGGTAAATGGAACACAAGAGATTTTCAGAATAGTAACACTGTTATGTATGACACAGTAATTTTGGATACATGCCATTATATATTTGTCCAAACCCATGGAACGTCAATCACAAAGAGTGAAGCCTAATATAAACTATGGGCTTTAGTAACTAATGGTGTATCAATACTGGGTCATGGATTCTAACAAATGTGCCACACTCATGTAAGATGCTAAAAATAGGAGAAACTGCAGGGAGGTATACGGGAACTGTTTTTTTCTTTCATCTTTTTTTCTGTAAACCTAAAACTTAGTAAAAAATGAAGCATCTTATTTTTTAAAATTATCTAAATACATTAATAAAAAGTGAGAGATTAGCAAAGTAGATTTCAAAATATCCTAATCATAAGCTGTTTATAAGAAACCTACTTTACATTTAATAAAATAGGTAAATTGAAATTAAATGCATGAAAAAGACATAATATGCAAATTTTAACAAAATAATGCAGGAATGGCTATATTAATATCTGATGGAGAGACTTCAGAGTAAGGAAAATTACTAAAGACAAAGAAAGATATTACATATTTTTAAAAACCAAGCTACTATGAAGACACAATGATTCTAAATGTATATAAACCAACAGAATTTTAAAATACATGGAGCAAAATCAGAGAATACTGAAAGAAGAAATAGACAAATCTACAATTATAGTTGGGGATTCCAACCTTCTCACTAGCTGACAGAATTACTAGTCAGAAAATTAGCATAGATATAGAAAAATATGAACTACACAGTTCACCAACAGGATCCAATTGATATTCATATATAGATTTATCACATAAAGGAAACTCCAATAAGATTAAAAACTAATTGCTCATCATAAGTAACAGAAGGCAGAAGAAAGTGGAATGACATATTAAAAGTGATTAAAGAAAATAAGAGACCAAGAATCTTATATCTAGCAAAACTATATGCTAAGACTAAAGATTAAATAGACATTTTCTGGCTGGGCATGGTGGCTCACTCCTGTAATCCCAGCACTTTGGGAGGCAGAGGTGGGTGGATCACAAGGTCAGGAGATCGAGACCATCCTAGCTAACATGGTGAAACCCCGTCTCTACTAAAAATAGAAAAAATTAGCCGGGCGTGGTGGCAGGCGCCTGTAGTCCCAGCTACTCCGGAGGCTGAGGCAGGAGAATGGCGTGAACCTGGGAGGTGGAGCTTGAAGTGAGCCAAGATCGCACCACTGCACTCCAGCCTGGGCAACAGAGCAAGACTCTGTCTCGAAAAAAAAAAAAAATAGACATTTTCATATAAACAAAAATTGAGAAAATGTGTTGCTGGAAGATTTATCTTGATATTTATTAACACTAACAAAAGATTTCCAAGCTGATTCCTGATACGTGTTCAACCCCATATGAGAAAACAAAGAGGCTGGTAAATTGAATTATGTAGATAATTGTTAGAGTATAATTGGATATTTTGTCTTCTTTCCTTAAATGATTTAAAATGCAATTGCATAAAATGATATGTATATACACAGATTGTTGGATTCGTAATCTATGGAAATGTAATATATTTGACAATAATGGCACAAAGGATATGAGCAGAAGCAAATCTATATTGGACCAACCAAGAGGTTGACACCAGATGGTTTTTCAGGTGTACAAAAATAAAGAGAACCAGAAATGGCAGAAAAGAAGATTAATATCACAAACTTTACAAATGTATACTTGCCCTCCAAGAAAGGAAGAAACCTCAGCTTCTTTAAAAGATGCAAAAGTAAAAAGAACAAAGCTGGAGACATCATGCTACCTGACTTCAAAGTATACTATAAGGCTACAGTAACCAAAACAGCATGGTACTGGTACCAAAACAGAGATATAGACCAATGGAAAAGAACAGAGGCCTCAGAAATAACACCACACATTTACAACCATCTGATCTTTGAGAAACTTGACAAAAACAAGCAATGAGGAAAGAATTGCCTATTTAATAAATGGTATTGGGAAAACTGGCTGGCCATACGCAGAAAACTGAAACTGGACCCCTTCCTTACACCTTATACAAAATTTAACTCACGATGGATTAAAGACTTAAACATAAGACCTAAAACCATAAAAACCCTAGAAGAAAATCTAGGCAATACCATCCAGGACATAGGCATGGGCAAGGACTTTATGACTAAAACACCAAAAGCAATGGCAACAAAAGCCAAAATAGACGAATGGGATCTGGTTAAACTAAAGAGCTTCTGCACAGCTAAACAAACTATCATCAGAGTGAACAGGTAACCTACGGAATGGGAGAAAATTTTTACAATCTATCCGTCTGACAAAAGGCGAATATCTAGAATCTACAAAGAACTTAAACAAATTTACAAGAGACAAACAACCCCATCAAAATGTGGGCAAAGGATATGAACAGACACTTCTCAAAAGAGGACATTTATGCATCCAACAAACATATGAAGAAAAGCTCATCATCGCTGGTCATTAGAGAAAGGCAAATCAAAACCACAATGAGATACTATCTCATACCAGTTATGTGATGCTTTTATAAAGCATGCTTTCTTGCGTGCCGCCATGATTGTAAGATGTGACTTTGCTCCTCCTTGCCTTACACCGTGATTGTGAGGCCTCCCTAGCCAGGTCAAACCTCTTTCATTTATAAATTACCCAGTCGCAAGTATGTCTTTATTAGCACTGTGAGAACAGGCTGATACATCAGAGATAAAGAAGGACATGCTGTAATGTTAAAGAGACAATATATCAAGAAGACATAAAAATTATAAACCTATGTGCACTGAACGAAATTTTTCCAAAATCTACAAAGCAAAAATTAAAGGTAGAATTAAAGGTGAATTAAAGGTAGAATTCAACAATAATAGTTGGAGATGGTAATCGTAGCAGACATCAGTATCTCACTTTCGATAATCAGAGAAGCTAAATAGATGCTAGCAAGAATATGGAGGATTTGAGTAACAGTATAAACTAGCTAGGTGTAACAGAACTGACAGTACAGTACACCCAAAAGCAGAACATTACTCTCAAGTGCACATGGAACAGTTCCTAAAATAGATGACATGCTAGGCCCAAAACCAAACCTCAAAAAAAGTAGAAAATGATTGTTCTTTGATCAAAGTGGAATTAAATTAGAAATTAAAAACAGAAAGAACTTTGGGAAAAGCAGAACTTATAAAAATTAGCTACATACTTCTAAATAACCAATGAGTCAGAGATGAGATCATGATGAAAAATAAGCAGAAGGATATAATAAACATTGAAATAGAAATTAAAGAAATAGAAAAAATGGTAGATCAAATCAACAAAACCAAGAGTTGGGTCTTTAAAAAGATTAACAAAATTAACAAACTTTAGCTACATTTACAGGGAGAAAGAAAGATTCAACTTACTAAAATTAAGAATGAAAGAGGGACATTACTATTGACCTTATAGAAATAAAAAGAACTATAAAAGGTACTATGAAAAAAAGAATGTCAACATATTAGATAATGTTGACGAAATGATATCATTTCTAGAATAATATCTACCAATCATTTAAAGAAGAATTAGTGCCATTCTTCACAAGCTCTTAAAAAATTTTAATATTTATTACAGTATTACTTATAATAGCCAAAAAGTAAAAACAACCCCAATGTTAATTAAGTGATGAATGGATAAATACAATATGGTGTATCATATATCGTATACATGATATCATGTTATTGACCAACAAAAGGAATGAAGTACTGACACATGCTGCAACCTGGGTGAAAATATTATATTCTTGTAAATATCATGCTGCGTAAAAGAAACCAGAACCAAAGAGTGCATTTTGTATTATTCCGTTTATATAAAATCTCCCAAACAGGCAAGTTTAGACAGTGGTTGCCTAATGATGTAAGGTGGAGGAGGAATGGGAAGTGACTGCTAATGGGTACTGGGACTCTTTGAGGGTACCAAAAATGTTATAAAATTAAACTTTGGTGATGATTGAACAACTGAATGAATATATTAATATGTATGAAATATTTTAAGTGAGTAAATTACACAAAATTTAAATTATGGCTAAACAAAGCTGTTTTTAAAAAGTGTACTAGCAGCAGAAAATTAGTTATAAATTAATCAGGATTAAACAGTGCTCATCTTGATTAAGCTTATAATGGATGATGATTATTTTACTTGTTTTATTCTATAGTAAACAGTTTGAGATTCAGTGATTAAACAAAGGACTACCTTTACACTCTACTTATTTTTTAAGTAAAAGAAAAACATTATTAAAAAGTGTATAAACTGGTTCATGTTTATGCTAACTATCTTAACCTTCCTTCTCTTTTACTTCCAATTACTTTGGTTATATTTCGGGTTTTATTTGATGTTGTCTATGGAATCTGTTAATCATTCTTTAAAGGAAAGAGGAAGTGGGTAGGGAATAAAGTATGGAGCCATCCAAAAACGAAAAGATCTGGGAAGATGCTGTGCTGATTTAATGTTAAGAAATGTTCAGAAAGTAAACCCTTGATGTCTTGGTTTTTATTTTAGAAATATTATCTTGTTGACAATATACTAAAGTGCAGGCCGGGCGCGGTGGCTCACGCCTGTAATCCTAGCACTTTGGGAGGCTGAGGTGGGCGGATCACGATGTCAGGAGATCGAGACCATCCTGGCTAACACGGTGAAACCCCGTCTCTACTAAAAATACAAAAAACAAAAATTAGCCGGGCATGGTGGCGGGTGCCTGTAGTCCCAGCTACTCAGGAGGCTGAGACAGGAGAATGGCGTGCAACCAGAAGGCGGAGCTTGCAATGAGCCGAGATCACGCCACTGCACTCCAGCCTGGGCGACAGAGCAAGACTCCGTCTCAAAAAAAAAAAATATATATATATATATATACTAAAGTTCATACAACTGATTTAAAATAAAAATAAGGTATATGAAAATATGTAAGATGCAGCTGAAGCAGAGGTGAGAGGAAAATTTTTATTACTAAATGTTTATATTAGAAGTGATAAAGTCCTCAACCAACTAAATTCCTACCTCAAACAACAAACAAAATCAAGAAATAAAAAGAACAAAATAAGACCAAATCAAGAAGCAGCGTATTCTGGTATAACTTTCAAATTATCCTTTAAAAATAGTCATAAGTTCAGAATCTGGTGTACAAATTCTATATTATGTCTCCTTACCTTTAAAATGCATTTTTTTTTTTTTTTTTTTTGAGAGACAATCTCGCTCTGTCGCCAGGCTGGAGTGCGGTGGCACGATCTCGGCTCACGGCAACTTCCGCCTCCCGGGTTCAAGCAGTTCTCCTGCCTCAGCCTCCGGAGTAGCTGGGACTACTGGAACGCGCCACCACATCCAGCTAATTTTTGTATTTTTAGTAGAGACGGGGTTTCACCATGTTGGCCAGGATGGTCTCCATCTCCTGACCTCTTGATCCGCTCGCCTTGGCCTCCCAAAGTGCTGGGATTAAAGGCGTGAGCCACCGCGCCTGGCCTAAAATGCGTTTCTTTTCCTTGATATAAATGTATTATCTGTACTACTATGAATACTGAAATGCCATAATTGAGGCTTTTTTTTTTAACTTTGGAAATGGAATAAAGGAGAGAAGGAAGGATGAGAGTCTCCTGAGATATTTAGATAAATGTTAGAGAAAAGATTCAAGTTGATATTCTGATAAACCTGATAAATCACATGGACAAATCTGACATTTATGCGAGTAAACGAAATGGAAAACAATATAACTGGGTGTAAAGAAAGAAGGAGATAAAAAAATACAAAGTTAAATAGTCCCTCATATTGGTCACAAGGCCAAATCAGCTGGCTCAGAATGTCATTAACTGCAGAAAGCCTCACTGAATTTCCTCCTTTAAGGAATGACTTTGTTCCTAGGAAATCTACACTAGTGTATAGAAATAAAGGGGCATACTGTCTGCATCTTGCTCTTAGATAATTCAGAAAAATGTGTGTGTATATCTATATCAATACCTATCTAGAATAAACAAGTGTGACGAAATGTTAACAATTGATAAACCTGGGTAAAGGTAGGTATATGGGAGTTCTTTGCGTATTTTTTCAACTTTCATGCACATGCGAAATTATCTGCAAGTGAAAATGTTTGTAAAAATTAAAAAACACACCATTTCAAAATAGGCTGTATTTATATAAGAAGTGCCCAATGTTTTTGCTTAATTTCTTTGTGGTAAGATTTTAGTCTTCCAGGAAAAGTTTCATATTGGTTATTATTGTGAAAAATAATGAAGTGGTCTGCTTCTAATTTTTCTAAGTTCCCTTTTGAATAACTAAGCATCTACACCAAATTAAAGATACTTCTCTATAATTTTTAAAAATTCAAAAAGGATGTATCATAAAGTAAGAAAATAAACTGCGGTTTGTTCCTCCATTGTTGTTAATTTGCAATGTCCCACTTATCTCTGATGGGATATCAGTAAATTTACTTGCCTTATTGTACTTGTTCCTTGATGTATTTCTAATGATTATATCATTCTTTGAAGACTTACATTTGTACCCCCTGAACAATTGTGAGATAAAGTGTTGTATTTGAATACACTAAATGAATAAGAACTATCATGAGCTCTTCAGAAAGTAATGAGTCTAGAAGTCACCAAAATTCCCACTGTAGTACCTTTTAAGATAAGATAAATCCCTTCCAAATAAACAACAAAGTAGAATTTGATTTACTTTTTTATTTCTTTCTTTCTTTACACTAACAGAACAAATTCATGCTAAAACCCTGTCTTTCCTTTTGTTTACAACCTCATATATATCAGCTCTATCTATTGAATTTATTTCTCCATAATGTCATTTTATTGTAACTTTGTGTTTTATACTTTTCTAGTGAAACATGACTGATAACTCTTAAAGAGACAACTTGCTTTATGAGAATTTCTTCTGAATTCTCTTATATCAGACAGCACAAGATATAGAGAATTATGGATGTAAAGACGATATAAGCATAGTTTACAGTTGAATAACGCCCATTATTTTCAGCTGCAGGTTTTAGACAATGTGGAAGCATTGACCGCCAGAGTTCATTTCCATTGCTGATGAACATTACCTCCAGCTCTCATTAACAACAACAAACACACACACACACACACAAATTAAAAAGTCATTTTTAAAAAATCCTGAGCTGATGTAGTCTGCCAGCTAGCTCTTCCTTTCTCAAGTGGTCACTGATAATTCTGCAAGGAAATATTAGAATTAGATTAGATATTTGGAGCCTAAGTCAAAATAATTACACATTTGTCCACTTTGGAAAGTAATGGAGGTGAAGGGGGTGTGTGTGTGTGCACTTCTATGGACACACACATGCATAGGTACACACACATGTATTGTGTTTTCTTGTTTTGTGCTTTAATTTTTATTTTTAAATTGTAAATTGACAAATCATAGTTGTGTATATTTATGGAGTACAAAATGATGATATAATTTATGAATACAATTTGGAATAATTATATCAAGCTAATTAACATCCACCACCTCAAATACTTGTCATTTTTAATGGGGAATGCATTTGAAATTTACTGTCTTAGTGATTTTTAAAATGTAGAATTCTTTACTATGTACTATTTTCACCAAGTTTTGCGATATATCTCAAAGAAAAAAAACCTTATTATTCCTTTTGTATAAATGAGGCTTTGTACCTTTTGACCAATATCCGTTCCACCCCACACCTCCAGCCTCTGCTAATGACCATTCTGCTCTCTGCTTCTTACAGTTTGATTGTTTTAGATTCCACATATAAGTGAGAACATGCAGTTTTTGTCTTTTTTGGCTTCGCTTATTTCTTTTAGCGTAATATTTTCCAATGTTGTTGCCAATGAAAAAATGATTTTTGTAAAGGCATGTAATTGTAACAGTCTCTTATGATCCTTTGTATTTTTGTGGTATCAGTTATAATGTCTCCTTTTTCATTTCTAATTTTATTTATTTGAGTCTTCTCTCCTTTTTTCTTAGTCTAGCTAAAAGATTATTGGTTTTATATTTTTAAGAAACTTAGTTTTGTTCATCTTTTGTGTCATTTTCTAGTTTTCATTTCACTTATTTTTGCTCTGATCTTTATTATTTTATTTCCTTCTGCTAACATTGAAAGAATTTGATATCCTTTTTCTATTTCCTTGAGGCGTAATACTAAGTTGTTTATTTGAGATCTTTCTTCTTTTTGCTGTTGATGTTTATTGCTATAAACTTTCCTCTTAGAAATGCTTTTGCTGTATCTCATAAGTTTCGGTATGTTGTGTTTCCATTTTTGTTTTTCTCAAGATGTTTTTACATTTCTTGTTTAATTTCTTCATTGACCTATTGGTTGTTCAAGAGCATGTTGCTTAATTCTTTTAATTTTCATTTCTTCATTGACCTATTGGTGGTTCACCACCATGTTGCTTAGTTTCCACGTATTCGTACATTTTCTGGAATTCCTTCTATTGTTGGTTTCTAGTGTCATATCATTGTTGTCTGAAAAGGTACTTGATATGATTCTAATATTAAATTTGCAAAGATTCGTCTTGTGGTCTAACCTGTTGTCTATCCTGCAGAATGTTCTATGTGTCCCTGAGAAGAATGTGTATTCTGCTGCTTTTGGGTGAAGTTTCTGTATGTGTCTATTAGGTCCATTTGGCCTAAAGCGTCCTTCAAGTTTAATGTTATTTTCTATCTTTTTTTTTTTTTTTTTTTTGAGACAGAATCTCGCTCTGTCACCCAGGCTGGAGTGCAGTGGCGCTATCTCGGCTCACTGCAAGCTCCGCCTCCCGGGTTCACGCCATTCTCTTGCCTCAGCCTCCCCAGCAGCTGGGACTACAGGTGCCCGCCGCCACGCCCGGCTAATTTTTTTGTATTTTTAGTAGAGACAGGGTTTCACCGTGTTAGCCAGGATGGTCTCAATCTCCTGACCTTGTGATCCACCTGCTTCGGCCTCCCAAAGTGCTGGGATTACAGGCGTGAGCCACCGCGCCCGGCCCTATCTTTTTATTTAAAAAAAAAACTACCTAATTTATGACAGTAGGAAAGTAGGATCTGGTGTTCTCCGAGCTTCTTTGATTTGTGGGCAGGTGTCTGTTGCTGAATTTTAAAAGTTCTCAGCCATCCCTTTTTTCTTTTCACATTCTGGGTGAATGCAGTTTTCATAGAAGGTGCTAGATTTGTGCGACCCTAAAGATAGGTGACTCCTCTGACTCACAGATCCCTGGGAGCCTCTCCCGAACAGAGTTTCTTTATCCACACACCCCACTTCCCATACCCACTCTCCCACATAGGTGTTCTGGCCACCAGTAGTCTCTGAAGGATGGAAGATGAAGAGACATAACATGACCTTTACGTGAGTCTCTACTCCTCCCAAAAGAATGAATGTTCCTGGAAACTTCACCAATAGAAAATCAGGGGATATCAATATAAGTAAGCACTCATTACTCATGTAATGGAGGCCTTGGCAAAATATGACACTTAAATTTCTGCTCAGGGAGAGTAGAAAATAGGCACAGAGACTAGAGAGACTGGTAAAGAATGAAGGCTCAAAGGTGATTGAGTTGTGTTAAAGGCACGTCTTGATCAGGCTTTGCTTTATTTTTCTCTTGTGGAGTATGAAACTGGGTGTTACAATTAAATATATTTCTTGATTTCCTAAAATGTTATAGGCTGTTTCCAATTTTTGTTATTTTTGGAGTTTCTTAAATCGAAATTTGATTCAGGATAATTTAAAAATATAATGTTAATGTTAAGATGGAAAGTAGGTCAAAAGGCAATCATGTTAAACAAGAGGATAATTGGAGATAGGACCTTGAACACGAAAGTAATCTTAAATTCTTGACTATTATGATACAGTTTGCATAAAGAACTGAGATTTCTTCAGAAAACTATAGTGAAATGGGACACTACAAATCAAATATAAATTTAAAAATGAACACATTTATTCAGTACATATCCATAGATTATTCTGGATTAAATGTACACATTTTAAGAATAAAGTTTTAAATTTGAAAATGAAAGACTGTTTCCCATCTAAACAGACCATTGGCTTCAAGATACTTACAACTGTGTTAAATCATCTTCCATTGGTTATAGTTGGTTATGGCATCAGCATCCCCAAATCTGGCTGACCCATACTACGTTTTTCCTAAATCTCTTTTCTTCTGTATCTTGCTAAGGCTGCTGGTTCATCCTCCCAATTTCCTGTATTTAAAACCCCAGTGCCACATTGGACCTTGTCCTTTCTCTTCTGCTGTTCACATCTTCTGTCTCTCACATTCATTCCAACCTACACATCCCAGTGGCCTATTCCTATTTAAGCACCCAACCCCCTCTCTCCTGAATGAATGCAGAAAGCTTTCTCATCTCTGGACTCTTAACACAACAGTTATTATTACACACGACTGTCAGATGTGTGGGGTTCTTGAACCGTAGTTCTGTGGTGTCATCATTCATTTTAAAAATTTTGATTGGCTCCCTATTACCTAGAAAATAAACTTTAGTGTTCTTTGCTCAACATGTGAGGCCCTCCACAATCTAATTTCACACGCTCCAAAACCTTATTTCTACCTACTCTCTTCCAAGGACCCTGAACCCCACATTCCAGGCAAATCCAGTTATGGAACACTTGCAAAGGCCATCAGAAGTCACTGCAAAACCAATCCGGTCTGACTCTTATGTTTTTTAGTGCTCTATCCCCTTTGTCTGAAATGGCTTTCCCTCCACCTCTATTTTTATTTACCGGCACCTTCCAAAGCTTTCAACATTCAGTTTGTCATGAAGGCAGCTGTTACAGACTGGACTAGAAGACTGTGAACTGAATTTGTGGTTTCCAAATCAGTATCACACTTGATTCCCACCTCCAGAAATTTTGATAGAGGGGACTGAGAGTAGAGCCAATGAGTCTTACACACACAGACACACACACACACACCCCAAAACAAACACACACTTACCCTAATGACTATCTAGGTGCCAGCCCTAGCCTAGGCCAGGCTGGTGGAACATGCTGGATTAAAAACAACAGGACACTGAGAAAGTATTTGCTACACAGACATATGGGATTTGACCATGTGTTATTTACAGATAACCTAACTCATTGGAGTAAAACCTATCTTAAATTGGCATATGGTATACGATATGTTGTAGCATTTTATTAGTGAACATTTGTAAGGTTTTATTTGTGAAAACTGATAAGACTGTATTTGTGACCATCACAAGGAAAACTGATAAAACTGTATTTGTGACCATCTCAAGGAAGGCCTGTCCTATGCCATGCTCACCTGCCAAGCTGGCTGCAGTCCCTTCCTCTCCTGACCTCACTTTGCCCCTAAAGGCGTCTCTGTTATTATACTCATGGCTTTCCATTTTCTAATACTGTGTACTGATCATTTCAACACATGCCTTATTCTCTAAATAGACTGAAAGATTCATTAAGTATCTGAAAAGCAAATGTTGATGAACTTGCCTAGAATAAAAGGCATGAAACATGCAAGTTTCTAACATAGATTGTAGCAGCCACCCCAGATGATTGCAATCACCTCCCCATTGATCTCCCAGCTGACACATTCTATGTATTTGTAACTCAGCAACCAGAGTGATCCTTTAAAAATTATCAGAGAGCGCCACTCCTCTTAGTAAAGCACTACCCCACCCCAGTCACTTAGCTTTCTGATTCACAGGAGTAAAAGCCAAAGTCCTTATAATGGCCTAAAAATCGTACATAATCTGTTCCTTTTCAGATTTCATTCACTACCATCTTCCCCCTTCTCTCTCTGTTCCAGTTACAACAGCTGGCTGCCCCCCTCAAAAAAAACTAGCATGTTCCTGCCCCAGGGCCTTTGCACCTGCTTTTTCCTCTTAGTGCAACAAGCTTGCTCCAGATATCTGAAAGGCTGACTATCTCGCCACCTTCAGATGCGTGTTCTAATGTCTCTTTATCAGTGAGAGCTTCTTTGTCCACCCTGGGCATCTTCTTGCCCTTCCCTGCTTTATTCTTCCCCATGGCACTTACTCACATTGGACACTAAACACTTGTTTCCTTAGCTAGGCATTCTTCTCCTACCCTCACAACAGTAGGAATGTCCTAAGGTTCTGAGAAGACTCCTGTGCTGGGTTTCCAGACTCCTGTACTCTCACATTTGGTGCTCATGCACCTCTTGGTCATTAGTGCACTCCAGAGGTTAGGACCTAGAGTATGTGGCTGTCCTTCAGAGGAGGGAAATGGATTGCTTAGGAGCAGAGAAGGGAGCTTTGGCCTCGCAGTGCAGGACCCCTGTGCCCACAGGCCTCTGTGTGTTGACAGCAATGCTCTTGGTGTCCACCTGCACTGCCCTCTGGTGTTCAGTCAAAATTAAGCAAATAGTTATGAACTGCTATAGGGGATTGTTACCAGGTCCTGAGTCTGAGTGTTGGGAACACAACAAGAAGCAAACAAATCTGCCCAACACCCCTGAGATGTGGGTTTCACAGATAATACTGAGGTCAGAGTAGCATGTTAAATGACACCACAGTGATGACACAATCATAAAAATCTACACTGTGGACTCTGTCCTAGTTTCTTTAAAGAATTGCATGGAAAAAAAAAGATGGAAGGGGAAGAATAAGAATGAAGAATGCTTTAGAGACTCTGCAATCCATCGTAATATCCGTACAAGGATTCTGCTCTTTTAAAAAAAAGAAAAATGGTGTGAAAAAATATGTAAGACTGGCCAGGCAGCGTGGCTCACACCTGTAATCCCAACACTTTGGGAGGCCAAGGTGGGTGGATCACTTGAGGTTAGGAGATCAATCCTGGCCGACAAGCCTGACCAACATGCCAATATGGTGAAACCCCGTCTCTACTAAAAATACAAAAAATTAACCAGGCATGGTGGTGGGCACCTGTAATCCCAGCTAATTGGGAAGCTGAGGCAGAAGAATTGCTTGAACCCAGGAGGCGGAGGTTGCAGTGAGCCGAGATCTTGCCACTGCATTCCAGCCTGGGTGACAGGGCAAGACTCTATCTCAAAAAAAAAAAAAAAAAAAAAAAGTAAGACAATCAGGGAAATTTGAACAGCGACTGGATTTTGGTTAAAAGTAAGTAATTCTGGCTAATTTTTTAGATGTATTATTTTAAAAAGGGGATCCTTACCCTTTGGAGGTGGATACTAAAATATTCATGGATGAAATGATAGGATGCCAGAAATGCTCTTCAATTAATCTATGTCAGGGAAGTGGGATCAGAGGAATCAGGACTGTCTAAAACTGAAGCTGGGTATTAGGTCAACGAGTTACTTATACTATTCATTCATTATGCTATTTATTTCCTTTTGTATATTCTTAAATTTTTTATAATAATAGTAATAAAGATATGTTGAACATGGTAAAGATGGAAAATGTATAGAGACAGAAGAAATATTCTTATTTTTTATTTCATACAATTCTATAGTTTCACATTTTGTTTTGTTTTACTGTATTTATGCATTAATTCTATAACTGTAAAACATGCTATTAATAATTAAACTGACCTTATGAAAATTCTTGGAGAGTGAAAACTTTGAAACTCATGTGCTAGGTACATCATTAAAATATATCATTCAGGCGACACCTGATGACTCACATCTATAATCCCAGTAATTTGGGAGATGAAGATAGGAGTCTCCCTTAAGCCCAGGAGTTTGAGACCAGCCCTGGCTATATAGTGAGAGCCTGTTTCTACAAAAAAAAAAAAAATTATTTTTAATTAGCCAGGCATGGTGGCACTCACCT
Organism: Homo sapiens; assembly: GCF_000001405.40. Taxonomy (NCBI): domain Eukaryota; kingdom Metazoa; phylum Chordata; class Mammalia; order Primates; family Hominidae; genus Homo; species Homo sapiens. The sequence goes on from NC_000009.12 coordinate 42,161,890, forward strand.
GTAGTTCCAGCTACTCAGGAGGCTAAGGTCAGAGGATAGCTTGAGCATGAAAGTTCAAGACTGTAGTGAGCCATGGTCATGCCACTGCACTCCAGCCTGGGCAACAGGGTAAAACCATGTCTCAATAAACAAACAAATAAATACATAAATACATAAATAAATAATAAAGTATTCCATTCAACATTTTTACCTTAGTAATGCTCAACATTTGGTTTTTACTTATTTCCTTTTATGTTGTATTTTCTAGAACAAATTCACATATAGTATAATGCAGAAGAAACTAATGATTAAATTCATTGTTCGTAATTGTATTCAGTTTCTTATTTTCATCATCATTTGTTTACAAGTTTTTTTTTTCTTTGTTGAGACAGAGTCTCGCTCTGCCACCCAGGCTGGAGTGCAGTGGCGAGATCTCAGCTCACTGAAAGCTCCATCTCCCAGGTTCACGCCATTCTTCTGCCTCAGCCTCCGGAGTAGCTGGGACTACAGGCGCCTGCCACCATGCCTGGCTAATTTTTTGTATTTTTAGTAGAGACGGGGTTTCACCCTGTTAGCCAGGATGGTCTCAATCTCCTGACCTCGTGATCTACCCACCTCGGCCTCCCAAAGTGCTGGGATTACGGGCGTGAGCCACCGTGCCTGGCCAACTATGTATTGTTTCTTGTGATTAGATATGCATACACACAAACATGTGTATGCATATATATATATATACATGTACACACACATTATTTTTTTAGAGCAGTTTAAAGTTCACAGCAAAACTGAGCAGAAGGTATATATATATACACATACACACATTATTTTTAAGAGCAGTTCAAAGTTCACAGCAAAACTGAGCAGCAGGTATAGATTTCCCATATACTCCCTGTCCCCCACACATGCATAGCCTCCCCCATAATAAACATCCCCCACCAGAGTGGTGCATTTGTTACAATTAAAGAACCTACATGATACATCTTATAGTTTGCATTAAGGTTCACACTCGGGCTTGGACAAATTTACAATGACAAGTATTCACTATTAAAATATCATACATGTACTTTCAGGGCCCTACGCATCCTCTGTGCTCTAGTTATTCATTCCTCTCTTCCTCCTAACTCCTGGAAACCACTGATTTTTTTTTTTCTATCTCTATAGTTTTACCTTTTCCAGAAAGGTCATATAGTTGGAAGTGACAGTATGTAGCCGTTTTAGATTGGCTTCTTTCACTTTGTAATATGCATATAAGCGTCCTCTGTGTCTTTTCGTGGCTTGACAGCTCTTTTTATTTTTTATTTTATTTATTTTATTTTTTTATTTTTTTTTTAGAGGGAGTCTTGCTCTGTCGCCCAGGCTGGAGGGCAGTGGCGTGATCTCCGCTCACTGCAAGCCAAGCTCCACCTCCCGGGTTCACGCCATTCTCCTGCCTCAGCCTCCCGTGTAGCTGGGACTACAGGCCCCTGCCACTGCACCTGGCTAAGTTTTTGTATTTTTAGTAGCGACGGGGTTTCACCGTGGTAGCCAGGATGGTCTCTATGTGCTGACCTCGTGATCTGCCTGCCTCGGCCTCCCAAAGTGCTGGGATTACAAGCGTGAGCCATCGCACCCGGCCAACAGCTCATTTATTTTATCATTGAATGATATTCAATTGTCTGGATGTACCACAGTTTGTTAATTCACCTACTGAAGGAAATCTTGCTTGTCTCCAAGTTTTTGCAATTATAAATAAAGCTTCCATAAACATCTGTGTGCAGGTTTCTGTGTGGACATAAGTTTTCAACTCCTTTGGATATATACCAAGAAACAAGATTGCTGGGTCGTATAATAAGAGTAGATTTAGTTTTCTAAGAAGCCACAAAACTGTTCTCCATTTTGTATTTCTATCAGCACTGAATGAGAGCTCCTGTTGCTTCACATCCTCATCAGCATTTGGTGTTGTCAGGGTTCTGGATTTTTGCCATTCTAATACGCATGCAGTAGTATCTCATTGCAGTGCTGTATTTGAGAATGTGAATAGCTGCAGTTCATTTACTCTTAGTGCTGCGAGGTACTCTATTATTGGAATATATGATCATTTAATTACCCAGTCCACTATCTACCCATATTGAGAGATAACTAGATTGTTTCCAGGTTTTTAAAATTGGGAACATTCTCATATATCTCTAGGTAAACAAACGCAAGAATTTTTCTGGGGCCTGTAACAGGCTGACTAGGTTGCACTAGGTTGTAGTGAAGTCACTGGGTCATAGGGTACATTATGATCAGCTGTATGAGCCAGCATCTGTCTGTTTTCCAAATGGCTGTCCTACTTTAGCGTGTGGGATGAATACTTCCATGGTTCTTTATCCTTGCCAATACCACACGTTTCGGAACTTCAAAAAAAAATTGTCAATATGTGTGAAAGGATATCTAATTGTTAATTTTCATTTTCATGATTATTATGAGGTTGAGCACTTTTTACATGCTTATGGGCTATTTGTGCTAACTTCTCAACGGACATGTTATTTTTCACTTATTTATAGGAGGCATATTCTGGATACCAGACCTTTCTAGGTAAGATGTGTTGCAAATAGCTCTGCCAAGTTTTGGGTATTTTTTTTCACTTTGCAGTATCCTTTAATAAACAGAAGTATTAAATTTTTGTGTTATCAAATCAATTTTTCCTCTTTCAGTTTGTTCTTCTTCCCCATGTAAAGATAAAAGATATGGCCGGGCGCGGTGGCTCACGCCTGTAATCTCAGCACTTTGGGAGGCCGAGGTGGGCAGATCACAAGGTCAGGAGATCGAGACCATCCTGGCTACCACGGTGAAACCCTGTCTCTACTAAAAATACAAAAAATTAGTCCAGGCGGGGTGGCGGGCGCCTGTAGTCCCAGCTACTCCGGAGGCTCAAGCAGGAGAATGGCATGAACATGGGAGAGGAGGTGGAGCTTGCAGTGAGCCGAGACCGCGCCACTGCACTCCAGCCTGGGCAACAGAGTGACTCCATCTCAAAAAAGAAAAAATAATTCTTCCCAGGATTTTTTCTAAAAATGTTGAGAAGCTATCTTTATCCGTTAAAATATATTTTTATATTTGTTCTCCGGGATTAAGTTTCAATTTCATTTTTTTCCCTTATGGAGATCAGTGGTCCCAGTGTTGCTTATTGTAAAATATACTATCTTCACTTAACAACAATGAAAGCTGTGTTACAAAATCTGTTTCCCAGTATTAGTGCAAAATATATTTCTCTTTATGATTGTACTCAGATTAACTAGTTTGCAGGACTGTGTCCAGAGTTGGTTCCTTCCGGTGGGTTCGTGGTCTCCCTGACTTCAAGAATGCAGCTGTGGACCTTCCTGGTGAGTGTTACAGTTCTTAAAGATGACACGGAACCAAAAGTGAGGCTAGGAAGGTTTATTGCTGAGAGCGAAAGAACAAAACTTCCACACCCTGGAAGGTGACCCCACCTGGTTGCTGCTGCTGGTTGCAGGTGGCCAGCTTTTATCCCCTTATGTCTTCCCGCCCACGTTGCGTTTCTGTCCTATCAGAGTGCCCTTTTTTCAATCCTCTCCACTATTGACTACTTTTAGAATCCTGCTGATTGGTGTGTTTTACAGAGGCTGATTGGTGCATTTTACAAATTCCTTGTAGGACAGGAAAGTTCCCCAAGTCCGCACTCGACCCAGGAAGTGCAGCTGGCCTAACCTCTCACTGCCAGAGGCTAATTTCCATCCTGGTATTTCTCAGGCCCATAGATAGTGTGAATTCAAATCCAAACCAATATGTCTATTGACTTATATTTAGAAATTACCATTTTTTTTTCTTTTTTCTTGTCTACCCTATTGAAACCAAGACAAGCATAGATTTTTCACTTTCTTCTTATGGGAGTGGGATTTTCCTAGCCCCACTTAACATGCTTCTCTTTAGAAATCCTAGATTTATGCAGAAGGCATTTTAGCCTATACTCCTCCCTGCATGGGCATCAGTCTCTGTTTCCTGAATTAGGTGCTCATGGTTCTGGGCCAATAGTTCCTGGGAGACACCCCAGGGCAAATGCCAGATGAGGCACTCACACCTCTGGATTCAAACTTTTTTTGCTCTTGTAGATATCTGAAAATTTGCCTTACTTTGACTCAGCCCATGCATTAAAGCAGATGCTTTTAAATATTTTATGATACATGTTTTAGGAAAGGGTCTGTCTGGATATTTCTTCTTTTGATTTGCATTTTGCTTTCAATTCTTCTTTCACACTATCCTAAGCATTAATCAACTCGTCGTTTATGTCAGTTAGTACAAAACTTCACTATCCTGTTCATTATCACCATTTCATTTTGTTCTGCATAGGCCAGACTATTTATCTAAAAATGTTTAAAGAAATCTAAGGCCTTAAAGGATTCTTTCTCAGGGACTCTACTGTTTGTATTTAGAGAAATGCTCATTTGTTCCACTGTTTTACTTTCTTCTTGGGTCACGCTCTTTGATGACTGCCATCTTACAGAGGATGACAAAAGAGGGCCCACGCTGAGACAATGATACCTGCTTGCCCCTTTGGATTTTATTTTCTTAGTGTTCTCAAAATATTAATAAAATGTCAAAAACAAATTAATGTCACCAGAATGTGCGCCTCACTTAAAATTTCTCTCTCTAACAAGTTTTTGTTTCCTAGTTCCTTTGGTACCCTAATGTTTAGGTAAATAGTCTCTGAGGAAAGGATGTGAAAGTCATAGCAAAATATATGCTGGACTTGAATGAAAAATATCTGTTTCATAAAAGTTAAGCAGGCAACCAAAATTTACCTTTTTTAACCTAAATTATCTAAACATGTATTTACATTTCTGCTTCATTAAAATATATTTGAGATTGAATGCTCCTGAGACAGATTTTGGAATGCCCTCCCTTTCTAAAATACATTTTTTATTTTTTGTGGACTAAACAGTTATTTAAAAATGAACTTAATGATTGCTAATTAGTTATCTAAACACTTATTTAAAAATGAACTTAATGATTGCTAATTACTCAGTTATTATAATGCATTTCAAAATTAACTTTATTGTCTAAACCTCTTAACACAAATGTATTAAATTATGTAACAGAGAATTGGCTATTTTTGTTCAAATATCTATTCTTGTCAGACTTAAAATATCACTCAGCTATATGATTAAAAATGAACTACAGTCATTAAATTATTTCCCACTTATTTGTGGCATTTCTCCATATTAGAGGAGACAAACAGTGCTCTTTGAATCTGATGACAGTTCTATTGATAACGGCCATCAGAATCTAGTTACGCATTATTAATAAGTTCAAGGCATGAATAAAATTTCTCCCTTGTTTCCACTCAAAAACTACAAGTATAGTTCTTTGGTAAGATGCTCCAACCATGGCTGGGTGCGGTGGCTCAAGCCTGTAATCCCAGCACTTTTGGAGACTGAGGCGGGCAGATCACGAAGTCAGGAGATTGAGACTATCCTGGCTAACACGGTGAAATTCTGTCTCTACTAAAAAATACAAAAAATTAGCTGGGAATGGTGGCGTGCACATGTAGTGCCAGCTACTCGGGAGGCTGAGGCAGGAGAATGGTTAGAACCTGGGAGGTGGAGCTTGCAGTCAGCCGAGATCACGCCACTGCACTCCAGCCTGGGCAACACAGTGAGCCTCCATCTCAAAATAAATAAATAAAATAAAATAAAAAAAAGATGCTCCAACCATGATTGGTGATGCCAATCATAGAAGAAAAGAGAATATTGAGAAATAATAAGACAGCTACTTTAAACCATTCTGTGCCTGAACATTTTCATGGCAATATTGGTCATATTATAAATTTGAAAATATAAATGGTAATCTAAATTGACTTTAGTCTACCAGTGATTATGAGAGCTTTATCTAGGTGAAACACTTGCATTTTTATTTCTAACATTTTTTAGAAAATGTGAAACTCCGACCAAGTGCAGTGGCTCATGCCTGTAATCCCAGCTCGTTGGGAGGCCGAGGCAGGTGGATCACAAGGTCAAGAGATCGAGACCATCCTGTCCAATCTGGTGAAACCCCGTCTCTACTAAAAATACAAAAATTAGCTGGGCGTGGTGATGCGCACATGTAGTCCCAGCTACTCGGGAGGCTGAGGCAGGAGAATCGCTTGAACCCAGGAGGTGAAGGTTGCAGTGAGCCAAGATCGTGCCACTGCACTCCAGCCTGGGCAACAGAGCAAGACTCTATCTCAAAAAAAAAAAAAAAAAAAAAAAAAAAAAAAAAAAGAAGAAAAAGAAAATGTGAAGCTCCTTATTTTTTTGTTTTAATTTTAAGAATTCCACTTCCTAGATAAGCAGAACATAGAGCCAAGTGCTATGTTCTGGTTGTTTTTAATGAGTATATTTATGTTCTCCCCAATTTATTATTTATTAATGTCTAACTTCAATTAGATGAGTTGATTACTTTTCATACACCATTGACTAAAGGAAACCTAATTTTACACGTAATTCAAGGGGATCTGTAAGTAAGAACATTTTAAAATTAAACCAACACACGTGCATTGAAAATCATTCAAACAGTTTCATGGGCAAAAAACCAGTGAAAACCAGAAAATTTTTTTTTCCTTCCACAGACCTTGGTCCTGTTTTTCAGAGTTAGGCAAGGTTTATCATTTTCTTTTTTTACTATATGCTATTCTCTTGAACTGTAAATAATATTATACAATCACCTAATTTTGTTTTAACAATTTTAAGTAATATCCCTTGACTTTTTATGAACGGTAGAGAACATAGCTCATTTACCCTACTTTCTTCTTCTAAAACTATATTTCCAATTTAGTCTTTAATATATAATTTTATGGGATTTTTTAAAAATTTGCTTTCTCTAAATAATATACTTACAGTGCTTAATTCTTTGCTTAAATAATATGCTGTTTAGATAATATATGGTCCATCCAATTTGAACACCACTGATTGGCTCAGTAGGATGTGGAGATTAGTGTACAACTTCCCTCCCCTCCAACAGTCCCTGTCATAGCTTTCGACTTGTATCAAATTTCGTTCTATGCTTATATTTTCACATTTTATGTAAATTACATCCTATTTTGTAATTATAATAAAGTCTGTGCTTTGTTCGTAGGTTAATTTTGATCATGGAATCTCAAGTGAATTGACAGCATCATTATTATGTTTTCTTTTTTTTTCAAACCACAGTCGCAGGTGGCGTGATTTGATTTGTCTGAAGGCAATGAAAGGATACACAGATACACCGAAGCCTCCCAAAAGAATCCTGGTTCCAAGACTCAAGAAGATGGATTAATGTTTTTCCATTAATTGTTGGAATTTATGCCATTTTTTACTATATGCCATCAATTTTAAAGCACTTCTGAAAAGACATAACAATCTAAATGAGATGGCATTTTAAATTCATAAAAATATAGTATTTTCCTCAACTTTTATACATTTATGATGCATTATTTCTTATTTCCCGGGAATTTTACTACCTTTGTTTTGAATGATTAAAAAGGAAACACAGCACTTTTTTCAGCACATCACCAAGATAGCCTAGTTAATATTCTTCTCTTTCTGAAGTCGTTGAATTGGGACAGACAGCTTGCCAGGCCTGCTGCCACGTGTCAGCATCGCATCCCTACATTCAACCACACTTGCATCTAACGACCATCTCTTTCATTCAATTTCTTTTGCACCTTTTCTTCCTGAATGAGTGCATGATACTTAATTTTCCTGTGCACTTGCATGTCTCAAGAAGGTTTTAATTCTTTTTGTATTGCATTAATATTTAAGTTAAGTTTATAATTGCAAAATGATTTATACTCAGAACATTGAAGACTCCTTTGTTTTGTTACATCCTGTCAAAATGATGAGAAGACAGATCATCCTTTAGGGAAAAATTGGTTTTGATTGGCGTCAGCCTTTCCAACGGCAATGCTGGAGACAAGAATAAAATGAAGTAATATTTTTCAAGGATTAAAAGGAAACCAATTTTAATCCTTGAATTATTTGCAGCCACAATCTTTTAAATATGAAAGCCCAGAAAAAGACATTAAAAAGTAAGGCCTGAAAAGTTTTATTTCAAATAAATCCCTTTGAAAATGCTTAGAGGACATACTCCACTAAGAAGAGAAATACACCGTGGTGTTAGAATTGAGGGTTCCAGAATCAATGGTAGTGGTGTTTATCATACCCTAAAAAATACATGAAAACATAACATATTGAAAACAAACCCCGAGTAAACTTCAGAAAGCATCCCCTTAGACAAAGTGCTGTTGTAACAGAGAAAGCAAACCAGAGGTGGCCAGAGGAGGCTAGAGCACTTATCTGGTTTGCTGAGATGATATTAATTTTGACACATATCAGAAATTGAGAAAATTAACATAAATAATGATATAACCACCATTACAATGTTAAAAATTTCCAGATTTCAAACAAATAGAAAAAGATTTGATCTATAGAGTGAAAGGTACAAATAGGAAAAAATAAACAGTAAAGAAAGTATGAAAAATCATAAAATGAGATGACAGAAATAAGTCATAATGGAACAATAATTACATAAATCAAAGATTAAGATTGTCAGGTAAAATTTTTAAGTGTCAAAAAAACACTCAATAAAACCTATCGAAAATAAATTAGTGTAAAAAATATAGCAGGAAAATATGAATAAAAAGAGCTAGGTCCAATTTTTGATAAAAATTTGAATTCAAGTTAATAATATCCTAAAGAAGGAAAAAATCTGTAGACCAATAGAGAGAAAGGAAGGCGCATTCAGACAAAGAAAATGTGTACAGAACACTCTAGGGATATCAGAAGAGGCTGCTCATGGCCAGGCATGGTGGCTCATACCTGTAATCCCAGCACTATGGGAGGCCAAGGTGGGTGGATCACCTGAGCTCAGGAGTTCAGGACCAGCCTGGGCAGCAAGGGAAACCCCATCTCTACCAAAAATACAAAAAAATTCGCTAGCCCTAGTGGCACATGCCTGTGGTTCCCGTTACATGGGAGGCTGAGGTGAGAGGATTGCTTGAGCCCAGGAGGCGGAGGTTGCAGAGAGCCCAGATTTTGCCACTGCACTCCAGCCTGGGCAAGAATGTGAGACCCAGTCTCAAAACAAAACAAAACAAAACAAAACAAAAAAGAAGCTGCTCAAGACCAGACTGAGCTCCTAGACCTTGAACTCCAGTCCCACCTCACACCCTAAGGTTCCTAAAGAATCAGTAACTTAGTTCACCCTACCGCACTCCTGACTTCTGGATATAGCACAAGTTTCTAAACTTATGCAAACAGTGAGGACTATCTATTTTGACAAAATAAGAAATGGAGTCAAGGCAACATGTAAAAGATATTTTTGCCAGTTTTATTGATTAACAAAGAAAAATTGTATATAGTTAAGGTATGCAGTGTGATATTTTGATATACATATACATTGTGAAGTGATGATTACCACAATCAAGCTAACATATTCATCACCTCACCTGGTTACCTTTTTGTGTTTGTGTGGTGGAGAAGACTTGAGATCTACTCTTTCAGCAAATTTCAAGTATACATTATTATTGACTTTAGTCACTATGCTGTACATTAGATCTGCAGAACTTATTCATCTTATAACTGAAAGTTTGTACTTTCTGACAAATATTTTTTCTTTTCCCCCAACTCCCAGGCCCTAGTAAGCACTATTTTACTCTGTTACCATGAGTTTGACATTTTCTTAGTATGCATATAAGTGAAATCATGCAGGATTTTTTTGCATCTGTTCCTGGCTTATTTTACTTACCATAATAAACTCCAGGTTTATCCATCTTGTTACAAATGGCAGTATTACCTCATTTTTAAAGGCTAAATGATATTCCATTACATATGTGTGTGTGTGTGTGTGTGTGTGTGTGTGTGTAATACATTTAAAACATCCATTCATCTGTCAATGGACACAGGTAGTTTCCATACCTTGGCTGTGTAAATAACACTGTAATAAACCTGTAAGTATATATATCTGTCTGAGATAGTGATTTTCTTTACTTTGGATATATACCCAGATGTGGGATTGCTGGATTATATGGGAGTTCCATTTTTAATTTTTTGAGGAAACTCCATACTGTTGTCTGTAATGGCTGTACCAATTTACATTCCCATCAACTATCAACTAAGCACAAGGGTTTTTGTTTCTCAATATCCTCAGCAACATTTGTTACCTTTTTACTGTTATAAAAGCCATCCTAATAGATGTGAGGTGATATCTCATTGTGCATTTTCCTGATGATTAGTGACGGCAAACATCTTTTTCTTAATATATACCTATTGTCAATCGTATGTCCTTTAGAAATGTATCTCTTCAGGTCTGATATGCTTTGGCTGCATCCCCACCCAAATCGCATGTTGAATTGTAGCTCCCATAATTCCCATGTGTTATGGGAGGGACCCAGTAGGAGATAGTTGAATCATGGGAGCAGTTTTCCCCATACTGTTTTTGTGGTAGTAAATAAGCCTCACAAGATCCGATTGTTTTATAAGGGATTTCCTTTTTCACTTGGCTTTCATTCTGTCTTGCCTGCTGCTGTGTAATATGTGCCTTTAGTCTCCCACCATAAGTAAGGCCTCCCCAGCCTCATGGAACTGTGAGTCCATTAAACGTCTTTTTCTTTATAAATCACACAGTCTTTGGTATGCCTTTATCAGCAGCATGCAAACAGATGAATACAGTAAATTGGTACTGGTAGAGTGGGGTGCTGCTGTAAAGTTATCCAAAAATGTGGAACCAACTTCGGAACTGGGTAACAGGCAGAGGTTGGAACAGTTTGGAGGGCTCAGAAAAAGACAGAAAAATGTGAAAAAGTTTGGAACTCCCTAGAGATTTGTTGACTAGCTTTGACCAAAATGCTAATAATGATATGGACAATGAAATTCAGGCTGAGGTTGTCTCAGATAGTGATGAGGAACTTGTTGGGAACTGGAGTCAAGGAAAATCTTGCTATGTTTTAGCAAAGAGACTGGCAGCATTTTGCCCCTGCCCTGGAGATGTGTGGAACTTTGAACTTGAGGGAGATGATTTAGGGTAGCTGGCAGAATAAATTTCTAAGCAGCAAAGCATTCAAGATGTGACTTGGGTGCTGTTAAAAGCACTCAGTTTTAAAAGGAAACAGCATAAAACTTTGGAAAATTTGCAGCCAAACGATGTGATAGAAAAGAAAAGCCAATTTTCTGAGGAGAAATTCAAGCCAGCTGCAGAAATTTGCATAAGCAACAAGGACCCAAATGTTCATCACCAAGACAATGGGGAAAATATCTCCAGGACATGTCAGAGACCTTTGCAGCAGTCCCTCCCATTACAGGCCAAGAGGCCTAAAAGGAAAAAATGGTTTCCTGGGCTGGATTCAGGGGCCCCCTGCTGTTTGCCACCTAGTGACTTGATGCCCTGCATCCCAGCTACTCTAGCCATGGCTAAAAGGGTCCAAGGTACAGCTTGGGCTGTGGATTCAGGTGGTGCAAGCCCCAAACCTTGGCAGTTTCACATGGTGTTGAGCCTGTGGGTGCACAGAAGAATTGAGGTTTGGGAATCTCTGCCTAGATTTCAGAGGATGTATGGAAACTCCTAGATGTCCAGAAAGAATTTTGCTGCAGGGGTGGTGCCCTAATGGAAAACCTCTGCTAGGACAGTGCAGAAGGGAAATATGGGGTTGAAGCCCCCACACAGAGTCCCCACTGAGGTACTGCCTACTGGAGCTGTGAGAAGAAGGCCACTGTCCTCCGGACCCCAGAATGGTACAGCCACCAAAAGCTTGATCATGCACACAGGAAGGCTACAGACAATGCCAGTCCATGAAAGCAACCAAGAGGGGGGCTATGTCCTGCAAAGCCACAGGGGTGGAGCTGCCCAAGGCCATGGGAGCCCACTTCTTGCATAAGTGTGACCTGTGACCTGCATGTGAGACATGGAGTCAAAGGAGTTCATTTTGGAGCTTTAAGATTTGACAGGCCTGCTGGATTTTGGACTTGGGGCCTGTAGCCCCTTTGTTTTGGCCAAATTCACCCATTTGGAACAGGTATGTTTACCTGCTCCCTGTACCTCCATTGTATCTGGAAAGTAACTAACTTGCTTTTAACTTTATGAATTCATAGCTGGAAGGGACTTGCCTTGTCTCAGATAAGACTTTGGACTGTGGACTTTTGAGTTAATACTGAAATGAGTTAAGATGTTAAGGGACTGTTGGGGAGGCATAATTTGTTTTCAAATGTGAAGACATGAAATTTGGGAGGAGCTGGGGCAGAATGATATGATTCGGCTGTGTCCCTACCCAAATCTCCTCTTGAATTGTAGTTCCCATAATTCCCACATGTTGTGGGAGGGACCTGGTGGAAGACAATTGAATCATGGGGGCAGTTTCTCCCATACTGTTCTCGTGGTAGTAAATAAGTCTCATGAGATCTGATTGCTTTATAACAGGTTTCCCCTTTTGCTTGGCTTTCATCCTGTCTTGCTGGCTGTCATGTAAGACATACCTTTCACCTTCCACTGTGATTGTGAGGCCTACCCAGCTACGTGGAACTGTGAATCCATTAAACCTCTTTTTTTTGGAGATGGAGTCTGGCTCTGTCACCCAGGCTGGAGTGCAGTGGTGCGATCTCTGCTCACTGCAAGCTCCACCTCCAAGATTCACGCCATTCTCCTGCCTCAGCCTCCCAAGTAGCTGGGACTACAGGCACCCACCACCACACCTGGCTAATTTTTTGTATTTTTAATAGAGACAGGATTTCACCATGTTAGCCAGGATGATCTCTATCTCCTGACCTCATGATCCGCCTGCCTCGGCCTCCCAAAGTGCTGGGATTACAGGCGTGAGCCACCGTGTCTGGCCAAACCTTTTTCTTTATAAATTACCCAGTCTCAGGTATGTCTTTATCATCATCATGAAAACAGACTAATACAAGATCCTTTGGAATTGTCTGAGTTCCTAATTTATTTGGATATTAACTTCTTATCAGATGTATAGTTTGTAAATATTTTCTCCCATTCTTTAGGTTATCTTTTCATTGTATTGGTTGTCTCCTTTGCTGTGCTGAAGCTTTTAGTTTGATTTACTCCCATTTGTCTATTTTTGCTTTTGTTGTCTATACTTTTGGTATCAAATCTGAAAATTTATTACCAATACCAGTATCAAGGAGCTTTTCTCCGATATTTATATCTAAGAGTCTTACAATATTGGTCCTATGTTGAAGTCTTTCATCCATTTTGAGACAATTTTTGTATGTACAGTGAGATAAGGGTTCAGTTTCATTCTTCTGCATGTGGATATCCAGTTTTCCCAACACCATTTAATAAAGAGACTAAATTTTATCATTGTGTACTCTTGGCACCAATGCTAGAGATCAATTGATTGTAAAGTCATGGATTTATTTCTTTCTATGATCTCTATTCTGTTCCCTTGGCCTACATGTCTGTTTTTATGCCAGTAGCATACTATTTTGATTACTATAGCTTTATAATTTAGTTTGGAATAAGGTAATGTGATGCTTCCACTTTTGTTTTTTCTGCTGAAGGATGTTTTGACTGTTTGGGGTCATTTGAGGTTGCATAAAAATTTTAGAACTGCTTTTTTCCATTTCTTTGAAAAATGCCATTGAAATTTTGATGGGGTTGCATTACATCTATAGATCGCACTGAGTAATAGGGATATGTATCTTCTTCAAATTCTTTCATCAGTGTTTTATAGTTGTTGGTATATACAAATTTTACTGTCTTATTTAAATTTCTTCGTAAGTAGTTAATTTTTTGATGCTATTGTAAATGAGATCGTGTTCTTTCAGACGGACTCTCACTCTGTCGCCCAGGCTGGAGTGCAGTGGTGTGATCTTGGCTCACTGCAAGCTCTGCCTCCCGGGTTCACGCCAATCTCCTGCCTCAGCCTCCCGCCACCACGCGCAGCTAATTTTTTGTATTTTTAGTAGAGACAGGGTTTCTCCGTGTTAGCCAAGATGGTCTCGATCTCTTGACCTTGTGATCTGCCCACCTCAGACTCCCAAAGTGCTGGGATTACAGGCGTGAGCCACTGTGCCCGGCCCGAGATTGTTTTGTTAATTTCTTTCTGGGATACTCAACTATTAGTATATAAAAACGTAACAGGTTTTTTTTTAATGTTAATTATGTGTTCTGCAAATTTGCTTGTTTCTTAATTTTAACAGTTTTTAATTGGAGCCTTTAGAATTTTCTCTATATGAGATCATGTCATCTTCAAATAGAGACACTTTCACTTCTTTTCCAGTTTGGATACCTTTTATTTCTTTTTCTTACCTAATTGCTCTGGCTAGGACTTACAGACTTTTTCAGAAACCCCCCAAAATAATCTAAGGGAGTCCATTGTCAGTAGGCCTGCTTTATAAGAAATTCTAAAGGGAGTTCTTCAAACTGAAATGCAATAAGACTAATTAGCATCACGAAAACATATGTAGTTATAAAAAGTCACCAGTAAAAGTAACTAAACAGTCAAATTCAAAATATTCCTAATACTGTAATGATGGAGTATAATCACTTTAACTTTTAAAAGGTTAAAAGACATAAAATATTACAAATAAATATAACTACAAAATAAACAAAGAAATAAACGCTGACATCAAAAAAACATAAAAAGTGGAGGGGAGTAAAGTGTAGGGTTTTGTATATGCTTGAAGTTAAGTTGCTATCAACTTAAAATAGACCATTATAACTATAATCATACATTTCTTAATGTGGATATGTTCTGAATAATGCCTCATTATGCAATTTTGTCATGGTGTGAATATCATAGAGTATACTTACACAAAATTAGATAATACCACCTACTACACACCCAGGCTATATGGTATAACCTATTGCTTCCAGGCTACAAATCTGTACAGCATTGTACTATACTGAATGCTATAGGCAACTATAATACAATGATAAGCATTTGTGTATCCAAATATATCTAAACATATAAAAGATACAATAAAAATGTTATAACCTTACAGGGCCACCGTTGTATATGTGGCCCATCATTGACCAAAACATCCTTATGTGGCAGATGAGAGCATGTGATGTTTTATGGAAGCCTCAGGATAATCACAAAGACAAAACATGTAATAGTTACACAAATGAGAATTTTACCACATGTTTAAAAAAGAATTAATACAAAGACACAGAAAAGAACCAAAGTATACCACTACAGAAAATAATCAAAATAATCAAATCATGCACAGCAAGAGAGAAATAAAAGAACAAAGAAACTGCGAAATGCCTATCAATAGTTACTTTAAATATCAGTGGATCAAATTAGAAAAGACACAGGGTGGCTGAATGGACAGTAAAACAATAACCAAATATATGCCGCCTATAAGAGATTCACTTCACCTTTAGAGACACACATAGACTGAAAGGAAAGACAGGGAACAAAAAAAAAAGAAAGAGTAGCTATTCTTACAACAAACAAAATAAACTTTAAGTCAAAAACTGTAACAAGAGGGAAAGAAAGTCATTATAGAATGATACAAGGGTCAATTCATCAAGAGGATATAATTACTACAAATATATATTCTCCCAACATTGGAACACCTAATTGTATAAAGCAAATATTAACAAATCTGAAGAGAGAAGTGACAACGATAATACAATAACAGTAGGGGACTTCCATATCCCACTTTCAACAATGGATTGATCACTCACACAGATAATCAATAAGGAAACAGATGACTTGAACTACACTATAGATCAAATGGACCAGACATATACAGGACATTACTTTCCAAAACAGCAAAATACACATTCTTCTTGAGCACACACAGTACATTCTCCTACACAGGTCATATATTGGGGGAGAAAACAAGTCTTAGCAAATTTAAGAAGATTGAAATCTTATCAAGTATTCTTTTTGACCACAGTGGCATGAAACTGAAAATTAAAAACAGGAGAAAACTTAGAAAAGTGACAAATATGTGGAAATCAACCAACACACTCCTGAACAACCAATAGATCAAAGAAAACATCAAAAAAGAAATAAAATATCTTGAGACAAACTAAAATGAAAGCACAACATACTAAAACTTATGAGATGAAGCAAAAGCAATTCTAACAGGGAAGTTTATACAGGTTAAGTGCTAAATGAAGAAAAAAGATCTCAAATAAACAATAAACCTCAAAGAAATAGAAAAGAAAAAAAATGAAGCCCAAAATTAGAAGAAGGAAGGAAATAACGAAGATGATAGCAGAAGTAAATGAAATACACTAGAAAAACAATAGAAAAGATCAATGAAACAAAAAGCTGATTTTTTGAAAACATAATGGCTGGGCGCGGTGGCTCATGCCTGTAATCCCAGCACTTTGGGAGGCGGGCTGATCACGAAGTCAGAGATCAAGACCATCCTGGCTAACATGGTGAAACCCCGCCTCTACTAAATATACAAAAAATTAGCAGAGCGGGGCAGCGTGCGCCTGTAGTCCCAGCTACTTGGGAGGCTGAGGCAGGGGAGTGGCATGAACCCAGGAGGCAGAGCTTGCAGTGAGCAGAGATTGCGCCACTGCACTACAGCCTGGGAGACAGAGCCAGACTGAGTCTCAAAAAAATAAAATAAAATAAAATAAAAATAATAAAAATTGACCAACCTTTCACTAGGCTAAGAAAAAAGAGAGAAGCCTCAAATAAATAAAATTAGAACAAAAAAGCAGATATTAAAATTGGTACCATAGAAATACAAAGGATAATAATAGTCTAAACAACTATGTGTCAACAAATTGTTTAACTTAGAAGAAATAGAGAGATTTCTAGAAACATACATCCCTTAAGATTGAAACATGAAGAAATAGAAAATCAACACAAATAATGAGTAAAAATATTGAGTCAGTGGTCAAAAAGCTCCTGAAAAAGGAAAATCCAAGACCAGATAGCTTAGTGGAGAAGTCTAGCAAATGTTTAAAGAAGAATTAGTACCATTTCTTTACAAACTCTTCCAAAAGTTGAAGAGGAGGGAACACAAACATTTTTTATGAGACCAGCATTACCCTGATAACAAAGACAGAAAAGGATACTACAAGGTTGACAGATATTTTTAAGGTGCAAATGATGTATTGTTGGAATTGAAAATACAGGATTTGTTTGTACAAAGATTTGTGTGTGGATAGGTGGATGCATACTGGTGTGTGCATGCATACATATACAAGCTTACCTTGTTTTATTGCACTTCACTTTATTATGCTTCTCGGATATTGCATTTTTTACAGGTTGAAGATTTATGGCAACCCTGCATCAAGCAAGTCTACCAGTGCCACTTTTCTGGCAGCATGTGCTTATTTTGTATCTCTGTGTTACATTTTTGTAATTCTTGCAATATTTCAAATGTTTTGTTATTATTATATCTGTTACGGTAATCTGTGATCAGTGATCATTGATATTACTATTGTCATTGTTTTGGGGCATCACAAACCATGCTCCAAAAGACAATGAGCCTAACTGATACATATATGTGTCTGAATGGTTCCATCTATCTGCCCTTCCTCCATCCCCCCAACTCCTCAGGTCTCCCTGTTTTCTGAGACACAGGAATATTGAAATTAGGCCAATTAATAACTCTACAAAGGCCTCTATGTGTTCAAGTGAAAGTAAGAGTCACACATCTCTTATTTAAATCAAAAGTGAGAAATGATTAAGGTGAGTGAGGAAGGCATGTTAAAAGCTGAAACAGGCCAAAAACTAGGCTTCCTGCACCTAACAGCCAAACTGTGCATGAAAAGAAAAAGTTCTTGAAGGAAATTAAAAGTATTACTCCAATGAACACATGAGTGGTATGAAAGTGAAAGAGACTTATCACTGATATGGAGAAGGTTTGAGTGGTTTGGATAGAAGATCAAACCAACCACAACATTTCCTTAAGCCAAACCCTAATCGAGAGCAAGGACCTAATTCTTCTTAATTCTCTGAAGGCTGAGAGAGGTTGGGAAGCCACAGAAAAAAGTTTGAAGCTAGCAGAGATTGGTTCATGAGGTTTAATGAAAGAAGTCTTCTCCATAAGATAAAAGTGCAAGGAAAAGCAGCAAGTGCTGATGTAGAAGCTGCAGCAAGTCATCCATAAGATCAGCTAAGAGAAGCAACAAAGGTGGCTACACTAAACAAAGGTTTTTACTGCAGATAAAACAGCCTTATATTGGAAGAGGATGTCATCCAGGACTTTTACAGCCAGGTAGCAAAATAAATGCCTGACTTCAATGCTTCAAAGAACAGGATGACTCTTTTGTTAGGGGCTTAAGCTGAAGCCAAAGCTCATCTACCATTCTGAAAATTCTAGGGCCCTTAAGAACTATGCTACATCTACTCTGCCTGTGCTCTATAAATGGGACAAAGCCTGAATGACATCACATCTGTTACGACATGAATATTTTAAGCTCACACCTGAGAACTACTGCTTTAAAAAAAGATCTCTTTCAAAATATTATTGTTCATTGACAATTTACCTGGTCACCCAAGAGGTCTGATGGAGAACTACAAGAAAATTAAAGCTGTTTGTATGCCTGCTAATACAACATCCATTCTGCAGCCCAGGGATCAATGAGTAATTTAGACTTTCAAGCCTGATTATCTGAGAAATACATTTCATAAGGCTGTAGCCACCATGTATAGTAGTTCCTTCGATAGATCTGGGTAAAGTAAGTTGAAAACCTTCTAGAAAGGTTTCACCATTCTAGAAGCATTTGCAATTCATGGGAGGAGGTTAAAATTAAGAACATTTGTGATTCATGGGAGGAGGTCAAAATATCAACATTAAAAGAAATTTGGAAGAAGTTGATTCCAATCCTCATGGATGACTTTGAGGGTTCAAGACTTCAGTGCAAGAAGTAACTTCAGATGTGGTGGAAATAGCAAGAGAACTAAGATTAAAAGATGTGAAGAGATCTTAAGATGTGGCTGAATTGCTGAAATCTCATGACAAAATTTTAACAAATGAGAACTTGGATGAGCAAAGAAAGTGGTTTCTTGAGATGGAAACTACTCCAGGTGTAGATGCTGTGAACCTTGTTGAAACGACAACAGAGTATTTAGAAAATTGCATAAACTTAGTGGATAAAGCAGTGGCAGGGTTTGAGAGGATTGTCTCCGATTTGAAGGAAGCTCTACTGTGGGTAAAATGCTATCAAACAGCATTGCATGCTACAGAGGAATCTTGAAAGAAATAGTCAACTGATGTAGCAAACTTCATTGTTGTCTTATTTTAAGAAATTGCCACAGCCACCTCACCTCCAGCAGCTTCCACCATGATGAGTCAGCAGCCACAACACTGAGGCAAGGCCACTGACCAGCAAAAAGATATTGATGTTGAAGATTCAGGTGATCGATAGCATTTTTAAACAGTAAAATAATTTTTGACTAAGGTATGTACATTGACTTTTTTAGACATAATGGTATTGCCCACTTAATAGACTACAGTATAGTATAGACCTAACTTTTATATGCACTGAGAAACCAAAAATTCTGTGTGATTTGCCTTATTGCCATATTTGTTTTATTGCAGAACTGGCCACCAGAATCTTCCCTTCCCCTAGAACGCCCTTCACCCAAGCCACCTGCATTTTCCCCTCACCCATCATACCCACCCCCATTGTCTGGCTTGCCCTCCACCTCCTCCAAAAGCCTTCATTGCTCCCCCACTGCTGGACTGCATTCTGACTCCGTCTCAATGTGGCTCAATGGCACTTCCATTGGGCACTGCCCTAAAGAGCTCATCTCCACAGTGGCCTGAAACCAAACCCACAGTATCTCTGAGGTATGCCTATGTAGCAGTCCCATAAGTTATCGTGCACTTTAAGCATTACCAAGTCCAGAACTGTAAATGCTATACATTTACAGAAATACCACTTGAAGGTTTAACTACTTATAACTGTTTCATAATTAGAATTACAAATTTTAAATATGAATTATTTTAATTGGGGGGAGGGGCCAAGATGGTTGAGTAGAAACAGCTCTACTCTGCAGCCCCCACTGAGACAAACATAAACAGCGAGTGAATTCTGCATTTCTAACTGAGGTATCCAGATTCCCTCATTGGGACTGACTAGGCAGTTGGTGTGACCCATGGAGAGCAAGGAAAAGCAGAGTTGGGTGACAGTTCACCCAAGAGCTACACAGGGCAAAGAGACCTCCCTCCTCCAGCCAAGGGAGGCAGTGAGGGATTGTGCTACCCACCCAGGGAACTGTGCTTTACCCACAGATTTTTGCAAACCCCAGAACAGGTAATCCCTTTGTGAGTCCACACCACCAGGGCCTTGGGTCCCAAGCACAAAGCTGTGCAGACCCATAGCAGGGGCTCCAGCTGGCAGCCACTTGGGCAGGTACTGAGCTGTAGGAGTTTCTGCATACTCTGGTGGCTCGCAGAAATCCAGTGAAGCAGGAGATCCATCAACTCCCATGAGAAGGGGGCTGAAGCCAGGGAGCCAAGCAGACCCACTCCCACAGAACCCCACAAGCTAAGACCCACTAGCATGGAATCCCCACTGGCCAGCACAGCACCTGGAGTCTGCCTAAGAAGACCAAGTTCCTGGGGGGAAGGGTGACCGCCATTACTGCGGGTCTAGCCGGTGGTTTTCCCCCGCCAGTGCTAGGGAGACTGGGTGGTTTGCACTGGGCAGAATTCCCCACAGTGCAGTACAGAGGCTGTGGCAGATATACCATTATTGTATATCCAAAGGAATATAAATCATTCTATTACAAAGATACATGCACGTGTATGTTTATTGCAGCACTGTTCCCAATAGCAAAGACATGGAATCAACCCAATGCCCACCAATGATAGACTGGATAAATAAAATGTGGTACATATACACCATGGAATACTATGCAGCCATAAAAAGGAATGAGATCAAGTCCTTTGCGGGGACATGGATGAAGCTGGAAGCCATTATCCTCAGCAAACTAACACAGGAACAGAAAACCAAATACCACATGTTCTCACTTACAAGTGGGAGCCGAACAATGAGAACATATGGACACTGGGAGGGGAACAACACACTCTGGCACCTGTCGAGGGAGGGCTGGTGGTAGGGAGAGCATCAGGAAAAATAGCTAATGCATGCTGGGTTTAATACCTAAGTGATGGGTTGATAGGTGCAGCAAATCACCATGGTACATATTTGCCTATGTAAGAAAACTGCATGTCCTGCACATGTATCCTGAAAGTTAAAATAAAATAAATACATAAGTACATAAATAAAACTTTAAAAGACAAAAAAAAATCTTAATTGTATGTGGGTAGTTCCCTTTGATTGAAAGTGAGATAGAAATAATTTTTTAAAACTTACTATTCAAAATTTGCAAAACTAAATAAGAGTAAAAGAAATTTACATTTTGTCCCTGGATTGATACAAGACAAAAACATAGTGTGGGAAAGCTGGAGTTGAGGATGAACGAGATTCTGAGAATGAAAATCCCTGGTTCATAGCCAAAATTTCAGAACTTCAGATTTTCAAGGGCTATAAAATAGGTAACCTCAAGCCACCGTCTCCAACAGATAAAAGGAACCAGGTAATATCTATATTCCAGGGAGAAAGAATAGAAAATTGGCTATCACTGACAAAACTTAGTGGGAAGGAGGGATCTAGAAGGTGGGATGGTGGAGGGATCCCCAGCTTTGGGGGTGGGGAGGGGCTGTGCTCCAGTCTCCCCCTCCCCTGCCCCTCTCCCTCCCCCTCCCCCTCCTGCTGCACCTCCCCCTCCCTCTGCCCCTCCCCCTCCCACTGCCCCTCCCCAACAAAGGAGCCCTTTGTGACATCAAGGCCCCACCTCTGTGACGCAGGCCTGGGCCCCAGTCCCTAGTCTCCACGGGGATGCCCAGAGCTCAGTTGCTTGAAAGCAACGTGCCTATTCACATGGAGAATCTTCCCTTTCCTTTAAAATTACTTAGTGCCTCATCGCTAAACGCCCCCAGCTCCACACCATGGGTGTTGGATATCTTCCTCACCTTGGTGTTTGCCCTGGGGTTCTTCTTCCTATTACTCCCCTACTTATCTTACTTCCATTGTGATGACCCACCCTCACCATCGCCTGGGAAGAGAAAGGTAAGGAACCCTCAGTCCCGACCCACAGAGCTTGATTCTCTCCTTTCTTTTTATTATTAGTTCCACTTTTCCAAATCCAGTGGAGAGCCTTCTATGATGGGAAGTCTCAGAAGAGACCAGAACATCATCCTTCCAGGGAGAGGCAGGGCAGCCAGGGGTTGGTAGGGGTAGATAGTGTACTGGGATTTCCATCCCAAGATCTCAGTCCATCTGTGGGGGAGCACAGGAGGCATCAAGGCAAAATCAAACCAGTGGACTCAGCACCAGTACCAGTCATGAGACTGGGGAGGTCTCTGTCCGAGACCAGGCCCTGAGCCCTGGCTCATCAGCCCCTTTCTGGGGCAGGTGGCTCAGGGCCCAGCCTCCCCTGTGTGGGGTGATCTGGGGCCTGTGCTGGGCCCCCGAGGGCCTCCCACCAGGGCCTGGTGTCTCCTCTGGTCTTCTGGGAAGCAGAATCCTACCTGATAGCTCAGCAGTGCCTGCGGGCCTGAACTTGGGTGTTCCTGGAGCAGAGGAACAGGGACTGAAGGTGTCCGTGGTGGACCTCATATTGAAAATCCCTCTGTGTGTGTGTGTGTGTGTGTGTGTGTGTGTGTGTGTGTGTGTTATTTTTATTTTATTTGTGTGTTATTTTATTTTATTTTATTTTATTTTATTTTATTTTATTTTTTGAGATGGAGTCTCGCTCTGTGACGCAGGTTGCAGTGAAATGGAGTGATATAGGCTCACTGCAACCTCTGCTTCCCGAGTTCAAGCGATTCTCCTGTCTTAGCGTCCTGAATAGCTGGGGATTACAGGCGCCCACCACCATGCCTGCCTAATTTTTGTATTTTTAGTAGAGACGGGGTTTCACCATGGCCAGGCTGGTCTCAAACTCCTGACCTCAGGTGATCAACCCACCTTGGCCTCCCAAAGTGCTTGGATTATAGGCGTGAGCCACCACGCCCAGCCCCCTCTTGCTGTTTTTCTAAGAAGAAAAGCAGTTTATCATCCAGTTAAACATGAGTGGGAGGAAGCACACAGAGCTCCCTGAGCAAGACAGAGAGAGTCATGCGGTTCCTGAGTGCAGCATGCTGCGGCTGGGCTGGAGCAGAGAGGGAGAGCCAGTCCTAGCTTCTCGCCCTTTCTTGTCTCCCATTGTCATCTTGTCTCTCCGCGTCATCTTGTCTCCGTACGTCATCATGTCTCCCAGTGTCCAGTAGGGCGGAGGCGGAGGCCCAGAGGCAGGATGAAAAACCACAGTCTGAGAGGTAAGGCTCTGCCAGAGCACACTAGAGTTAATTTGATCTCATCTGTCCCGGAGGGAACTGACTCTGAAGAAGTCAGTTGAAGAAGCCTGAGGTGGGGGCTCCTAGGAAGGAAATCAGAACCCCGGGTCCTTCTCAGATTCCATGCGGGAATGAAGCCATGGTGGGCCAGGGACTGGGCGTTACCCAGCAGGGGGCAGTGTGTGTGTCCTGGGGAGACCAATGCCTGCCTGGATGCGGAGGGGGGTGAGGGGGCCTCCCGCTCCCTGGGAACAGCTGTCCAACTCTGCTAAGGCTGATTCCTCTTTGAGACCACCTCAGTCCTTTCTCCCCACAGGGCAGTTGTGAGGACTGTGGGGGTGGGGGGTCCGTGTGTGGAAGCCTGTTGTGAATGAAAAAGCCCTGTCCTCCATGCCTTGCTATTAACGTCGGGGTCATGTGGCTTTGGACACAGATGGGTGGGGTCCAGGGTCTAATTCCCCATGGTCCTCCCTAAAGAAACAGCCACTCAGCCTCCTGTGAGATCCCAGGCCCCTCCCTCACTGCCCTAACCCAGTCTCCTGATTTCCAGCTGGTAGAGAGTGCCCGAGAGGCCTGGAGGAGACTTCGGACCTTCTTTCACAACTGCAGAGGTGAGGCACTTCCCCTTCCCTGCATCCTTCCTACCAGGGCTGGGACATGACCCAAGGGCCACAGGCAGCCTGGAGCTGACCTGGGATGGGGAGACCAGGGGGACAGAGGATGGGAGTAAAACCCTGGGGCGAGGGGTAGCAGGAGAATTGGGCAATCAGGGTGTGGGATGGTGGAGGGGCTGTGGCCCGAGCACCCACTCTGCCCTCCGGCCCCACCGGCTCCTGGCTGCAGCTCGTGCCTCCTGTCTCCTGCAGCCTCCTGGGGCCACACCTTGACAAAGGTGACTTTGGTCAGCTCTCCGGTCCAGACCCCCCAGGTGAGGTGGGCGAAAGAGCACCTGATGGAGCCTCCCAGTCCTCTCATGAGCCTATGGAAGATGCTGCTCCCATTCTCTCCCCGTTAGCTTCCCCGGATCCTCAAGCCAAGCATCCTCAGGATCTGGCCTCCACCCCATCACCAGGCCCAATGACCACCTCAGTCTCCTCCCTAAGTGCCTCCCAGCCACCAGAACCTTCCCTTCCCCTAGAACACCCCTCACCCGAGCCACCTGCACTTTTCCCTCACCCACCACACACCCCTGATCCTCTGGCCTGCTCTCCGCCTCCTCCAAAAGGCTTCACTGCTCCTCCCCTGCGGGACTCCACACTGATAACTCCATCTCACTGTGACTCAGTGGCACTTCCACTGGGCACCGTCCCTCAAAGCTTGTCTCCACATGAGGATTTGGTGGCTTCTGTCCCAGCCATCTCAGGCCTTGGTGGCTCAAACAGTCATGTTTCTGCCTCCTCCCGGTGGCAGGAGACTGCCAGAACCTCGTGCGCCTTTAACTCATCAGTCCAGCAAGATCCTCTTTCCCGCCACCCACCAGAGACCTGTCAGATGGAAGCTGGTAGCCTGTTTTTGCTCAGCTCTGATGGCCAGAATGTCGTGGGGATACAAGTCACAGAAACAGCCAAGGTCAACATTTGGGAAGAAAAAGAAAATGTTGGATCATTTACAAATCAAATGACCCCAGAAAAGCACTTAAATTCTTTGGGGAATTTGGCTAAATCATTGGATGCTGAGCAGGACACCACAAACCCAAAACCCTTCTGGAACATGGGAGAGAACTCGAAACAGCTGCCCGGACCTCAGAAGTGCTCAGATCCTAGGCTCTTGCAGGAAAGTTTTTGGAAGAATTATAGCCAGCTTTTCTGGGGCCTCCCCTCTCTGCACAGCGAGTCCCTGGTGGCTAACGCCTGGGTAACTGACAGGTCTTATACTTTACAGTCTCCTCCTTTCTTGTTCAATGAAATGTCCAATGTCTGCCCAATTCAAAGGGAGACTACAATGTCCCCACTGCTTTTCCAGGCCCAGCCCCTGTCCCACCGCCAACCCTTTATTTCATCCACACCCCAATTCCTGCCCACACCTATGGCTCAGGCCGAGGCTCAGGCCCATCTTCAGTCTTCTTTCCCAGTCCTATCTCCTGCTTTTCCATCCCTGATTAAGAACACTGGAGTAGCTTGCCCTGCATCGCAGAATAAAGTGCAAGCTCTCTCCCTACCTGAAACTCAGCACCCTGAATGGCCTTTGTTGAGGAAACAACTAGAAGGTAGGTTGGCTTTACCCTCTAGGGTCCAAAAATCTCAGGACGTCTTTAGTGTCTCCACTCCTAACCTTCCCCAGGAAAGTTTGACATCCATTCTGCCTGAGAACTTTCCAGTCAGTCCTGAACTCCGGAGACAACTGGAGCAACACATAAAAAAGTGGATCATCCAACACTGGGGCAACCTGGGAAGGATCCAAGAGTCTCTGGATCTGATGCAGCTTCGGGACGAATCACCAGGGACAAGTCAGGCCAAGGGCAAACCCAGTCCCTGGCAGTCCTCCACGTCCACAGGTGAAAGCAGCAAGGAGGCACAGAAGGTGAAGTTCCAGCTAGAGAGGGACCTGTGCCCACATCTGGGGCAAATTCTGGGTGAGACCCCACAAAATCTATCCAGGGACATGAAAAGCTTCCCACGGAAGGTTCTGGGGGTGACTTCTGAGGAGTCGGAAAGGAACTTGAGGAAGCCCTTGAGGAGTGACTCGGGAAGTGATTTATTAAGATGCACAGAGAGGACTCATATAGAAAACATCCTGAAAGCCCACATGGGCAGGAACTTGGGCCAGACCAACGAGGGCTTGATCCCCGTGCGTGTGCGTCGATCCTGGCTTGCTGTCAACCAGGCTCTTCCCGTGTCCAACACCCATGTGAAAACCAGCAATCTAGCAGCCCCGAAAAGTGGGAAAGCCTGTGTGAACACAGCCCAGGTGCTTTCCTTCCTCGAGCCGTGTACTCAGCAGGGGTTGGGAGCCCATATTGTGAGGTTTTGGGCCAAACACAGGTGGGGTCTACCCCTCAGGGTCCTCAAGCCCATTCAGTGCTTTAAACTGGAAAAGGTTTCATCCTTGTCCCTTACGCAG
Organism: Homo sapiens; assembly: GCF_000001405.40. Lineage (NCBI taxonomy): Eukaryota > Metazoa > Chordata > Mammalia > Primates > Hominidae > Homo > Homo sapiens. The sequence goes on from NC_000009.12 coordinate 42,188,205, forward strand.
CTTGCTGGTCCCTCCTCAGCCACCTGTGAATCTGGGGCTGGCTCAGAAGTTGAGGTGGACATGTTCCTTAGAAAGCCACCAATGGCAAGTCTGAGAAAGCAGGTGCTGACCAAAGCATCTGATCACATGCCAGAGAGTCTTCTGGCCTCCTCACCTGCATGGAAGCAGTTCCAGAGGGCACCGCGAGGAATCCCATCTTGGAATGATCATGGGCCCTTGAAGCCTCCTCCAGCTGGACAGGAGGGCAGGTGGCCATCTAAGCCCCTCACGTACAGCCTCACAGGCAGCACCCAGCAGAGCAGGAGCTTAGGAGCCCAATCTTCAAAGGCTGGAGAGACAAGGGAGGCAGTGCCACAATGCAGAGTCCCCTTGGAAACCTGTATGCTGGCAAACCTCCAAGCCACAAGTGAGGATGTGCATGGTTTCGAGGCTCCAGGGACCAGCAAAAGCTCTCTACACCCTAGAGTGTCTGTCTCCCAAGATCCAAGAAAGCTGTGTCTTATGGAGGAGGTTGTTAGTGAATTTGAGCCTGGAATGGCCACAAAGTCAGAGACCCAGCCTCAAGTTTGTGCCGCTGTTGTGCTCCTTCCAGATGGGCAAGCATCTGTTGTGCCCCACGCTTCAGAGAATTTGGTTTCTCAAGTGCCCCAGGGCCATCTCCAGAGCATGCCTACTGGGAACATGCGGGCTTCCCAGGAGCTACATGACCTCATGGCAGCCAGAAGGAGCAAACTGGTGCAAGAGGAGCCCAGAAACCCAAACTGTCAAGGCTCATGCAAGAGCCAAAGGCCAATGTTTCCCCCTATTCACAAGAGTGAGAAGTCTAGGAAGCCCAACTTAGAAAAACATGAAGAAAGGCTTGAAGGATTGAGGACTCCTCAACTTACCCCAGTCAGGAAAACAGAAGACACCCATCAGGATGAAGGCGTCCAGCTACTGCCATCAAAGAAACAGCCTCCTTCAGTAAGCCACTTTGGAGAAAACATCAAGCAATTTTTTCAGTGGATTTTTTCAAAGAAAAAAAGCAAGCCAGCACCAGTCACTGCTGAGAGCCAAAAAACAGTAAAAAACAGATCATGTGTGTACAGCAGCAGTGCTGAAGCTCAGGGTCTCATGACGGCAGTTGGACAAATGCTGGACAAGAAAATGTCACTTTGCCATGCGCACCATGCCTCGAAGGTAAATCAGCACAAACAGAAGTTTCAAGCCCCAGTCTGTGGGTTTCCCTGCAACCACAGGCACCTCTTCTACTCAGAACATGGCAGAATACTGAGCTATGCAGCCAGCAGTCAACAAGCCACTCTCAAGAGCCAGGGTTGTCCCAACAGAGACAGGCAAATCAGAAATCAACAGCCCTTGAAAAGTGTGCGGTGCAACAATGAGCAATGGGGCCTGCGACATCCCCAAATCTTGCACCCCAAGAAAGCTGTATCCCCAGTCAGTCCCCCTCAGCACTGGCCGAAGACATCCGGTGCCTCTAGCCACCATCACCACTGTCCAAGGCACTGTCTTCTTTGGGAAGGTATCTGATTTGGTCAGTCACAAATTCTTTTTTAGCCTTCCCTGGAGAAAAACAAGTCCCCAAGAAAAAATTCACTCTATGTAGAGAAAAAATATTTTCTCTCATGTTAGTAAATGCAGAACATTTAATATTCCACAATATATATGGTTTTTTATTTATAAGAGGGTGATGGCTTCTATTTGTGCCATGCTTGGTGTGGGCTTGGTTTCCAGATGCGACAGGACATGGAGGGATGTTGACAGTGGTGCTGTAAGCCCACCTTCATCCTGAGTTCCTTCACTGAACCTTATGTTTCCGTAATATCGTCTTTACACAAACAACAAAAAATTCTAAAAACAAGATGAGAAAAACCTATGAAGGTCCCACTCTGAAATAAGGTTCAACCCATCTTTCCACTACTTACTCTACCTCAAACTTCATGCAGCTGTAGGGAGAAGGTTTGCAGAGATGTCACGGGACTGAACATCTCCATGCAGGCTCCAGGAAGTGCCACAGCCGAGTACCTTCATGTGTCAAAAAATAGTGGAAGTTTGGGTGGGAGAGTGCTGGGCCCTGAGTTCAGAAGTGGGAGAAGTCTTGACCCTGGGTATCCTGGTGGAGAATAGATAACGTCTGCCCCTGGGAAGCCCCTTCTCTCCCTGACAAAGGCTGGGATGGAGATGGGCCCTCTTAGCTCAGCCAACATGCGAAGCAGAGAGTCCCCATCCCACTGCCTCTCCCTTTCTCGCACTCTGGAGTGGCAGTGGGGACAGACCTTCCAGCTCTGTGCATGTGTAGGTGGGGGCTAGGGGGTCAGGGGGGCAGCCTTTATGGAGGTTGCTGAGGGCCGTGAACTCCCCTGCCCCAGATGAGTGAATGACCCTGCTCCTGGGTCACCGGCCTTTGTCTATCTCACCTACATGTCTCTCAGCTTCAGTGAAGTAGTTCTGGGTGAATGGAGTAGGGTATGCCTGTGTGTGCAGAGGCTTCTGATGGTGGGACTCTGTAGAGCTACAGGGGATGCAGACAGAGAATTGAAAAGGAGGCAAAGTGGCGTGTGTGAGGGAGCCATCAGTGGTGCCGTGAGCCAGGAGACTCTGACATTCCAACCCCTTAGATAGGCCTAGAGGGGCCTAGTGTCTCATCCTGGCCACACCCCAGGGTCTGTCTCTGCTCCAGCTCCCAGATCACAGACCCCTAGAAAAACCACATTTACCCCCAACACAGAGGGCCATATTAGTGAGAAGGCGAAGTGAATAAGGAAGATGAATTTCTTAACATCTTCGATAAGCTTGCACATAATAATCTATTGAACTTTTTTTTTTTTTTTGAGACAGAGTTTCACTGTTTTGCCCAGGCTGGAGTGAAGTAGTACAATCTTGGCTCACTGCAAACTCTGGCCCCTGGGTTCAAGCGATTCTTCTGCCTCAGCCTCCCAAGTGGCTGAGATGATAGGCACCCACCACCATGCCCGACTAATTTTTATATTTTTAGTAGAGATGGAGTTTTGCTATGTTGGCCAGGCTGGCCTCGAACTCCTTGCCTCAGGTGATCTACGGGCCTCAGCCTCCCAAAGAGCTAGGATTACAGGCATGAGCCATGGTGCCTGGCCTACTTATTGAATTTTTTAAAGGATGTGTTGACAACAGGTGGAAAAGCAAGGACTAGAGAACCCCAGGCATGAGTCGAAGTCTGGTGACCTTTAATATACACGTAGCCCCAGGACTGCTCCCTGGGGAAAGGTGGTGACTTACTAGGGCCCAGCAGCTGAGCTGGGGTCACACAGCAAATCTTCCCTGGCTCCTGACATCCTTGCTTGCCCCAGAGACCAGCAAGGGAAGATGCAGGCAGGCAGGATTTGAACATACAAGGGAGCTGGAAGTGACCTGTCCAGAATGGGCAGGGTATGGGCAGGACAGGAGCCGTCCCTGCTGTCTCCCTCTGCTTTCAGCACAGCTTTCCTCCTCTCTGGGCCCTGTCCATATGGGAAAGCAGGAGGTCTCCACAAATCATGGACAGGAGGAGCCAGGTCTCTAGAGGGAGTTTTCTCTGCCTTGTGCCACATACAGGCGTGCAAGAGGCCCACTTCCGGGGGCCTCATTTCAATGGTGGAGAGGCCAGTGCCAGGCAGTGCCACTGATCTAGATGACAATGGAAATGGCCCTGCCCCCAACATGTGGGACTGGCCGGCACCGGGGTGCAGGGGGCAGTGGGCACAGTCCCCAGCCTGTGGCTTCTCCTGGGGCCAGGTCCTCTCTGAGGCCTGGATAACTGAAGCAGCCTCCAAGGTGGGCCCAGCGGTGACAGCGGAGCCAGGATCAGCAGGAGGAGCTGGGACCTGGAGCAGAGAGCAGCCCCGGTCCTCCAGGAGCTCAGGAGAGTGTGGCACAGAGCTGGGACCCTGACCACTGAGGATGGGCCATGCCTGGCTGCTGCTGGGTTCCCTCAGGAAACCAAGACGTGAGTTCTGGGATGTGGAGGAGCTGGACTTGGAGCCCATGGCTCAGACCAGGAGAAGCGCCACAGGCAATGCTGAGAGACCAGAAAGAACACAGGAAGCAACAACCCCTTAGCCCTTCTGCAGCTCAGTCTCCCATGACATGCAGTGAGGCCAACAATAGAGAGACCCACGGAGACCTCCCACAGGAACCTCACAGAGATATCTCGTACAGAGTGAGAACACTGGGACCTCTCACTGCCACAGAAAGAGACACACTGCAGCCTCCACAGAGACCCCACGGAGCTCTCAGAGTCCTCATGGTGCCCCACAGAGACCTAGCACAGAGATTCCCAGAGTCCTCACCCAGAGAACCCCACAGAGGCCACGCTGAGAGACTTCACTCAGTCCCACAGAGATCTCCCACAAATGTCAGAGACCTTCCATGGTTCTCACAGGGAGATCTCACACAGAGACCCCACAAAGACCTCAGAGACTTCACACAGAGTCATAAAACAGGGACCTCATGCAGAGACTCATGCAGTTCACTGCAACCTCTGGCCTCCAGCCCCAGAAATGGCACATGGCACCCCCCACTGCCTCACAGAGACCTCTCTCAGAGTCCTCCTCACACAGAGACCTTGCCTGGAGACCTCCCACTCTCCACAGAGACCTTGTATAGATTCCTCACACAGGCCTCAGGTTGCTCCACACTCATTGCCCAGAAACCTCTCACATAGAATTCCCTCAAACATTCCACACAGAGATTCTGTAGGGCTTTCACAGGGTCCTCACACAGGGTCCTCACACAGGGACTTCATATAGTCCATGGTCCCTCACACAGAGACCTAGCACGGAGATTTCACACAGGGACTTCCCACAGAGACCCCACAGAGACCTCTGGAAGATACCTCCCACACAGACCTTCTGCAAAGGCCTCATACAGAGGCCTCACAAGAGGCAATGGAGCCCTCTTGCTGCCCCATGGAGTCCTCCCACAGAGACCTCATGTGGCCTCACAGGCCTCGTACAGAAACTGACTCGGATTTCTTAGAGACTTTCCACACAGAACTCACGCAGAAACCTCACACTGAGGCTCCACAGAGACCTCACTCAGAGTTCTCACCAGGAGCCTGGCACTGAGGCCTCCCATGCAGCGCTCACACAGCATCCTCACCATAGGTGAGATGCCCCTTACAGATACTCCTCAGAGATCTGGCCCAGAGGCTTCACAGAGACCTCACATCCATCCATTCTTTAGGGGCCTGAGCAGCCACCTGTTGACACGTCCTTCTCAGTGGATATAAAACCACTCAGCACAGTAGCAGCACAGCCGGGATAACAGTTGCACTCCCCAGGAACCCTGGGACACCCAGATACTGTCAGCATTGCAGTGAAGGCGGTTTTCTGCTTGGGGACATCCTCACACTTTTTTTTTTTTTTTTGTAATATCGCTGCCTCTGAAAAGAATTATGGATTCCACAGGCAGACCTGCAAAATTCCTTCTTCCACAGGTTTCCATTAGCTTGAATTCTGACCCACAATTTAGAAAATTCATTTTTTTAAATTATTTTTTGAGATGGAGTCTTGCTCTGTCACCCAGGCTGGAGTCCAGTGGGATAATCTTGGCTCACTGCAACCTCTGCCTCTGGAGTTCAAGAGATTCTCCTGCTTCAGCCTCCTGAGTAGCTGGGATTATAGGTGTGCACTACCATGCTCGGCTAATTTTTGTATTTTTAGTAGAGACAGGGTTTCACCATGTTGGCCAGCTGGACTCGAACTCCTGACCTCAGGTGATCCACCCGCCTCGGCCTCCCAAAGTGCTGAGATTATAGGCATGAGCCACTGTGCCCAACCAAAAATTTTTAAGTGAGGAAAATGTTACCAACCTTCAATGAAAGAAAATATCTTATTTGTTCAGTTTGTTATTATCCAGCCAAATTATATCAATGTCATATATTTTTTAAAGTTTGGGGGAGACAAGACTTGAATTTGAGATGCCTGACTTCTGTACTTTGAAAATATGATAAAAACCTCTAGAAAATGAACCCCAGAAATGAAACAAACCAGCAAAGAGGCATCTGGACTCACACTGGTCTCCCAGGGGACTGTGCAACTAGCACATAATTTCATACAGAACAGCTTGGATCACATTTGCAGAGTTCATTTTATTTTTAGGAAGCTAATAATCATGCAAAGATTTTTCACAAATAGGTCAAATCTCTAGCAATATTCTTATTGTATCACTTGGAAAAATTATACTTCTTAATAATATTATTTTATTCCTGAAAATGCAGTAATGCTCTCAAATAGTAGTATGACACATGTTTGTCAGACATGACTTAGTCCTAATGTTCCACAAACATAGCTTAAGCAGATGGGCAATTTAAAAGGATTTATTTTTTAAACAGTTCTATGAAACACGCATTCTCTAAGATGGGCAGTAGGGATCCATTTTATATTCATTACAGGGCTAAAAAAGGAATGTTTTGAAATCTTACAAAACAAATTAATCTATGCTTGAGATATATACATAGCCTAATAAAATATATTGAGGAAGGGACACGTTAACATTTGAGTGGAAGAAGGTATACATTTAATCAGCATTTGTATAATAAAAATGAATTATGAATGGCCTCACTAATTATATATGCAGCACTTTCCAAAGGGTGCACTCTGGTAAGACTACTTACTTCTCATTGCTCATAAGCAAACTGTTGTCCTTGCCTTGGTAAAATCTATTTTAACAATAGCTGTTAAAGCGCATCACTAGATTATCCAACGGGATGACAGGGTCACAGTCTTTTCTCTAAGAGAGGCATAGCTGACATCAAGGCTCTTTTAGCCTATTTGTTTCAACAAGAAATCCCCTTTCTATATTCATCATAATTAAAAAATTTTGACTTAATTTTTCCACTTCCTTATAATGTCACTGCATTGTAAAATAATGGAATCGACATGGATCTTCAGATTATACATATACATATATATATATAGTTTTGTTTTTGTTGTTTTTTTTTTTTTTTTTGAGACAGAGTCTTGCTCTGTCACCCAGGCTGGAGTGCAGTGGTGTGATCTTGGCTCACTGCAAGCTCAGCCTCCTGGGTTCACACCGTTCTCCTGCCTCAGCCTCCTGAATAGCTGGGACTACAGGCGCCAGCAACCATGACTGGCTAATTTTTTTGTATTTTTTTTTTTAGTAGAGAGAGGGTTTCACTGTGTTAGCCCGGATGGTCTGGATCTCTTGACCACGTGATCCACCCTCCTCGGCCTCCCAAAGTGCTGGGATTACAGGCATGGGCCACCGCGCTTGGCCTATAGTTTTTTTCAACAGCGCAACTTAAATAAGTTTAGTTATCAGAACAAAATAGAGTCAATTAGAAAAAAAATTCATACAGAAAAATATACTTTTCAAGTTGACTGTTTTAACAGAGTTAAAATAAGTGATTATACTTCAGTCATTTGATTTAAATTTGCTCAGAGTGGCCAGAAAATCTAGAAACATAGAAAATGTCCATACTAAATAGTTGATTGCTATGACACGTTGAATGTGCTGTTCCTCAATAGTAATTCATAGTTCAGTAACCTACGCAAAATTGCAATGAACAATGTGCATTAAAGCAACATTTCCATCAATCAGTGTATATTCATCTGCCATATATTGCCTCAGATGATTTGAGTGTCTAATTTCACAGAATAAATTTGAGCCTTTATCCCAGAAGAAATAATCAACGGGGCTCAATCTATTAAAAAGATATTGACAATATTTCCAGGCTCTATTAACATCTATATTTTATTTTTAATTAGATTCACCTAATTCAAAGCTTGTAAATATTTTTACCATTTATATGTGCCCAGATGAAATGGATATCAATAATTAGATAATGGAGAAAACAACAAACACAGATCTTCTTTGTTGTTAAAATATTTTACTTCAGAGCACTTTGCTAGAAATAAAGTAATTTTTAATCTCCAGGCAAAAGACTGTCTAAATGACATTCAGAATGTATTACAAATTTAGATTTAGAATAGATTTATGTTTAAAACAGGCCTCATACTGCTTTCAACAAATCGGGCACTACAGAACAGAATGTGGGGAGGGTGACAATGATGTGATGACTTCTTAACACTGAGCAAAGAAGCAAAAAACAAGTTGTCTTTCTACAATGTTGATCCCTAAGAGTGATTTCCCTTTATAGATTGCAATATAATTCCAGTTGCATTGTTATTATTTTACAAAGAACTCCCACAGAAAAAACTTTCTGGAGGTTTTCCCCTATATACACACCTACATTCTCTGCCATGCTCACACTGTTGGCAAAGTATGGTGCATCCAGCCACAGACCATCAAGGGGCTTGATAATTGCCTCCTCCATATACCTTCTGAGGTCGGTCAGGTTTATAACCATTCGTGTAACACAATTCATCCTTATAACTGGGCCTATGGCCTTGTGGCTTGTCACCTTTTCCAAGCAGGTGCTTGTCATCTTGGTTGCTCAGAGGTTTGCTGTGGCATCTTCCCTCACCTGAGGCCGGGCTGGCCTCCACCATGTTGCAACCAGAAGAGCCCACTTCCGTGGGGACAGATCTTCCGTGCTCTCCACAGCCACGTCACGCTGCCGCTGTGCAAATGATGCCAACTGTAAATCCCAGAAAACTGCAAAATAATGCTGCGCCAGGCACAGTCGGTGAGGATTTAGAGGATGCTAACGTCTTTCCTAAGAAACGTGGGTGACATCGGCCAGGCACGGTGGCTCACGCCTGTAATCTCAGCACCTTGGGAGGTCGAGGCGGACAGATCACGAGATCAGGGGATCGAGACCATCCTGGCTAACACGGTGAAACCCCCTCTCCACTAAAAATACAAAAAAATTAGCAGGACATGGTGGGGGCACCTGTGGTCCCAGCTACTCGGGAGCCTGAGGCAGGAGAATGACGTGACCCCAGGAGGCGGAGCTTGCAGTGAGCCGAGATGGCGCCACTGCACTCCAGCCTGGGAGACAGAGCGAGACTGCGAGACTCTGTCTCAAAAAAAAAAGAAGAAAAAGAAAGAAACGTGGGTGACATCACTCTGGTTCTAATCATTTTCGTGCTTCAGCTGCCCCCACTGGATCAGTGTTTCTGGTGAAACGCAATCAGTTTTCGGAGGGCCTCACCCTCCTTCACTGTAATGATGTTTGCAGTTCTTTCTTTCTCCTCTATGCCAAAAATCCAGAATTACCACCCCCTGTTCCCCATGGTTCACAATCTCAACCACGTTTCTCCAGTGACCACTTCAATTCACACAGCCATCCCTCAGTTCAAATATTGCCTTTGAACATCATGAGCAAGACCACGGCTCTTTGTATTTCTGCCACAGTTTCACACCAGTTACAGATTATATACATACTTCACGTCAATAAGTTTATTTTGTAGAGTGTGGTTTCTGGAGTCAGATGAGCTCTCCACCTACTAGGTCTGTTACTTGGGCAAGTCATTTCTTGCCTAGATTTACCAATTTGTTAGAGTTATATTACTTTACTCCAAAAGATTTTATTCTGTGAATTACATTGCTTTTCTTATTTTTTAAAAATTGTAAATCTAGGGATTTAGGCTTGGTTGTTTTTTTAAATATCAGTACTTATCTAAACAAGTATTTGAAAATTTTTCTTTTTTCTTTACATATATTAGAAATCTGGCCAGGCACGGTGGCTCATGCCTGTAATCCCAGCACTTTGGGAGGCCAAGGTGGGTGGATCACCTGAGGTCAGCAGTTTGAGACCAGCCTGGCCAACATGGCAAAACCCCGTCTCTACTAAAAATACAAAAAAATTAGCCGGGCGTGATGGCAGGCACCTGTGATCCCAGCAACTTGGGAGGCTGGGGCAGGAGAATCACTTGAACTGAGGAGGCAGAGGTTGCAGTGAGCTGAGATTGTGCCACTGCACTCCCGCCTGGGCAACAGAGTGAGACCCCATCTCAAAAATAAAAAAAAAGAAAGAAATCTGTTAACAGCCTTGCTATGAAGACATTTTTGTCTGTTTCTTTTACTTTGTGTACTTATTTAATATTAAAACCTGTATTATTGCTCAGCAAAGAGGAGAATTGTTTCCTTGGAGGAAAAAAAACATCCTTAAGAACTTACTAGTTTAAAGCTGAGCATCTTAGATTTGAAGGTTGCCTTACCTTTTTAAAATTTTTTTTATGAGTTGATAGAAAGTCCTAAAATCTTAGGAACAGAAACAATTGAGAATTACAAGTCAAATCATTGAAATGGAGCCATCTGACAGTTTATGTGTTCTGCTGTGCCAGTAGTGAGTGGGAACAGTTTCTATGTGGGAATATAATCAGGGTCCTGACTACCCCTAAAGGAGCTCTTTCTTGTTTGGTGTGAAGCCAATACACCAAACCGAGAGTGAGTATCAAACAGTGTGGGCTTTTTTCAATGGCCATGGAATTGCAGAAGTGGGAGCATAGCCTGCAAATCAACTTCTCAGAGCCTGAGAACTGAGGATTCTTAATGAAGGGGCTGGGTATACAGAGGAAAGGGAGAAATATTCATAGCTTTTCTTGGGAAGGGAGGTAGGTTTTTTTGGAATCAAAGAGCCACCTCTTTTCTGCCTGTTTTTGGTCTCTTCTGGCCATTGTCATGGTGATTGTCAACTGTCAAGGTGCCAGTGGGAGTGTCATTTAGCATGGAAATTGGATCATAATGAAGCTAGAGGTTTTTCAGAGGTCAAGCTGCCATTGCGGATTTTGCCAGCTTCAGCCAGTTTAGTCCTAAGAAGGAACTTCTGACCCCAGACATCCTGTTTTCTAAAACTAAGCAGTTAAAGCTGAATGGGAATTTAGCCCTGTCACATAGGCATTGGTTGGGCAACAAAAGCAGGGTAGGGCTCCAGCTAAGCCACGTAGGCACTACGATGGGCAACAGAAAGGTTGGTTTCTGGGCAATTCAGAGAAACCAAGGACAGCTACCCCCAGAACTCAGAGTAGCCAACTGGGTTGCTCACAGGAGATGCCTTAACTGAAAGGTGATCAGACTCCACAGGAGACCCAGAGAAGATGTGGAGGGAGCTCAGAGGCTGTCCTGGAGGAGACGTGGAGACAGTTCAGAGGCTGTCCCGGAGAAGACGTGGAAAGAGCTCAGAGGCTGTCCCAGAGAAGACGTGGAGAGCTCAGAGGATGTCCCAAACAAGAGAGAGCTCAGAGGCTGTCCCAGAGAAGACGTGGAGAGAGTTCAGAGGCTGTCCTGGAGAAGACGTGGAAAGAGCTCAGAGACTCAGAGACTGTCCCGGAGAAGACATGGAAACAGCTCAGAGGCTGTCTGCAAGAAGACGTGCAGAGAGTTCAGAGGCTGTCCCAGAGAAGACATGGAGAGAGCTCAAAGGCTGTCCACAAGAAGATGTGGAGAGAGTTCAGAGGCTGTCGTTACTGTTGCACTTGGCTGTTTTTCTTTGGATAATTATTGCAATCAATTTTAGTAATTCAGGTGTTAAATCACAGTCAAGCACCTATTTACCTAGTGGTGAGTTCCTTTATGTTGTGAGTTCAATGTCATTTGTGGGGACTGTGGTCCAGGGAGGTGTTGGGAGGATGAAGTTTTTTCTGAGTGACTTTGCAAACATAAAAAGTCATCTAATAAAGATGCTAGAAAAGCAAATATCCTAACTTCCTAGTCAGAAAAATGTCCAACACCATGTTTATTTAGGGGCAAAATTACGTATTCAGAAGAATTTTTCACAAAAAACCAGTGGTGGGAGAAAATTACACATCTGGGCCCAGCAAGTAAGACTTTCCCTTCACAATTGTGCTGTGGGATCCCAGGCCTCGGGGGGCTACTGCCGTCACCGTCCCCAGGCTGTGGGCCCCTTTGTCAGGTGCTCTTCTGAAGGCAGGTCTCCTGTCCATGCCTTCCCCTTTGCTGTCCGGATGGAGATTGGAGACGCAGCATCATATACAGCTGACAGGTGTTAACCTTATTAGCTAATTCTGTTTCACGGGACACGATTTATACATTCCATGGAAATGCTTCTCACTGCCTTTTTTTACCACTTCAAGGTAGAAGTAGGTAATAGTGCTAAAGTCATCTTACTAGAATAACAAAGTCCATGGTTTGTTGTCCCTAAAAATATTTGTATTAGTTTACTAGGGCTGCCATAACAAAATACCACAGACTGAGTGGCTTAAGTAACATAAATTTCTTTTTTTCTTTCTTTCTTTCTTTATTTATTATTATTATACTTTAAGTTTTAGGGTACATGTGCACAATGTGCAGGTTAGTTACATATGTATACCTGTGCCATGCTGGTGTGCTGCACCCACTAACTCGTCATCTAGCATTAGGTATATCTCCCAATGCTATCCCTCCCCCCTCCCCCCACCCCACAACAGTCCCCAGAGTGTGATGTTCCCCTTCCTGTGTCCATGTGTTCTCATTGTTCAATTCCCACCTATGAGTGAGAATATGAGGTGTTTGGTTTTTTGTTCTTGCGATAGTTTACTGAGAATGATGATTTCCAATTTCATCCATGTCCCTACAAAGGACATGAACTCATCATTTTTAAGAAAATGTGGCACATATACACCATGGAATACTATGCAGCCATAAAAAATTTCTTTTCTCACAGTTTTGGAGACTGGAAGTCCAAGATCAAGGAATCAGCACATTTGGTCTCTTCTGAGGCCTCTCTCCTTCCCTTGCCAATGGCCACCTTCTTACTGTGTCCTCACATGATTGTCCCGTGGTCTGTGTGTGGTCTCTGTCCACATCTCCTTGTCTTACAAGGAAATCAGTCTTACTGATTAGGGCCCACCCATATAACCTAATTTTACCTCAATTACCTCTTTATAGGTCCTCTTTCCAAATACAGCCCCATTCTGAGGTACTAGAGGTGAGGACTTCAACATAAATTTGAGGCAACACAATTCTGTCCATGACAATTGTCCACCTTAGTTTTATGGTGAACCAAGGCTGTGAAAAAGACTTGACTTGGGGCCGGGCATGGTGGCTCACGCCTGTAATCCCTACACTTTAGGAGGCCAAGGTGGGTGCATAACCCAAGGTCAGGAGTTCAAGACCAGCCTGGCCAACATGATGAAACCCCATCTCTACTAAAAATACAAAAAGAATGAGCTGGGCTTGGTGGCGGGTGCCTGTAATCCCAGCTACTCAGGTGGCTGAGATGGGAGAATTGCTTGAACCCGGGAAGTGAAGGTTGCAGTGAGCCGAGACTGCACCACTGCACTCAAGCCTGGACAACAAGAGCGAAATTCTGCCTAAAAAAAAAAAAAAAAAAAAAAGACTTGAGTGAAGGCAGTGACCTAAGTGTGAAGCGATAACAGCTGGCAACTGTTCCGCAAGAAGGTGCAAAGCCCCTGCAGGCCTGGGAAGGTGCAGAGCCTGCACCTCAGATTTGACTCCTCTCATAGAATCATGGAATTTAAGTGAACCTCTTCCAGTATTAGGGAATCTTGAATGGAAACTCTAATATCTTAATCCCCAGTGTAACAAACTTTTACTACATTGTTCTCATGATGACAAATGTCTCATCAGAAAATGGCTTAAAATATAATTATTATGAAAGCAGACTGGCTTATTTAAAACAAACATAATCTGAAAACTGTAATCCAAAAAGTAAACATCCATATATATATATATTCATTCATTCTCTTTGCTTTGAAACTTTCACTGAATGACCTTTGTCCGTTTTATCGGTCACCATATTTTAGTGGTGCTGTGCAGTGACTTTTGTAGAGTAATATCTCTCAAAGTGTGCAATGATCAATATTGTGTTGTCAAAAGATTCTGTAGTCAAAGAAGTTTGGAAAACTTTAATTTTTTGATTAAGCAAAGCAAGAAGTCTGAGTTTCATTTATTGGTTTACTATGAAAAGTGTTAGAGGCTTTATGATGTGCAAGAAGGACATGTGTCATAATATTTCTCAAACCTATTTGACTTCCAATACTTGCTTTTTTGTTTTTTCTTCTTTTGTTGGAGAAATTTCAAAAACTTTGGAAAATACTTTTTAAGTGAGATTCAGGAGTTTGATAAGCAAGATGACAAATACTAAAAATATACACTCCAAATATAGACACGATGAATACTAAATAAACTCACTGTTTTTAGTCAACATTATTCAAGGATATCCAAAGTTTTTCACGGCATAAAATGCTCTTTTTCTTTTCAGTAATATGATACATGTGATATTCCTGGAAACTTAAAAAAAATCATCATTTATATGCTCTCTTGTCAGTTTCATGCTGTATTTTTGATGTAGAAGAAAGAATTTGGTATCTTCTCAGGAATACATTGTCACATAAAAATATGTAAACTCCTTCAGATAAATTCTCACCTTCTGCAGAATGAGTCAAACAGCAGGGGGAGAAGCTGAATCTAGTGTTCACAGTGGGTGACCTGTCTTCCTCAACACTGTCATCTCATCCATTGTCTTGGATGCTCAAGAAACGGAACTATATAAATGTGGCTTCTGGCCTTCATATATTACAGTGCCAAAGCTTCAAAGAACCAGTTTTTATTTAATACTTACTTTGTTTCTTTGCATTTTTTTTCAAAAATACAATATGTTGTTATTAACTATAGTGACCATGTTGTGCGGTAGATCTCTTCTTGAATATTTCCCCTCTCCTAAATGAAATTTTGAATCCTTTGATAAACATCCCCACTCCCCACCCCAAGTCCAGCTCCTGGTAACCACCAGTCTACTCTCTACTTCTATGAGTTTAGCTTTTTCAGATTCGACATAAAAGTGAAATCATATGGTCTTTCTGTGCCTGGCTTGTTTCATTTAACATAATGTCCTCCAGGTTCATCCATGTTGTCACAAATAACAAGATTTCATTATTTTTTATGGCTGAATAGTATTTCATTGTGTATATATACTACTTTTTAAAATTCATTCATCCATTGATGGACACTTACATTGTTTCCACATCTTGGGCTAATATATAAATAAGATTTAATGTATATGGTGTTGCAGATATCTCTTCGACATACGGATTTCATTTCCTTTGGATATATACCCAGTAGTGGGATTGCTGGTTCATATGGTAGTTCATTTTTAATTTTTGAAGGAACCTCCATGCTATTTTCCATGATGCCTTTCCTTCAAATCTTCTCCAACACTTGTTATATTTTGTCGTTTTATAATAACCATCCTAACACGTATGGGGTGATATCTCAAAGTGTTTTTAATTTGCCTTTCTCTAATGATTAGTAATATTGAGCATTTTTTATATGCCTGTTGGCCTGTATGTCTTCTTTTGAAAAATGTCTATTTGGATCATTTGTCCATTTCTTATTGAGTTATTTTTGGTTGTCTCTTCACTCTGCTAGCACCTATTTTGTATAAGACAATAATGCTCTTACATTTTCAAAATACACAGAAGATAAAAAACATATAGTAAGTATGATACTTGAATTGTAGTGAGACATTTAAAATTTTCCAGGAAACAATTACTGTGTTTTATGGCTATAAGGAAGAAACATGTACATCATTTTGGAGAAATGAGAAGAAATTTTCATTTGGAAGAAAAAGAGAAATTATGGAGTGATAAGTTTAAATTGAGAAAATAACAACAAATACAATATACGAGAGAGGCTCTAGGCATTTCATTTATAAAAATATTGTCCAGTTTTTGTATGTGTGATGTGTGCTTGTTCCCTCTTTACATATCTATCTCTGTCTGTCTTTCTGCTATGGTTTGAATGTATCCTCCAAAAGTTCGTAGATTGGAAACTTAATCCCTCTTCTCTCATGAATAGATTTATGTCAGTCCTGCCCTCATGAATGGATTAATGTCACTAGCATAGTAGTGGGTTCCTTATCATAAGCCCTTTTGCTCTTGCTCTCTCACTATGTGATGCCCCCTGCCATGTTGTTAGGCAGCAAGAAGGCCTTCTCCAGAGGCCAGCATCATGCTCTTGGCATTCCTAGGCCTCAGAGCTAAATACATTTATTTTCTTTATAAATCACTCAGTCTGTGGTATTCTGTTATAGCAACAAAAATATTAAGACACTCTTCCTATTTCCCCTACTCTCCTTCCTCCACCCTCTTTCTTACACACAAAATGTTACTGAAATACCAGGAGTTCAATCTAGGTTCTGTTACTTGCACACAGAAAGCCAATCACTTAGACAATGAATATTGCCAAGGAAGAAGGCTTTAATTGCATGCTACAGCTAAGGATATGGGATATCAGTCTCAATTCCATCTCCTCAACCAGCCGAAATTAGGGGATTATATAGCAAGGAAGAAATGTAACTATGAGCAGGAAAACAGGAACTAGGGAGGGCTAAGGAAGCAATCATGACAAATAAGGAATCTGGCATCTGGCATCTCATTGTCTCGACACAGTGGTCTGATGAATTTCACTTCTTTGATACTTTTTGAGAGAGCTGAGAGTCCATTTCCTGAGGAAGAAACTCAGAGAAAACAAATGTAAGTTTCAAGCTTCAAGACCAGAAGGATTTGTTTCTATGTTTATATTTTTAAAATCTGTCTGTGGATCTATTGGGTGCATTTCAAAAACACATACAGAGGAAATCCCAGGCACTGTGCTAGAATTGGGAATACAATGGTGAGTTCAAAGAGGAATAATTTTCCTATTCTCATGAAGCTAATAGTGTAGGATAGAGAAAGTAAACACTAATCAAAGAACCACACAAGCATAAGATTGCAACTACAACTAAAAACCATAACCATTCAGTTAAGCTAAGGAGGCCACCATTGTCACCCTTCTCTTAACCTTTAATAATGTATTTTACAGGTAAAATCCTTAAGTAAGTCATATTTGGTTGGGAAGATCAAAGAAATCACCCAGTCTCCCACATCCGAAATTGTGCAGTCTGGACTGTCAGGAACAAAAGTGAAAGAGAGACGTCATCAAGGCCGGGCGCAGTGGCTCATGCCTGTAATCCCAGCAATTTGGAAGGCCAAGGAGGGTGGATCATGAGGTCAGGAGTTCAAGACCAGCCTGGCCAATATGGTGAAACCCTGTCTCTACTAAAAATACAAAAATTAGCCAGGCATGGTGGCAGGCACCTGTAATCCCAGCTACTTGGGAGGCTGAGGCAGAAGAATCACTTGAACCTGAGAGGCAGAGGTTGCAATGAGCCAAGATTGTGCCATTGCACTCCAGCCTGGGAGACAAAGCGAGACTCTATCTCAAAAAAAAAAAAAAAAAAAAAAAAAAAAAGAATGACTAAAATTAAGAAGATTGATGATTCCAAATATTGGTAAAGATGTAGAACAACTAGAACTCCCACATATTGCTGATGAAAATGAAAAATAATACATTACTTTGGAAAATACTTTGGTACTGATTTACCATATGACCCCAAAATCTCACTTGTAGAAATTTATACAGGAAAAATGAAAACATATGCTCACAGAAAGCTTGTATACACATGCTTATGGCAATAAATTTATTTATAGTTGCCTATCAACAAGTGATGAACAAATATATTTTAGTATCTTGATACTACTTTCTAGCTAGAAAAGGAATACTGTTAAGCAAAAATAGAGGATGAAGTAGTAATATACATAACATAGATGAATTTAAAAACACCATGCTGATTGAAAGAAAACAATTATCAAATACACAGTGTAATATTCTATTCACAGAAAGTTTGAAAACAAAAAACTATAGTCTCTGAAAGAAAACCATTGGTTGCAGGAAGATGGGGATTCATTGGCCACAAAAGGGACTGAGGAAACTTTTTATGGGTAATGGAAATATTTTATATCTTGATTTTGGCACCAATTATACAACTGTATGTACACATTTGTCAAAATTCTAATTGTATTATACACAACATTAGTGACTTTAACTGTCTATAAATTATATCTCAATAAAATTGGTCTTAAAAGATATACATATACACACACATAATTTAATATGTATTTTATATATATATATATATCTCTCTCTCTTGACAATGGAGTGAAATGTACTCTTTTTTTTTTTTTTTGAGACGGAGTCTCGCTCTGTCGCCCAGGCTGGAGTGCAGTGGCGTGATCTCAGCTCACTGCAAGCTCCCAGGTTCACGCCATTCTCCTGCCTCAGCCTCCTGAGTAGCTGGGACTACAGGCGCCCACCATCACGCCCAGCTAATTTTGTTTCTGTATTTTTAGTAGAGATGGGGTTTCACCATGTTAGCCAGGATGGTCTTGATCTCCTGACCTCGTGATCACCTGCCTCAGCTTCCCAAAGTGCTGGGATTACAGGTGTGAGCCACCGCTCCCGGCCTGTGAAGTGTATTCTTGTGGTTAAATTGTCACTTAGCAAACATCCAGAATGCTAAATATCCATATTATTCCTCTTGTTTTACCTTTCTCTCACTTTTTCTACAAGCACCATTTTGAAGAAAGCCTCATCAACTTTATTAATTTGATTTGTGATCATTTGAAGACACAGAAAATTTTCTTCTGCAAAATATAAAGTCTTCTTTCATCTGCTCTCGTGATCCTTTTATTCTTCTGCCAAGTGATGTACATTAATTGACCAACTGAGTTATGCATGCATTTACTTTTTCACAGATCTTTGTTATGCCTCTACTAGTTCTATGCTAGGGATATGGTATGACATTGAACAGGATCAATATGGTCCCTGCTTTCACAGAGCCCACACCTAATGTGTGGATAGTCAGAACACAGTTACACAAACACAAGTGGGAAATAATTATAACATCTGATAGATCTGAAGTCAGTAGAAAAGGTATTGAAATGGAGAAATAGAAAGGGGCCTCGCTTTGATAATGAAATCAGAGACAGTTTCCCTGCAACTTCCTTAGAGGGCAAAAGCCATGTCCTTTCCTTCTCCTACCCCACCACTGACCCCAGTAAAATACCAAACACAGAATTTTCACTCAATAAATTACCTTAAAATGGATTTTAAAATATTTATAAAGCACATTTGTGTCCATTAAAGTATGAAAGGACATGTATTTGGAGCATAAAACCCAGCACATGATGGAAACATCACATACATGAGGATCAAGAATCTAATTATGTAATGGGAAAATTTAAAAGAAATGTCAAGCTGGATAGAGTGTATTCTAAGAAAATGAATACATGTATAATAGCTAAATATTTGGCATTTGAGTTTGGGATGAAAAAATAGATGTAAAAGAAACAGTTTCCTTAATTAAGAATTTAATTTTGTGGGGCCGGGTGCGGTGGCTCACACCTGTAATCCCAGCACTTTGGGAGGCCAAGGCGGGCACATCACGAAGTCAGGAGATTGAGACCATCCTGGCTAACATGGCGAAACCCCGTCTCTACTAAAAAATACTAAAAATTAGCCAGGCGTGGTGGTGGGCACCTGTAGTCCCAGCTACTTGGGAGGCTGAGGCAGGAGAATGGTGTGAACCTGGGAGGCAGAGCTTGCAGTGAGCTGAGATCACACCACTACACTCCAGTCTGGGTGACAGAGCAAGACTCCATCTCAAAAAAAATAATAATAATAATTTTGTCCTTTGGAAGGAGAGAAAGAAAAGGCAGTTCACCTAGACCATCACTTGCCTTTTTTAGTTGCAGCAAATGCCAGTTTTTAACCGGATATGTTTGCAATGTGTGAGTTCTTCTCCAAGTGCTAGCTAGGATGAGCTTCCATACACCACACCCCCAGCTGTGGTAATGCTTTACTCATAGCCTGTCTCTCATCCATCTGCCTGAATTCCTGCAGAACACAGTTGGACCAGCAGCTCATATTTAATCCTCTCATATGATATTAACACCACTGGTCTCCATTTTTGATTTACATCTTAAAGCCTCCAGGCTGTAATTGTTTTACCACTGTATTTCATTATTTAACATCCACTACTTTTATGGAAAAAAATGTGTTTACTCCTGTATCTCATCTTAATGTTTCACTAACTGCTAAACTCACATTTTTTGTTCATTTGCATTGTTTTGAGAATCTAGATTGTATTTGTCTTTGGAAACAGTCACAGCCACTTCCAGAGGTCATTTCCCATAGACCCCAAACTTCTCTTCTCCCAGCCTTGGAGGTGCTGGGTTCTAGAAGGAGGAGGCAGTGAGTCCAGAAGCCCAGCCATATCAGAATGACATCTACCATGCATCAGTCCTCGTGTGTCTTCAGCGCCTCTTTCACATGTCTGTGTCCTTAGAGCTTGCTGGAACCATCTTTGCTTGTCTCTGTGTGTTCTGAGTCTGTGACTATTTGGCTCTAGGAGTCTTCTCAACAAAGTACAATTTCTGTTGTCTTTTTCCAAAAGACTTTATGAATAAAATGAAAATATGAGTAATATAAAATCAAAATATATTTTGATTTCTCATTTCAAAATTATCTACCTCTGTAGTTTAATAGAACTCAATTATTGGCCCCAGAAGATAATTTTTTTCCCTAAAGTATTTTCTAAATAATAACCAGTAGTTGACCTACATCCTTTATATATGTCACATAGAAGATCTCCACAGTACATTCTTCAAATTCAGCTCAGATAATCCATGGAATGCTCAAGTTCCCTGTAACAAATTGAGCTCCTATAGCTCTGTGGACTTATAATTGACTAATAAAAGTAAGACTTGTTTGCTAATGATAAAGATAATTTGTAAAAAATAAATCATTTTAGTTTGACCATGAGACGCACACATCCATTATCATTAAATGTGAAAATCTAGAATATATCCAGTTAGTAGTCAAGTATCAACTTTATGTCCCACACTTGCCATGTAGAAGCTAAGCTTTTAAAATGCAGAATTATTTTCTACTTTTCTGTTATATGCATATATTATAAATGATAAGTATTTTAAATACTGGATTTTTTAAAAAATTGCTTTATTTTCTTCTGTTTTGACAAAAGTTGGCTTTCAAGTTTAATTAAGTTAAAAAAAAACGAACAACAAAAGTGTATTCCAATGGGAGACAGATAAAGCATCTTTCTTATCTAAAATACAGGATCAGGCGCAGTGGCTCATGCCTGTAATCCCAGTACTTTGGGAGGCCGAGGCAGGTGAATCACCTGAGGTCAGGAGTTCGAGACCAGCCTGACCAACATGTCTCTACTAAAAATACAAAATTAGCCGGATGTGTTGGTCCATGCCTATAATCCCAGCTACTTGGGAAGCTGAGGCAGGAGAATCACTTGAACCCAGGAGGCGGAGGTTGCAGTGAGCCAAGATCATACCATTGCACTCCAGCCTGGGCAACAAGACTGAAACTCTGTCTTAAAATAATAATAAAAAATATATATATATTTATATATGGTATATGAATTTGATACATTTTGCTTTATTTCAGGACTAATGTAATGCTACAGAAAAGGAATGACTCTAAACTCGCTTAATTTCTCCTGACTATAAATAGCCCTTGACCACTTTCAACTTTCCCACTGATAACTCTATAACATAGGGCAAGTTACTTGACCTCACTGAGCCTATTTTGCCATCTATAAATTAGCTAATAGGACCTAACTTATAGGTTTGCTGAGAGGTATAAGTAAGACAATAGAGTCTAGCATATGGTGGGGCTCAACAAATATTAGTACATTACTTACACTTTTTTTTCACCCTGCTATGCCTTTCAGTTTATTTCTACTAAACTCTACGTTATTAAAATACAGGCTGAAGTATTATTAATTTCCATCTGTGTTCTCCTCAGTTCCTATCACAGTGCCAGGGACACGCAGGCCCCATAATCCTTCATGGTCAATTGAACTGACAGTGAACTATGTCTTCGTCCATTTGGGATGCTACAACAAAATACCATAGACCGGGTGACTTATAAACCACAGAAATGTGTTTCTTATCGTTCTGGAGGCTGGGAAGTCCAAGATCACGGCATTGGAAGATTCAGTGTCTGGTGAAGGCCTGCTTTCTGGTTCATAAATGGGTGCTTTCTTGCTGTGTCCTCATGTGGTGATAGGGGCAAGCCAGTGCTCCTAGTCTCTTTGATAAGAGCACTAATCCCATTTCCGAGGGCCCATCGTGACTGAATCACTTCTCAGCAATCCTCCCTTCTAATCTCATCACTTTGGGGGCTAGGATTTCAACATATGAATTTTTGTGGGGGGCACAAACATTGAATCCATTGCAATGAACATCAAAGGATGGTACAGTGGTTAGTGTTTGTGTATCATGGCCTACCTAATAATTTTATGTCTTGGTTGCTGAAAATAAAACAAATAAAAGCTTTCGTTTACATGCTTTTTTAGCACACCTTTTCTGGAAAAAATTCTCTACTTTAGTGCTGGTTTGTGTGGCTCATAATACATCTATGGCCATTAAAATCCAATAGAACTCCAGAGTGAGGAAGCACATTGCTGTCTTTCTCTATGGTGTTTTCCAGGCAGGGTCAGATTGCCAGGATATCATCAGACATTTTTTGGTAGACAGTGAGGGGAGGGGGTGGAGAGGGTGCAGTTTATTATACGTAAATTATACCTCAATAAGGCTGGTACTTCTTTTAAAATTTGCCATAATTCTTTATATTATAAAGATATAAAGAAATTTTTGCACTGTCTCTCAAGTTTGTCCAGAGGATAAAATCAGAGGCATATAACAATATAAAATATTATTCAAAGATCAAACATTTATCCAAACTTTAATACTAGAGAAAGATGGGCAGGTATAAGCATGAGCAATGGGAAAATGAGAAAGAGCAGGAGAAGGAAATGTTACTGAAGCAAAGTCAGAGATTGCCTGCTTAAAAAAGTTTTAAAAGCTAATTTACGGAGATGGCTTCTTTCCTTAAACCTCACGAACCAACCTCTACTACCTTCCAACTTTTCTTCTTCAGCTTCCTCACCTCTCTCAGCCTTCATAGAACTGAAGAGAGTTAGGGCCTTCCTCTGGATTAGGCTTTGGTTTAAGGGAATGTTGTGGCTGGTTTGATTTTCTGTCCAGAGCACTCAAACTTTCTCCATATCAGCAATAAGTCTGTTTCACTTTCTCATCACTTGTGTGTTTACTGGAGTAGCACTTTTAATTTCCTCCAGGAACATTCTCTTTGCATGCACAGCTTGGCCAACTGTTTGGTGAAAGAGGCCTAGCTTCGCGTCTATCTTGGTTTCCAGGATGCCTTCCTCACTCAGCTCAATCATTTCTAGCTTTTGACTTAAAGTGAGAAATACGTGATTCGTCCTTTCATTTGAACACTTAGAGGCAATTGTAGGATTGTTAATTGGCCTAATTTCAATACTGTTCTGTTTCAGGGAATACAGAGGCCTGAAGAGAGGAAAAAAGAGATGGGGGATGGTTGGTGGAGCAGTCAGAATACACATATTTACTGGCAAGTTTGTCATCTTATATTGGCACAGTCGTGGCACCCCAAAACAATTACAATAGTAACATCAAAGATTACTGATCACAGATCACATAACACATAATAATACAAATTTAAAATATTGCAAGAGTTACCAGATGTGATACAGTGACACAAAGTGAGCACATGCTATTGGAGAAAATGGTGCTGATAGACTTGCTCAATGCAGGGTTGCCACATGCCTTCAATTTATAAAAAATGCAGTATCTGAGAAGTGCAGTAAAGCAAAGGACAATAAAATCAGGTATGAGGCTGGGCATGGTGGCTCATGCCTGTAATCCCAACACTTTGGGAGGCTGAGGCGGGCAGATCACCTCAGGTCAGAAGTTCAACCAGCCTGACCAACATGGAGAAACCCAGTCTCTACTAAAAATACAAAATTAGCCGGGTGTGGTGATGCATGCCTGTAATCCCAGCTACTCGGGAGGCTGAGGCAGGAAAATCGCTTGAACCCAGGAGGGGGAGGTTGCGGTGAGCCGAGATCCTGCCATTGCACTCCAGCCTGGGTTACAAGAGCAAAACTCCATCTCAAAAAAAAAAAAAAAAAAAAAAAAAGAAACTAGAAAAGAAAATAAAACCAACAGTAAGCAGAAGAAAGGAAGTAAAAAGCATCAGTGTAGAAATCAATGCAATAGAAAACAGGAAAAATCATTTACAGGAAATAAATGAAACCAAACTCTGTCTCTTTGAGAAGGTCCATAGTATTGATAAACTTCTATTCAGGCTTATCAGGAAAAAAAGAGAGAATACAAAAACAACCTATCAGGAATAAGAGAAGTAACATAACAACAGATTCAACAGATGCTAAAGAGATAATAAATGGTAATTATGAACAACATTGTGCCAACAGATTTGACAACTTAGATGAAGTGGACAAATTTCTCCAAAGACACAATTATCTAGTCTTACTCAAAAACAAATAGACAGAATAGCCCGGTATCTATTAAAGAAATTGAAGCTGTAATTTAAAACCTTTCCACAAAGACTCCAATGCTAGGTCTAAATGGCTTCAGTGAAGAATTCTACCAAACATTTAAGAAAAATATGATACCAATTCTGCTAGTTCTTACCAATTATTCCAATTAAAGAGAAAATTGAAAAAGGAAGGAATACTTCCCAATAACCTCTTGCACTTTTCTCAGACTTGTAAGTGTGACACTGGGATGACCAGTTCATGGGGAGAATTTTATATTCTTTACAGGTGAATTGGCTACAACCACAGGCAATTTCAATTTCTTTCCAAATTTCTTCAGGGGAATATCTGAAGAAAAATAAAGTGCTTTTGAAATATAAACACTTTCTAGGAATAAAGGAATGTTGCTTATACATGATTTTACCAATGGTGTCATGAAAATTGTGTGGAGGACTGTGGCTATAAACACAATGGTTTGAATTTTATGTAAATTCATAGCTTTTTATTGTTATTTTTAAATACAGAAAAGTTCTGAAGATAGTAATTTTATTTGCCAGTTTTTTGGAAACTTTATATCTGAGGAAGATCTGCTGGAAGATGTCATTTGGGGTAATGCAAAATATTTCTGGAAGACACAAGTAAAATGGGCCCTCATTGACCAAGTAGTTTGTATAGATGTAGTGATTAAACTATTAAGTAGAGGGGAGGTTGCAAAAATATTTGACAAAATGAAATGTGTGCCTGCAGTGCAAAACCACTGATCCTGCTCACAAACAGGCATAGTGAGAAAGATTTCTATATGCCTGGTAGAACAACCTCTGTGGGCCATCTTAAGCACTGGTGATTAACACTTTTATGCATTCTATTACATCTGAATTCCACGACTTAACATGATACTTAAGCTGAATTAAAATGCCTTAATACTCTTGCCTCAATATTCTTCCAAGGTTTAGCACCTGGTCCTTTTAATAAAAAAAAAAAAAATAGGTTATGGTTACCTTTTTTTGAAAAGGTACTCAAATATGTCAACTTTATTGTTTCTAGATATACACCCCTTTGTACTGAAAATTGTAAAAATAGCATGAAGTTTCCTCTTATTGCAATCCAAATTTTTGAAAGCCAGAAAATCTAATTATTATGCTCTAGACAACTTACCTAATGCTTTCTTTATCCACAAGTAACTTTGCTTCAATTTCTTGATGTTGGGTTTCATCTCACTGACTTTGGGCTTCTAAATGGGAATATTTACGTCCTCTTCGCTTCTTTGGTTCAAATCAAACAGTAGAGCTAAAGTTATTCAAATACATTCAAACTACACAGACCCCTTATAAATTACTAGTATCATGGTAGGAAGGAAAATATATAAGAAGAAAAATACATCCTGGAACTCATTATCAAAATTATTGGTGTATAGTCTATACTAGCATAGAGTAGCTTTCTCAACCTGCTATGTAAAATTGCCAGCAAGAAAAAAAAGTGCAAGAATAAGGTCTATGACTGAAGTGGCTCGGTGTCATGATTCCCTATTCTAGCATTCTCAGAAGGATCCCACCCGTTAGACATGCAGAAACTGCAGCCCATCCAAATGTGATCTGTTTAATCAATAATCAACAGTTCATATTGAAGACAGTATTTTTGCTATATGTGCTTGTCATAATGAAGGACGGTGTACAAAGAACAAGTTGAACCAGACGAACACTTTAATTTTGATGCCAAAATCAATCACTTTTTGTCATAACACCAGGCATAGATAATGGTTGATCCAGTGCACACTGTCTGTATTACCCCATAATTTCCTGCAGCAGACATGTTATAATTTGACATACTCCTTGATCATTAACACATTGCAGTAGTCAGATATACTTGTCAAGATTAAGCTAAATGTCAGTAGAAGACTCAGTGAAGGCTTGGAAATCTTGCAGCTTGCTCTCAGAGACACTGCCAACTGAAATGATAAATGTCATTGGGCTGTGGTACTATTCTCATCGACGTATCAATAAATAAAGGGATGCTGGCGAAAAAATGTTCTTCCAGATACCTGCCCACTCTGAACCTAGAGTTCTTTTCATCACTGTGAAAGACAGCTCCCTACACACCGCAGCCATTTCCTGGGAGGACTCTGAGCTGTGATTTTAATAACAGAATGCACTCATCTGTCATTTTTCTTCCAGAATTGCTTGTGAATATCCTGCATGCTATCCAAGTCTCTCCACCCTTGTAGTCTTTGTATAAATGGGTTCATTTTGTTCCTTTTAATTTTTTTGAGACAGAGTCTCACTCTGTGGCCCAGGCTGGTGTGCATTGGCGCTATCTGGGCTCACTGCAACCTCCGCCTCCCAGGTTCAAGCTCTTCTGCCTCAGCTTCCTGAGTAGCTGGGATTACAGGCGCGCACCAACACGCCTGGCTAGTTTTTATATTTTCAGTAGAGACGGGGTTTTGCCGTGTTGGCCAGGCTGGTCTTGAGCTCCTGGCCTCAAGCGATCCACTCGCCTCGGCCTCCCAAACTGCTGGGATTACAGGCTTGAGCCACTGCGCCCGGCCCCTTTGTTCTTATTTGTTGTTATTGCAGTGGGATTCTAGGAGGTGCTGGGAGTGGAGAAGTTAATCAACATATTTAGCTAGCTTGAATAGACATCCCAGTATTGATGGAGTTGCAATCTTAAAAAAAGAAAGAAAGAAAGGGAAACAAAAGCCCAACAGTCATGGGATGAAAAAGTATTTGGGCGAGGATGAAAGAGTCAAACTCTCACTGTGCACGTGAAATCACAAGTATGGGCCGGGCGCAGTGGCTCACGCCTGTAATCCCAGCACTTTGGGAGGCGGGTGGATCGTGGGGTCAAGAGATCGAGACCATCTTGGCTAACACGGTGAAACCCCGTCTCTACTAAAAAAAAAAATACAAAAAATTAGCCGGGCATGGTGGCGGGCGCCTGTAGTCCCAGCTACTCGGGAGACTGTGGCAGGAGAATGGCGTGAACCTGGGAGGCGGAGCTTGCAGTGAGCTGAGATGGCGCCACTGCACTCCAGCCTGGGCAACAAGGCAAGACTCCATCTCAGAAAAAAAAAAAAGAAAGAAAGAAAAAGAAATCACAAGTACTTACAAATGCAACTGTCCTGGTACTAACACAACATTTTGGTTTTCTTATAATATTGAAATTTTATTGAATATTGAAATACATTTTATTGAAGTTGAGAGTTGTATCTTCTTTTACCATGACCGCCAACATGTATGTGCAATAAAAGCTATAAGAATATTTGCATTTGACGCCTAAAATAAGGAACTTGGATTTAATAATTTGGCAGTTGCTTTGTTTCATTTAAATTTGAATATTTTTCTGTTTTATTTTAATAGATTGTTCCTATTGCATTATTCAAAGGTGTTAAAAAAACTCTATGTGGTTGATTAGAGAACATTTATTATGTATATTTGTGAATATTTATAATAATGAGTGTTTATTAAATATGTACATATTATACATTATACCAGGTACATATTGTATATATTATACATTATATAAGGTAGGGAATATACGTTGCCCATGTGGAGTTTATAATATAGCTGGAAAAATAATATCAACATACATACTGTATGATTCCAGCTACTTTTTTTGTTTCTTTTTGAGATGCAGTCTTGCTCTGTCACACAGGCTGGAGTGCAGTGGTGCGATCTTGGCTCACTGCAACCTCCGCCTCCCAGGTTCAAGCAGTTCTCCTGCCTCAGCCTCCTCAGTAGCTGGGATTACAGGCACGTGCCACCAGGCCCAGCTAATTTTTGTATTTTCAGTAGAGATGAGGTTTCACTGTGTTGTTCAGGCTGGTCTTGAACTCCTGACCTCGTGATCCTCTCACCTTTGCCTCCCAAAGTGCTGGGATTACAGGTGTGAGCCACCACGCCCGGCCTTTTGCCCACTTTTAAGTTGGATTATTTGTTTTCTTATTGTAGAGTTTCAAGTATTCTCTGTATATTTTGAATACTAGCCCTTTATCAGATATGTTCTCCCTCCCTGTGACTTGTTTTCTAATTCTTTTAACAGTGTCACCCATGCAGTAGAAGTTTTTTTTTATTTTTTTAATTATAATAAAGTCCCACTTAGCAAGTTTTTCTTCTATAGGTCACACTATAGGGTTGTAATTAAAAACTCATAGTCAAACCCAAGGTCACCTGTATTTTCTCCTGCTATCTTTTAGAAGTTTTATAGTTTTGCCTTTAAATTTAAGTCTATGATCCATTTTGAGTTAATTTTTGTGAGAAGTATAAGGTCAGTATCTAGATTCATTTTTTACATGTGGTTGTCCAGTAGTTTTAACACCATTTGTTAAGAACCATATCTTTTTCCCATTGAATTACCTTTGCTTATTTGTCAAAGATCTATTGACTATATTTGTGAGGGTCTCTATCTGTACTCTGTGTTCTATTCCATTGATCTATTTGTCTATTCTTTACCAATACAACACTCTCTTGATTACTGTAAGTTTACAGTAAGCCCTTTGAAGTCATTAAGCATTAGTTCTCTAATTTTGTTCTTCTTTAATATTATGTTGGCTTTTCTGCATCTCGTGACTTTCTATAGATTTGGAGTCAGCTAGTCAATATCTACAAAGTAGCTTGCTTGGATTTTGATAAGTACTGCATTGATCCCAATACTGATCTGTAGATCAAGTTGAAAGAACTGATATCTTAACAATATTGAATTTTCTTATTCATTAACATGCAGTAAGTCGATTTTTTAGATCTTCTGTGGTTTCGTTCATCAGATTTTCATAGTTTTCCTCAGATAGATACTACACATATTTTGTTAGACTTATACCTAAGTATTTCATTTTTGGTGCTAATGTAAATGGCACTGTGTTTTTAATTTTAAATTTCAACTGTTCATTGATGGCATATAGAAAAAGAAATGACTTTTGTAAATTAACTTTGTATCCTTCATCCTTGCTGTAATCACTTATAAAAGATTATATACATAGCATTCATTCTAGGAGTTGTTTATTCTTTGTGATTTTCTACATAGGCACTCATGGCATATATGAACAAAGACAGTTTTATCACTTCCTTTCTTCTTTTTTTTTTTTTTTTTTTTTTGAGACAGAGTCTCGCTCTGTCACCCAGGCTGGAGTGCAGTGGCTCGATCTCGGCTCACTGCAAGCTCTGCCTCCCAGATTCATGCCACTCTCCTGCCTCAGTCTCCCGAGTAGCTGGGACTACAGGCGCCTGCCACCACGCCTGGCTAATTTTTTGTATTTTTAGTAGAGACGGGGTTTCGCCATGTTAGCCAGGATGGTCTCGATCTCCTGGTCTCGTGATCCGCCTCCCTCGATATCCCAAAGTGCTGGGATTACAGGCGTTAGCCACTGCGCTCCGCTATCACTTCCTTTCTTATCTGTATACCTTTTATTTCTTTTTTCTGTCTTATTGCATTAGTTAGGACTTTCCACACAAAGTTAAATAAGAGTGATAAGAGGAGACATCCTTGTTTTGTTCCTGTTCTTAGTGGGAAAGTATCTCACTTTTCAGGCTTGAGTATCATGTTAAGTGGAGGGGTTTTTTAGATTTAAAAAATCAATTTGAAGAAGTTTCTCTCTATTGCTAGTTTGCTGAAAGTTTTTGTTTTGTCTGTTTGTTTGTTTTGTTTTTTGAGGCAGAGTCTCACTCTGTCCCCCAGGCTGGAGGGCAGTGGTGTGATCTCGGCTCACTGCAACCTCCGCTTCCTGGGTTCAAGCGATTCTCCTGTCTCAGCTTCTTGAGTAGCTGGGATATAGGTGCGCGCTATCATGCCCGGCTAATTTTTTTTTTTTTTTTTGTATTTTTAGTAGAGTTGAGGTTTCACTGTGTTAGCCAGGATGGTCTCGATTTCCTAGCCTCGTGATCTGCCTGCCTTGGCCTCCCAAAGTGCTGGGATTACAGGCATGAGCCACCACACCCAGCCTGCTGAAAGTTTTTATCATGAATGATTGTTAGATATTGTCAAATTCTTTTTATGCATCTATTGATAAGATTACATGATTTTTCTTCTTTAACCCATTGGTATAATGGACCGATCTTTGACTGTTGAACTAGGCTTGCATTCTGGAGTGCATCCCACTTTGTTATGGTATATAATACTTTCCTTGTTTCTTTTTTAAACTATTGTATTTATTATTTTTAACACTTTTTCACAACTTCAATGACAATCAAATAAGCCACCTCCTGTGTTGCGTTTCTGTGTGCTGCTTGAAGCTGCCTGTGCTTACTTTTGGTTCTACATAGCTTCTCCCCTTAGAATGACATACATAGTACAGCATTCAACATATGCTAACTCTTAGTGTTGTTATTATCTGAAGACCCTCAAGGACTGCTCATGGTGCTGATGTGGTTGGAGGGGGCATGACTTGAACCATGTCTTGTAACTTTGCATGAATTATTTACACATGCTTGAGACAAGGTTAGTTTTCTGCATCAAAGAATGAGCAGGGAGATGATAAAGAGGTGGCTAGCTCCATCCTGTTCCAGCTATGGTCATTGCTGACGTGCACTTTGCATACACACGCTCATCCAAGTTGCATACTGCACTCAATCAGACTCAGGTGTGAAAGAGAGGTAGGAAAGAGGGACATGGGCCCACTTTCAGCTCTGGTTTATTCAGCTGTTATCACTGCTCTGTATGAGGACTGAAATGAAATCCTCAGCTAATACTGAACTGGAAGGAGCAGCCTGTGTGTGGTGAAGAGATAAAACCTAAAACAGTCTTAACAGAAACAAAGCACTTTTCCAAACTAAGAAGAGGGCGATAAATGTAGTTTGACACTTTAGTTTAAAAATACACAAATTTAGGCCGGGCGTGGTGGCTCACACCTGTAATCTCAGCACTTTGGGAGGCCGAGGTAGGAAGATCACGAGGTCAGCAGTTCGAGACCAGCCTGCCTGGCCAATATGGTGAAACTCTGTCTCTACTAAAAATACAAAAATTAGCTGGGCGTGGTGGTGTGCACCTGTGCTCCCAGCTACTCGGGAGGCTGAGGGAGAAGATTCGCTTGAACCCAGGAGGCGGGGCTGCAGTGAGCCGAGATTGTGCCACTGCACTCCAGCCTGGGTGACAGAGTGAGACTCCATCTCAAAAAACAAACAAACAAAAAAAACCCCACAAATATTAGAATAATGCCTGTGAAACAAAAGTGACCTGAGTTTATGTCCCTGTGGCCTTGACAAAAGCCTGTGGTATGATGAGGTCACCTCATATCTTAGTGAATTTGAAGGGAGTGAGGTCTCTCCTGCCCCCAGCTTCAGACCACACTGAAGAGCTTGATCCCAGTTCCAGCCATTGGATATTCAGTAAGATGTCAATAAATCAGAGTTTGTCAAGAGAAGGAGGGTGAAGGGCCTTCTACCCTGACATGCCAGGTCTCAGACAGAGAGGAAGGCGTTAGTTGCAGGAGAGAGAAAACTCAGGCATGAGCAGGATGGTCAACTTTAAATTCTACAGCTCCCTCCCATGGAGGAGACATTAGACTCACACTAAGAAGATAGGTCTGTAATTGGTGGATGGGGCTGCAGGAAGCTGTACCACAGACAAAAAGAATTCAGGAATGAGGATTCTCAAAAATGAATGTGTTTTCTCTCAAAGAATGTATGACAGTGTATTCATACAGTGATTCTCTGTTATCTATAGAAGTCTAAATTCCATAAGAAGTTCAGAAAGTCCTTTCTTCCTCACTTCCTGCCTGTAAGCCAGTTTCATCTCCCAGACACACTCTGCCATCCTGTGTGCCCTGAGTCATAGCCCCTCTGCACTAACTATGCTTCTCCCAAAAACAGCATACTCCTTTCACCTTCCTGCCTCTGCCCACGACTTCCTCTTGGTCTGGAATGCCCCCAACAGTTCAGCTCTTAAAGCTCATATACGCTCAGGCCATAGTTGAAAATATGTATATCCTTGTTTATTCTCAACAGTTCCAATAAAAATCCACCTCCCCTTTGAAGTCTTCATGACTGCTATACTTTAACCTCCAAAGCAAAGTTAGATACCCCATGATCTGTGCTCCCATGACACCCATCCACTTCGATTATGGCATGTTCCACATTCTAATTATTTGCTTACTGTCTCCTCTAGTTGACTTTGAGCAGACACCTTGTCTTATTCATGTCTGCATCTGAAGAGTTTTCACACAGGGCTCACACCACAATGGGTGAATGAGCACTCAGAGAGGAATCTGTACCCACGTGAAGGCATGGACCCTTCAGCACTAAGCTTCTGTGATCTCATAACATCTTGCCTTAATATTCTTCCAAGGTTTAGCACCTGATCCTTTTAAACACGTTCGTTAATAAACAATAAATAGGCTATGGTTAACTTTTAAATAACTAGTTAATCTTTATTATGAAATAAGAATTTTGGAAGAGGCGAAGTGATCTATATACATGGGACGGAGGAAAGTGAATATCAATGGCCTATGACGCATCATTAAGTTTCTTTTCTATTTCATAGAATTTTCTACTCACATTACTGTCTTATTCAGTGTTCTTTTGTTTGGTGTTGAACCAGCGCAAAATCTCTGAGGTTAAAATGGAATTATTCTAAAGGCTGGAAGCCTGGTAGCTTCAAGAGCTAGAACCAAAGTCTGGAAAGAGCTCCAGGAACAGCTCCAGCTACCCTAAGTAAATCTCTCCCAGGCGCTCTGATCGCTTTTCACAACTTCTCTCTCCACATCACTTCAGCTTTTCTTTCCACAGATCGACTATGTCTGCTTTTCTAAGCTGCTGGTTAAATATGGAAGCACCAACGATCCCAAACTTAAATATTCTAAGTTGAAATGACCCATAGGGAAAGACCAGTATCTCTCAATCCCAATTCCCACATTTTAAAGAGAAAATGTGGTTGGGTCAGTTGTTCTACCTTTAAATAAATAGGGTCAGGTATGGGACATGATTCCATAACACAAACATGGCAGGCAGGGCTCACCATTGTGGGGTCAGTCTTCAGATAAATTTTTTTTTTTTTTTTTGAGACAGCATCTCACTCTGTCACCCAGGCTGGAGTGCAGTGGTGCAGTCTCGGCCCACTGCAACCTCTGCCTCCTGGATTCAAGCGAGTCTCCTGTCTCAGCCTCCTGAGTAGCTGAGATTACAGATTTGCGCCACCATGCCTGGCTAATTTTTGTATTTTTAGTAGAGAGGGAAGTTCTACCATGTTGGCCAGGCTGGTCTTGAACTCCTGACCTCAGGTGATCCACCCACCTTGGCCACCCAAAGTGCTGGGATTACAGGTGTAAGCCACCGCTCCTGGCCAATAACTTTATTTATTTATTATTTTATTTATTTATGTTTTTGAGACAGAGTCTGGCTCTGTCGCCCAGGCTGGAGTGCAGTGGTGTGATCTCGGCTCACTGAAAGCTCAGCCATTCTCCTGCCTCAGCCTCCTGAGTAGCTGGGACTACAGACGCCCGCCACCACGTCCGGCCAATTTTTGTATTTCTTAAGTAGAGACGGGGTTTCACCGCATTAGCCAGGATGGTCTCGATCTTCTGACCTTGTGATCCGCCCGCCTCGGCCTCCCAAAGTGCTGGGGTTACAGGCGTCAGCCACCGCACCTGGCCCAGAACTTTATTATAGGTGGGACACACATACCAAAAGAATCAGTGCACCACAATGATCTAATTCAATTTTGCTTTTTGAGAGGGTTTACAGAAAGATTAAACTGACTGATTAACATTAAGCGCTCTTTTCCCCTTAGACCAAATTTTAGTTAGCTATTGTCAACTATAAAGCTCATTATTATTCTTATGAACTTTAGAATCTAAAAAGATAAATCAGTCATTTGCCTGTTTGTTAAGACTTTGTCTGAGCCATCCCTACAAGACAGGTAAAGACAGCACTCAGCACAGGACTGTGGCCTACACTGATCTCTCCTTACTTCCATTATCTGCATTCACATCCATGTCTTAAATTACTGCCTTCTGAAAGTTAACAACTACATTAGTATTTTCTTGTTTATTATCTTTTTGTTTTGTTTTGTTTTTGTTTTTTCTTTTTCGAGAGGGTTTCTCACTCTGTTGCCCAGGCTGGAGTGCAATGGCATGATCTCGGCTCACTGCAACCTCCACTTCCCGGGTTCAAGCGATTCTCCTGCCTCAGCCTCCGGAGTAGCTGGGACTACAGGTGCCTGCCACCACGCCCAGCTAATTTTTATATTTTTAATAGAGACGGGATTTTACCATGTTGGCCAGGATGGTCTCGATCTCTTGACCTCGTGATCCACCCGCCTCAGCCTCCCAAAGTGCTGGGATTACAGGCCTGAGCCACTGCGTCCGGTCTTTTTTTTTTTTTTTTTTTTTTTTTTGAGACACAGTCTCGCTCTGTCGCCCAGTCTAGAGGGCAGTGGCCTGATCTCGGCTCACTGCAACCTCCACCTCCCGGGTTCATGCCATTCTCCTGCCTCAGCCTCCCAAGTAGCTGGGATTACAGACGTGAGCCCCCACGCCCGGTGAATTTTTTGTATTTTTAGTAGAGATGGGGTTTCACTGTGTTAGCCAGGATGGTCTTGATCTCCTGACCTCGGAATCCACCTGCCTCGGCCTCCCAAAATGCTGGGATTACAGGCGTTAGCCACTGCGCCCGGCCCACTCTCTGTTCAACTCGGGAATCCCTGTCTTCTTCCTGTCTTGAAAGCTTCAGCCTTCTGAGATTTAAGAATACAATTTCAAGCTGGGCGCGGTGGCTCACGCCTGTAATCCCAGCACTTTGGGAGGCCCAGGCAGGCGGATCACGAGGTCAGGAGATCAAGACCATCCTGGCTAACACGGTGAGAACCCCGTCTCTATAAAAAATACAAAAAATTAGCCGGGTGCCTGTAGTCCCAGCTACTCGGGAGGCTGAGGCGAGAGAATGGCGTGAACCCGGGGGGCGGAGCCTGCAGTGAGCCGAGATTGCGCCGCTGCACTCCAGCCTCGGCGACAGAGCGACACTGTCTCAAAACAAAAAACAAAACAAAACAAAATTCAATTTCAAAACCTAGATAAAAACTAAATCTTTGGAGATTCAGTGCTAAATTCT
Organism: Homo sapiens; assembly: GCF_000001405.40. Classification (NCBI taxonomy): domain Eukaryota; kingdom Metazoa; phylum Chordata; class Mammalia; order Primates; family Hominidae; genus Homo; species Homo sapiens. The sequence continues at coordinate 42,223,371 of NC_000009.12, forward strand.
CAATTTGTGTTCACTAAAAGACGTATACTTGGGCAGTGACTAATTTGATAGCTATTTCCCTTGGACTGATAAGTACATTCCTTTTTTTTTTTTTTTTTGTTAGACAGAGTCTTGCTCTGTCGGCCAGGCTGGAGTGGCATGATCTCGGCTAACTGCAACCTCCATCTCCTGGGTTCAAGCAATTCTCCTACCTCAGCCTCCTGAGTAGCTGGGATTACAGGCATGTGCCACCATGCCCGGCTAATTTTTGTAATTTGAGTAGAGGCAGGGTTTCACCATGTTGACCAGGCTGGTCTCAAACTCCTGACCTCAGGTGATCTGGCCTCCTCGGCCTCCCAAAGTGCTGGGACTACAGGTGTGAGCCACTGTGCCCCACCCAAGTACATTCATTTTTAAACAATTAAGAAGTTTTGTAATGACTTGTGAAATGAGGTGATGAAATATAATTAAAATAATCACTATTTTAATGGTAGTTCTCCATGGAATATTTCACAAAATTATTCAGCACCTTAAGTTTTTAAGAACTAATAATGAAATAATATAATAATAAGCCAGGAACATAGTGTTATAAATAGATACAAAATACTTTAGAGATTGAAGTTTTGTATTCACAGAGATGGGAGTGAAATAAAGCAGTTGTTCTTGTAACTCTTGGCACTGAGACTATGTGACCTGTGATTTTGATATATGAGAGAAAAGCCAGATTTTATATGCAAGATGTTGGACAATAGATTTAGAGAGAAAATGTATCAGAATACACATTGAGGCAATAATTGCCTGTTTACAGATGAAACAGCAAAGACAAGATATAGAACTTCAAAATAAACATAAATGGTAATACTTAGCAGCATATTGAGCCAATTTATTTGGAGAAAATAATGAGAACACGCAGGACAACACTGATGCTATTACTTGTTAAATAGACAAAAATTTATATTTTTTCCACTCAGGAGACTGTTTTTAGTAGTTTACTACTAGACAAGATGGTATGTTGAATAAAGCTAATGTACTTACTCTGTTTTGTTTCTTCTTTTTTTTAAGTTCTGGAATAATTTTCAGGAGAAAGAAAATCATAAGAGTTTGTTTAAAATTTCTTTTTCTTGAAACAGATTTATGTTATTGAAAAATCAAATAACAGGTCACTACATAAATACCCCTGAAATTTTTTTTTTTTCTTTTTTTGAGACGGAGTCACGTTCTGTTGCCAGGCTGGAGAGCGGTGGCGCCACCTTGGCTCACTGCAACCGCCGCCTCCTGGGTTCAAGCAATTCTCCTGCTTAAGCCTCCTGAGTAGCTGGGACTACAGGCTCGCACCACCACACCCAGCTAATTTTTTGTGTTTTTAGTAGAGACAGCGTTTCATCATGTTGCCCAGGATAGTCTTGATCTCTTGACCTCGTAATCTTCCCGTCTCAACCTCCCAAAGTGCTGGGATTACAGGCATGAGCCACAGCGCCAAGCCAAAAATGTCGGTGAATTTTCAGAGACTAGATCCATTCAGTGAACACAGCCAGGGCTCTGTTGGATGCAAATTACAAAGACACAACTCAAATGTACTTTAACTCATGTTACAAAATGCTAAAGGACAGACCTTAGGGAATAAGCAGCATCTCTAGAATTTAGTCTTACCTCTTCCATCTCTACCTTTCTCTGTGTTGGTTCCATTTTATTTGTTTCCTGCAATGACTCATATCTTGTGATTGAAAAACAAGGGGCCGGGCACGGTGGCTCACGCCTGTAATCCCAGCACTTTGGGAGGCCGAGGCGGGTGGATCACGAGGTCAGGAGATCGAGACCAACCTGGCTAACACGGTGAAACCCCGTCTCTACGAAAAATACAAAAAAAATTAGCCGGGCATGGTGGCAGGCACCTGTAGTCCCAGCTACTTGGGAGGCTGAGGCAGGAGAATAGCGTGAACCTGGGAGGCGGAGCTTGCATTGAGCCAAGATCGCGCCATTGCACGCCAGCCTGGGCGACAGAGACAGACTCCATCTCAAAAAAAAAAAAAAAAAAAAGAAGAAGCCTGGTGGATATTCATTTCTGCAAGAATACTCAGGGAGTTCTATCATCTGGGACCTTTTCTGGACATGGTTTGCCTCTCCAGGCCTTCAGAACCATATCTTTCTCCCCAAAACACTTTTGTTTCTGAGCATCCTCAGAGCCCATTTTTTCTGACCCAAATTGCTGCTCAGTAAAGGGACACAGATATTTAAGGGACCTGAGGGGATGGTCCAAAAAGAGTAATTTTCTAGAGTGTCCAAATATTTTTAAGTAATTGTAGAGGCATCAATCAGGATATCACTCTTCCTCCATTCACCCACCAAGAGATTGGGAATTGCCTTGTTCAATGTCAAAAGGCTGTCCTGGCTCACTCTTTCAGCACTCTGCAAAAGATGAGTGTTATCACAATGGAATTGTGCCCACACACACCCAGGGAAAACCGCAGCTTTTGAAAAATGTTATAAACAAAATAACTGCATTGAATTCCACCAGATAAATTACAGATCATTTCTTTGAAAGTTAACACCGTGAGAACAATGTGTTTGATTTTCTGTTTTCTCAAAGTAAAAGTTTAGACAAGTATATTCTAGTAATATCATTTTATTTTTCATTTGAGACAGGGTCTCACTCTGTCATTCAGTCTGGAGTACAGTGGTGTGATCGCAGCTCACTGCAGCCTCAACCTCCCAGGCTCAGGTGACCCTTCCACCTCAGCCTCCCATGTAACTGAGACTACAGGCATGTGCCACCACACCCATCTGGTAGTATCTATACAGATCAGAGTTTACTTCTATATGGTAATGGAACAACTTTGACATGACAGAACATTCATAAGCAATTTTGGCATGTAAGTAACTGTTCTGATATTCGAAGCTCTCAATTGTATGATAAGCAATCCAACTCAACTAGTTAAACAAAGACAAAAAACCTCTACTATATAAACATTAGAGAATCTTACCACATTTTGAGTATTTTAGTAGCTGAGTAAAAGAGACAAAATATATGAACATTTAAAATGCCCTTTAATGTCAGTTCATTTTTTTCTATGATTATAATAGTAAGAGCTGTGCGTGTGTTCTTTGGTTTAAATAGCACTACATTCTTCTTTGATATAATTTTTATATCCTTCCTCCCTCTCTCTCTGTGTGTGTGTGTGTGTATATATACACACACACAATATGTACATAGAATATATATACTGACACATACATACATTCATATATAAAATTTGAAATTAAAATATTAAGTATGGCTGGGCATGGTGGCTCACACCTGTAATCCCAGCACTTTGAGAGGCCAAGGCAGGTGTATTATGAGGTCAAGAGTTCAAGACCAGCTTGGCCAAGATGGCGAAACCCCATCTTTACTAAAAATACAAAAACTAGCTATGACTGGTGGCAGGCACCTGTAATCCCAGCTACTCTGGAGGCTGAGGCAGAGAATTGTGTGAACCCAGGAGGCAGAGATTGCAGTGAGCTGAGATTGCACCACTACACTCCAGCCTGGGTGGAGCAAGACTCTGTCTCAAAAAAATAAAAAATAAAATAAATAAAGAAAGAAAATATTAAGCATGAACATAAAAAAGAACAAGAGCTGGTATAATTAGAATTAGTGTTTTGAAACTTTTCTCTTAAGTACTTTTGGTCATATTAATCAGTTGCTCTAAAATTTCAACATGGACATTTTGAAGGTGCACAGTTGCACACATCCCAATTGCAGAGTTCCAGTTTGGTTCAGATTGAGTAGACACATTCTGCCTTATCTACTGATTACACTGATAATCATGGTCAAAATGCATAATGTTACTAACAGAAGACTCTGAACGTTGGATAAGAGTAGTAAACATTCACCCCTAGACATTGCCATGGGGTTGAAGCCCCACAGCCTGTCTGTATGCTCCCCTAGAGGTTTGACCAGCGGGGCACTGAAGCACTGAAGAAGCAAGCCACACCTCCATCACATGCCCTGCAAAAGGGACAAGGGAACCTTTCCCATTTTAATAGCTACACATGTACCCCTGAACTTGGTATGGAGCTCAGGACCTGAAGGATGACCTAGCGGTGATTTGCCTAACTTGATTTCCTCCTTCCTTCCCTTCCTCTTTCCTTCCCTCCCTCTCATCATCCTTCCTCTTTCCCTTCTTCCTCCCTCCCTCTCTCCTTCTTATTTCTCCTCTCTTATTCCTCCTCTTCCACCCCTCCTTCTCCTTCTTCTCAGTCTTCTTCTTTCTTCTTATGTATTCAAGCTTGAGCTCTGAAACAGACTGAAACTAGAACTGCACACAGGCAGACTGAAGGAGATAGAGACATCCAGGAGATGATTTTCTGAAAAAATTAAAATAGACCACTAGCTAGACTAACAAAAAAGAAAAGAAAGAAGATTCAAATAAACAATCAGAAACAACAAGGGCAATATTACCACTGACCCCACAGAAATACAAATAACTATCAGAGAATATTATGAACACCTCTATGCATATAAACTAGAAAATCTAGTAGAAATGGATAAATGCCTGGACACATACACCCTCCCAAGACTGAACCAGGAAGAAATTGAGTCCCCGAACAGACCAAAAATAAGCTCCAAACTTGAATCAGTAATAAGTAGCCTGTCAACCAAAAAAGGCCCAGGACTAGACAGATGCACAGCTGAATCCTACCAGATGTACAAAGAAGAGCTGGTATTACTCATACCAAAACTATTCAAAAAAATTGAGGAGGAGGGATTCCTCCCAAACTCCTTCTATGAGGCCAGCATCATCCAGATACCAAAACCTGGCAGATATACAACAACAACAACAACAAAAAACTTCAGGCCAATATTCTTGATGAATGTTGATGTAAAAATCCTCAACAAAATACTGGCAAACCGAATTGAGCAGCAGATCAAAAGGCGTATCCACCACGGTCAATTAGACTTCATCCCCGGGATACAAGGTTGGTTCAACCTACACAAACCAATAAATGTTATTCATCACATAAACAGAACTAAAGGCCAAAACCATATGATTATCTCAAAAGATACAGAAAAGGCTTTCAATAAAATTCAACATTCATTCATGTTAAAAACTCTCAATAAACTAGGTATTGAAGAAACATACCTCAAAAGAATAAGCACCATATATGATAAACCCACAGCTAATATCATACTTAATGGGCAAAAGCTGGAAGCATTCCCCTTGGAAACTGGCACAAGACAAGGTTGCCCTCTCTCACTACTCCTATTAAATATAGTATTGGAAGTTCTGGCCAGGGCAATCAGGCAAGATAAAGAAATAAAGAACTTTCAAATAGTAAGAGAAGAAGTCAACTATCCCTGTTTGCAGATGACATGATCATATTTCTAGAAAACCCCATAGTCTCAACCCAAAAGCTTATTAAGCTGATAAGCAACTTCAGGAAAATCTCGGGATACAAAATCAAGGTGCAAAAATTACTAGCATTCCTATACACCAACAAAAGTCAAGCCAAGAGCCAAATCAGGAACAAACTCCCATTCACAACTGCAACAAAAAGAATAAAATACCTAAGAATACAGCTAACAAGGGAGGTGAAAGGTCTCTACAAGGAGAACTACAAACCACTGCTCAAATAAATCAGAGAAGGCACAAACAAATGGAAAAACATTCTATGCCCATGGATAAGAAGAATCAATATTGTTGGCCAGGCACAGTGGCTCACACCTGTAATCCTAGCACTTTGGGAGGCTGAGATGGGCAGATCATGAGGTCAAGAGATTGAGACCATCCTGGCCAACATGGTGAAACCCCGTCTCTACTAAAAATACAAAAACTAGCTGGGCATGGTGTTGTGCGCCTGTAGTCCCAGCTACTCGGGAGGCTGAAGCAGGAGAATCGCTTGAATCTGGGAGGCGGAGGTTGCAGTGAGTCAAGATTGTGCCACTGCACTCCAACCTGGCGACAGAGCCAGACTCCATCTCAAAAGAGAGAGAGAGAAAAAAAGAGTCAATATTGTTAAAATGGCCATACTGCCCAATGCAATTTACAGATTCAATGCTATGCCTGTTAAACTATCACTGACATTCTTCACAGAACTATAAAAAAAACTCTTTTAATATTCATATGGAACCAAATAAGAGCACAAATAGCCAAGGCAATCTTAAGCAAAAACAACAAAGCTGGAGGCATCACGCTACCCGACTTTGAGCTATACTACAGGGCTACAGTAACCAAAAAACATAGTACTGGTACAAATTTATTTGTACAAATTTATTATTGGTACAGACACATAAACCAATGGAACAGAATAGAGAACCCACAAGTAAGACCACACACCTACAACTATCTGATCTTCAACAAACCTGACAAAAGCAAGCAATGGGGAAAATATTCCCTATTCAATAAATGGTGCTAGGATAACTGGCTAGCCATATACAGAAGATTGAAATTGAACTTCTTCCTTACACCATATTAAAAAATTAGCTCAAGATGGATTAAAGACTTAAATGTAAAACCCAAAACTATAGAAATCCTGGAAGACAACCTAGGCAATACCATTCAGAACAGTCACAGGCAAAGATTTCATGATAAAGACACAAAAAGCAATTGTAACAGAAACAAACATTGACAAATGGGATCTAATTAAACTAAAGACCTTCTGCACAGCAAAAGAAACTATCAACAGAGTCAACAGACAACCTACAGAATGCAAGAAAATATTTGCAAACTATGCATCTGACAAAGGTCCAATACCCAGCATCTATAAGGAACTTAAACTAATTTACAAGAAAAAACCAACCCCATTAAAGTGGGAAAAGGACATGAACAGATACTTTTTAAAGGAAGACATACATGCGGCCAACAATCATATGAAAAAAAGCTCAATATCAGTGATCATTAGAGAAATGCAAATCAAAACCACAGTGAGATACCATCTCACACCAGTCAGAATGGTGATTTTTTAAAATAATAAAACATTATAAACTATACCTAACATTTATAGAA